>NC_000024.10:6944045-7244455 GCF_000001405.40 Homo sapiens
CTGGTGCCCCCTTTATCCTCATGCTCAAGACTCAAAACACCAGTGGCTCAGCAGCCAGTGTGGGGGCAGAAACTTCAGTGAGGCCCCAACTTGTGCCCTTGTGGGGCAGCAAGCACAAACTCCAAACTCCTTGTTTTGAGCCTCAGACTCAAAGGGTCAAGAGTCTTTATTGGCCCCTTTGTTTTACACCAGGGTCCATAACCTATGTGTGCACCTGACTTTCTTTAGTCACTGAGGTGACTGAGTGAAGCCACAGAGGTCTCAGAATCACTTTCTAAAACAAATAAAAAATAGAATTGCAAATAATGTTATTAACAGTGCAGTTGTCAAAATATCAAAAGCAATTTGTTGAATAGTGTTTTTCTTCTTACTGTTAAAATATATGTAATATAAATTGTATTATTTTAACCATTTTTAAGTGTACAGTTCAGTAACAGTACATTCACAGTGTTGTGCAGCGAACCTCCAGAAGTCCTTCTGTCTTGTAATCCTGAAACTCCATACCTGCTACCTACTCCTTCCCCTACTTCCCCAGTCTGTGGCACCCACCATTGACTTTGTGTGTCTATGTGCTTCACAACTGTGGGACCTCAGAGAAGTGGAATCCTGCAGTATTTATCTTTTTGTGACTGGATTATTTCACTCAGCATAGTGTTCTCCAGGTTCATCAACATGGTAGCATGTCTCAGAATGTCTTTCTTTTTTAATGCTCAGTACTATTCCATTGTATGGATAGGTCACTTTATTCCTCTGCGGATGGTTACCTAGGTTGCTTCCACCTTTTGACTGTAATGCATAATGCTTCTGTGAACTTCCCTGCACAAATATTTCTTTGAGATTTTGTTATAGTTGTTTAATATGTGTGTTTTAAACCTTTTTTCCTTTCATTTTTTTCTTTCCTTACACCCCTTTCTTTTTCCTTTTTTTATTTCTCCCTTTCTTTTCCCCTTTCCTTTTTACCCTTTTCTTTCTACTTTCCTTTTTTTCCTTTTCTAAGACCTTTCTTTACCATTTTTCCCTTCCCTCCTTTTTTTCTCTGCTCTTGTTTTTTTTCCTTTCCTTTTTGTTGCCTTGTCCTTTCCTTTCCTCTCCTCTCTCTTTTGCCCTTCCCTCTCCTCTCTTCTCCTCCCCTCCCCTCCTTGCCTTTCTTCTCCTCTCTCCTCCACTTTCTTCTCCTCTTCTCTCCCCTTTCCCCTTCCTTTCCCATTCTTCTTCCCTTTCCCCTTCCGTATTCCATCCCCTCCACTTCACTCTTCTCTTTCCTTTTCTGCCTCCCTACAGCTTTTCCCCCCATCCCTTTGCCACCCGACCATTTGCCCTGCCCTCGTCCTCCATGCCCTGCTCTTACCTTTTCTTACTTTACCTTTCCTTTTTCCTTTTATAACAGAGTATCTCACTCTCCCAGGCTGCCATGCAGTACCATGATCATGTCTCACCGTAACCCTTGTCAGTCTCCCAGGCACAAGCTATCCTCCCAGCTCATTGTCCCAATAGCTTGGACTACAGGCACAAGCCACCCTGCCCAGCTAATTTTGTATTTTTAATGGAGATGAGGTCTTAGTATGTTGCCCACATGGGTCTTGAACTCCTGGGCTCAAGCAATGCTCTGGCCTTGGAGCGAATCAGCAAGACAGGTGGTTTGGCTATTAGAGGACAGTGATGTTCCACAGGTTCCTTGGACCAGGGAGTGGCCCAGGAGGTTGAGATAAGGCATCCAAATTACAGACAAGTTAGTGGGATTTATTGGGATTCTTGATTTTCCTCAATTGTGAGAAATTCCTCTTTCCACTTACCTTCCATGGAAACCCAGAACACCGTCGGTCCCACTTAGGCAGTCTTAAGAGTATAGCTGCATTTATTCTCTTTCCAAATCCCATTAGACTTGAGGTCAGAGTCTCACTTTACTTGTTTTCAATATTTAAACCATTATACCTAACAGCTGAATGGACTGTATGCTTTTGATCCTGCATTCCTAGGTATCTGGACAAATTTCTCCGTAAGAGAAGTGAACACATAACTCTTGTAATAGCAAATACTGCAGGAACACTGGGAACCACATATTAAGATGTTATTAGACTTTCCCTGGAGTGTCCAGGTGGTCTATAATTGTTTAATAAGGAGATGTTTTTGCTGAAACTTATATTGCAAAATTTTGCTTTTCAAAAAGAAATTATCCAAATTTCAATGGAAAAATTGCCTAGTCTCCTAAATGGTGATTTGCATTTGACCCTGGACTGTTTAAGGAGGACAAAATAACTCACTTGAGCCAAAATATAAATGTAAACCCAGAAAATCTGAGACAGGTCTCAGTTTATTTAGAGAGTTTATTTTGTCAAGGTTGAGGATGCCCCATGACACAGCCTCAGGAAGTCCTAAAGACATGTGCCCAAGGTTGTTGGGGCACAGCTTGGGTTCTGTTTTGTTTTGTTTTTGAGCCAGAGACTTGCTCTGTTGCCCAACTGGAGTGCAATGGCGTGATCTTGGCTCACTTCAGCCTCCAACTCCTGGGTTCAAGCACTTCTCCTGCCTCAGCCTCCCGAGTAGCTGGGATTACAGACGCCCACCACCACACCTGGCTAATTTTTGTATTTGTAGTACAGACAGAATTTCACTATGTTGGCCAGGCTGGTTTTGAACTCCTGACCTCAAATGATCCACTTGCCTCAGCCTCCCAAAGTGCTGGGATTACAGGCATGAGCCACTGCTCCTGGCCACAGCTTGGTTTTATACATTTACAAAGAGACTTAAGACATCAATCAATATATTTAAGAAGTACATTGGTTCAGTCTAGAAAGGCAGGGATAACTTGAAGCAAAGGCAGGAAGACTGGGAGGAGGGACAGAGCTTCCAGGTCACAGGTGAGATACAAATGGTTATATTAGTTTGAATTTCTGATTAGCCTTTCCAAGGGAGGTGAATGAGATATACATCTATCTCAGTGAGCTGAGGAGTGACTTGGAATAGAATGGGGCAGGTTTGCCCTAAGCAGTTCCCAGCTTGAGTTTTCCTTAATGATTTTTGGGGCCCAAGATATCTTCCAGTCACATTTTCCCCCTTTTAAAAAATCTTTTGGACAAAGCATTTTATAAGAAAATGAGTCTCTGGGCTCAGGTTTCATCTGATCTCTCGTGGCTAAGAGGAATTATGCCTAGATGGGTAGGCCGGAAAGCTCATTTTTAGCAGGTTGTGAAGTTTCATGTCCTGTGAAGAGAACATAGCCAGAGGAAGGGAGAAAAAACAACAATCCTGAAAAATCACTCTAGGCCATATTACTCTACAGTCCATGCTTTAGTAGGCAGGTATGAAAGTGATTTATTTATGTAAATAGGTTGCTTTTATTTTCTTTTGAAGTTTAAGTTGTCTGGCCTCAGTTCACAGGGTTTTTTAAAACACAGCTTAGTTTTCAGTGACTCCAAATTTCAAAGAAAGGAAAAAAGAAGGAAGAAAATTGAAAGTATTATTTTGAACACTTGCAGCTAAGAAAAATTAGAATTTGGTCCAAACTGTAGATAATAATAAAAATTGAAAAAGTTAGGCAAGACTAGAATTAACAGGTCTACTGTAGTGTTGAAACATAATTTTTCTCTCTCCAGTTTCCCATTTTTGCTAAAGACAAATGATGGGACTGGTTTGCTTTATTTATTTTTTCAACTAACATTTATTAAAAATTGAAGATTACAGAAAAGCAAAAGATTGGCACCATTAAACAAGCTTAGTTAACTTACCTTTGATTAATAAATGAAAGTATTTAATAACACTCAAGGAATTTTGAGAATAAGGTCTATTCCAGCTTTAGAAATTAAAAACAAAGCAAAGCAGCTATTCTTTAAAGGAGAAAGCAACCATCCATCTCCCACTAGTGGTAAAAGATAAAGTTGCTGCTGAAAAGCTGAATTACTCTTCTAGGCATAAAACTGCTCAGACATTTATTTTATAGAATTCTAACTTAAGATTCTAAATCAGTATATAAGGGGAATAGCTCTATTTTTGTCAACAAAAATTAGACCTACTTCCCAGTAATAGTATGGATTTAAAAAATTAGACATAATTTTCACTTACTATGAATGCTAATCTCTCTAGAAATCTGATCTCTCCAGAAAAAAATATTTTGCCAATGACATTTGGGGTATCTGGGGCTTCCAGCAAGTAAAAGTTTATAAAGCCATAACCAAACTGTGAGCAAAAGAAAAGAGAGCAGTTCTTCTCTGTTGGTAAATATTCTGGGATAGAGCACGAAAGGAGCTGACTCAGAAGAATAAAGTAGTAAGCAGCAGTGAGTGGGGTTTGTAACAACTCAGCGTACATCAAAAGAAACAATATGATATAATTATAAGAGTTCTTGGCTGGGTGCGGTGGCTCACGTGTCTAATCCCAGCACTTTGGGAGGCCAAGGTCGGTGGATCACGAGGTCAGGAGATTGAGACCAGCTTGGCTAACACGGTAAAACCTCATCTCTACTGAAAAAAAAAAAAAAAAAAAAAATTAGCTGGGCGTGGTAGTAGGCACCTAGTCCCAGCTACTCCGGAGGCTGAGGCCAGAGAATCGCTTGAACCCGGGAGGCGGAGCTTGTAGTGAGCCGAAATCGCGCCACTGCTCTCCAGCCTGGGGGAAAGTGCTTGACTCTGTCAAAAAAAAAAAAAAAAAAAGTTCTTAAGCAAAACACTTTTCATTTTGGTATTCAGTTTCAAAAGACAGCTCTGCCACACTGCAAGTTTTAATTACAACCATACACACTCATTTAGATTTCACTATTGAACTACTTTCACATACAAGAAGGAACTCAAAATAGAAATGACTTATGATAACAGGTATTGTTATTCCCTCACAGCTTTAGGGAAAACAGGCTTTAATAAGTACAGAATGTACAGAAGAAATTTATATATGCAAAAGTGCATTAATATAGTAATACATTTAGCAGTAATACAGGAAAAAAAATCCTGGTTAACAATCTGATACATTATAGTATTTAAGACTACTTGAAGATTCTGCAAACCATCCAACTTCCTACTTGCTTTGGTTATGATATTGCTACTACATAACTAATCTTTGAAACTAAAAAGCAAAAACAAAAACCCACAATTTGAAATTTTTACCCATCTGTAAATTGTTTTGCATGTACTTGTGTTTATCACTAATAGCTTTTGACAATAGTCTTTAAATTCCTAACACAAAGATTCAGAATAGAAAATCCTTGCTAAGTGAGAGTACTTCAAATAAGAAATTAAATGGATCCACTGCAGGAACAGATATCATTGGTTCCATTGCTAAAATCCTAATCTAGATAACCTAACTACAAATCTCAATTTCAGTCTCAGTTTAAATCCAATAGATCAGCTACTGTTAAAGAGCCAGCAGCTCCACAAAGCAAGTCATGGCTTCAGGCCACTGTTCTTAGAACAATTCAGAATACTAAGTGTTAACTTGTTATTTATACATACAGTCTACAACTGCCTTTACACCATCAAAATGTATATGCATAATTAGAGCAAGTCTCCTGTTTTTCTCCTCCATCCCTCACCACAAAAATGAATACAGATTTCCGCAGGTTTTCTTGGCCACAAAGATGTAACAAAGAAATTCGACAATAAAAAAAGTACTACATACTGAATTTAAAGCCCAAGGAGTTTTTCTTATTTTGGGATGAGTGTCAAATTAAAATTTAATTTGCCATTATATGTTCTAGGTTAAAATACTAATTATCTTAGTTTAAAAAATGAGGGAGAGCCAAAAAATATTTTAATGTTAAAAAATACAATTAAGTTTTAATGAGTCAACCCAGATCTTCAGCTGTACCATGCAAATTCCTTACTTTTAATGGCCAGTTAGAACAATTTTGAGAATTCCTTCTAAGCCTTTTGGAATAAGTAAATTATTTTCCAAAGAAATAAGTAGTTATGTTCCAGATACTATGCTAACAAAGATGCCCAGCTTAAAATATCTAAGACAGTTTTTATTCACTTAGCATAATTTTATTTTTAATACAAAGTTTATCTTAACTTTATCAGACTTAAAATGAATCCAAAGTTACCACAGTATATGTGTACACAAATACTTATTTCCTAACCGATAGTCCTTTTCAGAATTAAATTTACTTCTAGTTCAGACATGTTGAATGAGTCAGTGCACTGAACATCAACACTATTATTTGAATGCAAGTGGGGATTTTCTTATTAATTTTCCCATACTATAAACGAACTGTGAGTACGCTCCACCAATTCCAAACAAACGTTCTTCTTGAAGATAGAAGTCCTAAAAGGTCATCTGTTAAAGGAAGGAAGAGGAGTGTGTTCTAGCTATTACACAAATGAATTCAAAGAATTCCTAGAAAATCAACTTGCTATATAATCTCTGTCCTTGAAGCACTTTTGCCTGCACCTTGAGCAATATCTACTTAATCCAAGGGACAGATGAACTGGACAAAACATCCATAGCCTAACAAAAATGAGGTAAGTCTCATGAAAAAAGTGTTATTTTATTCTAAGTTCTAATTGGGACAGAATGAACTAGCCCTTTATACCTCACTACACATTGTAATACACCACCTTCCTTTAATTCAGTTTCAAAACTGTAGAAAAATATTATATATGTCACTTAGTGAAATGCAAGTCTCATCCTTTAAAAAGCTGTGGTAGGAACTGAGATACTACCATAAGATCTCTAATAAAATGTTTCTTGATAAATCTGTGGGAAATTTATTTTTTAATTTTTTTATTATGTATATATTTTAAGTTCTAGAGTACATGTGCACAACTCAGTATGATATTGGCTGTGGGTTTGTCATAAATAGCTGTTATTTTTAGATATGTCCCATCAATACTTAATTTATTGAGAGTTTTTAGCATCACGGGCTGTTGAATTTTATTGAAGGCCTTTTCTGCATCTATTGAGATAATCATGTGTTTTTTGTCTTTGGTTCTGTTTATATGCTGGGTTATGTTTATTGATTTGCATATGTTGAACCAGCCTTGCATCCCAGGGATGAAGCCCACTTGATCATGGTGGATAAGCTTTTTGATGTGCTGCTGGATTTGGTTTCCCAGTATTTTGTTGAGGATTTTTGTATCAATGTTCTTCAGGGATATTGGTCTAAAATCCTCTTTTTTTGTTGTGTCTCTGCCAGGCTTTGGTATCACGATGATGCTGGCCTCCTAAAATGAGTTAGGGAGGATTCCCTCTTTTTCTGTTGATTGGAATAGTTTCAGAAGGAATGGTACCAGCTCCTCCTTGTACCTCTGGTAGAATTCAGCTGTGAATCCATCTGCTCCTGGACTTTTTTTGGTTGGTAAGCTATTAACTGTTGCCTCAATTTCAGATCCTGTTATTGGTCTATTCAGAGATTCAATTTCTTCCTGGTTTAGTCTTGGGAGGGTGTATGTGTCGAGGAATTTATCCATTTCTTCTAGATTTTCTAGTTTATTTGTGTAGAGGTGTTTATAGTATTCTCTGATGATAGTTTGTATTTCTGTGGGATCGGTGGTGATATCTCCTTTATCATTTTTTATTGCGTCTATTTGATTCTTCTCTCTTTATTAGTCTTGCTAGCGGTCTATCAGTTTTGCTGATCTTTTCAAAAAACTAGCTCCTGGATTCATTGATTTTTTTGAAGGGTTTTTTGTGTCTGTATCTCCTTCAGTTCTGCTCTGATCTTAGTTATTTCTTGCCTTCTGCTAGCTTTTGAATGTGTTTGCTCTTGCTTCTCTAGTTCTTTTAATTGTGATGTTAGTGTGTCAATTTTAGATCTTTGCTGCTTTCTCTTGTGGGCATTTAGTGCTATGAATTTCCCTGTACACACTGCTTTGAATGTGTCCCAGAGATTCTGGTATGTTGTGTCTTTGTTCTCCTTGGTTTCAAAGAACATCTTTATTTCTGCCTTCATTTCGTTATGTACTCAGTAGTCATTCAGGAGCAGGTTGTTCTGTTTCCATGTAGGTGAGCGGTTTTGAGTGAGTTTCTTAATCTTGAGTTCCAGTTTGATAGCACTGTGGTCTGAGAGACAGTTTGTTATAATTTCTGCTTTTTTTACATTTGCCGAGGAGTGCTTTACTCCCAGCTATGTGGTCAGTTTTGGAATAGGTGTGGTGTGGTGCTGAAAAAAATGTATATTCTGTTGATTTGAGGTGGAGAGTTCTGTAGATGTCTATTAGGTCGGCTTGGTGCAGAGCTGAGTTCAATTCCTGGGTATCCTTGTTGACTTTCTGTCTCATAGATCTGTCTAATGTTGACAGTGGGGTGTTAAAGTCTCCCATTATTATTGTATGGGAGTCTAAGTCTCTTTGTAGTTCTCTAAGGACTTGCTTTATGAATCTGGGTGCTCCTGTATTGGGTGCATATATATTTAGGATAGTTAACTCTTCTTGTTGAATTGGTCCCTTTACCATTATGTCATGGCCTTCTTTGTCTCTTTTGATCTTTGTTGGTTTAAAGTCTGTTTTATCAGAGACTAGGATTGCAATCCCTTCTTTTTTTTGTTTTCCATTTGCTTGGTAGATCTTCCTCCATCCTTTTATTTTGAGGCTATGTGTGTCTCTGCACATGAGATGGGTGTCCTGAATACAGCACACAGATGGGTCTTGACTCTTTATCCAATTTGCCAGTCTGTGTCTTTTAGTTGGAGCATTTAGCCCATTTACATTTAAGGTTAATATTGTTGTATGTGAATTTGATCCTTTCACTATGATGTTAGCTGTTTATTTTGCTCGTTAGTTGATGCAGTTTCTTCCTGGCATCGATGGTCTTTACAGTTTGGCATGTTTTTACAGCGGCTGGTACCAGTTGTTCCTTTCCATGTTTAGTGCTTCCTTCTGGAGCTCTTTTAGGGCAGGCCTGGTTGTGGCAAAATCTCTCAGTATTTGCTTGTCTGTAAAGTATTTTATTTCTCCTTGACTTCTGAAGCTTAGTTTGGCTGGATATGAAAATCTGTGTTGAAAATTCTTTTCTTTAAGAATGTTGAATATTGGACCCCACTCTCTTCTGGCCTGTAGAGTTTCTGCCAAGAGATCTGATGTTAGTCTGATGGGCTTCCCTTTGTGGGTAACCCGACCTTTTTCTCTGGCTACCCTTAACATTTTTTCCTTCATTTCAACTTTGGTGAATCTGACAATTATGTGTCTTGGCATTGCTTTTCTTGAGGAGTATCTTTGTGGCATTCCGTGTTATTTCCTGAATTTGAATGTTGGCCTGTCTTGCTAGGTTGGGGAAGTTCTCCTGGATAATACTCTGCAGAGTGTTTTCCAACTTGGTTCCATTCTCCCCGTCACTTGCTGGTACACCAATCAGACGTAGATTTGGTCTTTTCACATAGTCCCATATTTCTTGGAGGCTTTGTTTATTTCTTTTTATTCTTTTTTCTCTAAACTTCTGTTCTCACTTCATTTCATTCATTTGATCTTCAGTCACTGATACCCTTTCTTCCAGTTGATCGAATCGGCTACTGAAGCTTGTGCATTCGTCACGTAGTTCTCTTGCCATGGTTTTCAGCTCCATCAGGTCCTTTAAGGACTTCTTTGCATTGGTTATTCTAGTTAGCCATTCATCTAATCTTTTTTCAAGGTTTTTAACTTCTTTGTGATGGCTTCGAACTTCCTCCTTTAGCTCGGAGAAGTTTGATCATCTGAAGCCTTCTTCTCTCAGCTCGTGAAAGTCATTCTCTGTCCAGCTTTTTTCTGTTGCTGGTGAGGAGCTGCGTTCCTTTGGAGGAGGAGAGGCGCTCTGATTTTTAGAGTTTCCAGTTTTTGTGTTCTGTTTTCTCCCCATCTTTGCGGTTTTGTCTACCTTTGGTCCTTGATGATGGTGATGTACAGATGGGGTTTTGGTGTGGCTGTCCTTTCTGTTTGTTAGTTTTCCTTCTAACAGTCAGGACCGTCAGCTGCAGGTCTGTTGGAGTTTGCTGGAGGTCCATTCCAGACCCCGTTTGCCTGGGTATCAGTAGTGGAGGCTGCAGAACAGCGAATAATGCTGAACAGCAAACGTTGCTGTGTGATCGTTCCTCTGGTGGTTTCCTCTCAGAGGGGTACCCGGCCATGTGGGGTGTCAGTCCGCCCCTACTGGGGGGTGCCTCTCAGGCTACTCGGGGGTCAGGGACCCACTTGAGGGGGCAGTCTGTCCGTTCTCAGATCTCCAGCTGCATGCTGGGAGAACCACTGCTCTCTTCAAAGCTGTCAGACAGGGACATTTAAGTCTGCAGAGGTTTCTGCTGCCTTTTGTTCGTTTATGCCCTGCCCCAGAGGTGGAGTCTACAGAGGCAGGCTGGCCTCCTTGAGCTGTGGTGGGCTCCACCCAGTTCGAGCTTCCTAGGCTGCTTGTTTTACCTACTCAAGCCTCAGCAATGGTGGGCGCCCCTCCCCCAGCCTTGCAGCCACCTTGCAGTTTGATCTCAGACTGCTGTGCTAGCAATGAGCAAAGCTCCATGGGCGTGGGACCCTCTGAGCAAGGCACAGGATATAATCTTCTGTTGTGCTGTTTGCTAAGACCATTGGAAAAGCACAGTATTAGGGTGGGAGTGACCCAATTCTCCAGGTGCTGTGTGTCACAGCTCTGCTTGGCTATGAAAGGGAGTTCCCTGACCCCTTGTGCTTCCTGGGTGAGGTAATGCTTCACGCTGCTTTGGCTCATGCTTGGTGCGCTGCGCCCACTGTCCGACAAGCCCCAGTGAGATGAACCCGGTACCTCAGTTGGAAATGCAGAAATCACCTGTCTTCTGCGTTGCTCATGCTGGGAGCTGTAGACTGGAGTTGGTCCTATTCAGCCATCTTGGAACCGCCTCTGTGGGAAATTTATTATGCCTTCAGTTAACAAAGTTTATTTTCAAAGGGGAGACATAAAATTTGCTCTAATGTCAGTTCTCTACAGATGAGAACCAATACTACAGTAACTAAGTCTTGCCTTTTTATCAGTTGGTTAGTTAGGATGTATATTAGAAAGAAATACTACTGAGTTGGATTGTTTTAAGTTGAAATCTCAGAAATATACCATATTGAATAAATTCTTACTTATTCCAAGAAAGAAATAGTGCAAACTTTGAATTATCTACACAAAACATTAAAATGGAAAAAAATGTACAGCACATGAAGAGAGACCAAAGAGCTTTTTATGTCTTTTTTTGCTAGTTTCTTTTTGGAGGGACAGAGGACTCTTTATTCTCCCTCTTGGATCATAAGCAAGCCCAAGTCATTTAATTATTTTATTTTCATCAAAGGAAATGTTTTCAATCTCCTTCAACCCAACTTTATGGACTATCTCTAATTTATAGTACTATAACCACAGTTCATCTGGATTTACACAAAATTTCATGATGCACTTATATAAACATTCAAACCTTTACAAACTTTAAAAATTAACTCTGTGGCACTTTGGTAAACTTAATAGTGACTCAGGTTAAATTGAAAGTAATAAGACTGTGATTATTCGGACAGTAGGGAAATTGGTCTTAAATTACATCATGACCTTGTTTAGGATTTTCTTTTACTGGTCACTGACTGTCACTGTTAAACAAATAGTTTCCAAGTATTTGACAGATAAATGCTGCTCTGTGGTCTCCAGAAGTGGCCTGTTTTCCCTGAAAAATAGATAAAGATGGCAGGCAATCATTCTGTGGGATTTTGCTTTTGCTAAGAGCAGGTAAAGAATTTAGACACAGTTGTTCTGCTATCCATTTGCTCTTACTATACTTGGAAGGGAAAACAATAAGGTTAAGTCATTCTGTCTCCACAAAGTATCTGGTGTCTATCCCTGTGTCATTTATTTATGTGGTGGACAGCAGAATTCTTGCCTTCTGCTTTTATTTTCCTCTATCTCTTTTAAATATACTTTTTGGGCTTCTCTTAGAAGCTCTTTCATAGGTATGTCTTTCCAGTTCTCTACCTTTGTAATTTCTTGTTAATATGTGGCCAACTATTAGTTACAAAATGAAGCTTTAACATCCCTCATTTGAGAGGGGTTTTCTAATTCTAGAACTACATATTTCCTCATTTGCTCTTTGAGTCTTTCTAGAAATTTTGAAACAAAAGATCAGTTTCTTAAAAATTATACACTTGGTCTGTCATCTATTTTCTCTTCCATAAAACTAAAGGTCTCTTAGCACAGTTGCCACCCCTGGAGTTCACTAGGCAACAATATCAACCTGGGGATCATGTCCTCATCAAAAGCTGGAAGGCAAAAAGCTCAAACCAGCCTGGGAAGGACATTACTTAGTGCTCTTAACTACTGAAACTGCAGTTTGGACAGCAGAAAGAGGCTGGACCCATCACACCTGAGTCAAAAGAGCACTGTCCCCTCTGGAGTCATGGGCCATAGTCCCAGGACAAAACTCTACCAAACTAAAGCTAAGCAAAGTTTAACCCTCCATTTATTTTATAACTCCTCCTTTCCTTGCTCTACTGCTGAGCACCTTGTTATTAATGAAACCAGGTCACCTTTTCCTCAGACAATCACATTTGATGCCTGCTCACCATACCTTGCAGGGATCTCCAAAACCAAAGGTAACTGGCCTCCTCAGAAAAATATCTGTCTCTCCAAAGGCACATCTGACCTCTGCAACTCTTGCTTCATAGAGACCAACTCCCTTATGTTTCTCACATTTTAGGAACAAAATGTGGACTAGTTTCTAGCTCCCTCCTATGGACCACTGAGGAACAAGTGGTCCATAGCACTAATGAGGTCCTCTGGACCTCCATAGCACTGTCCCTCCTATGGACCACTGAGGAACAAGGGTGGACTTCCTCAAAGGGCTGCACCTCTCTAGAACCATTACTCTATTTCACCAAAGAAAGTGTTCCCTCTAATTTTCAATAATATCAATGCAATCTGATGCAGCTTTCTATTCTTACCTCTCCTGATCCTGACGCCACTTTATGTTGCTTCTATGACATGGGAGCTAACTTGGCTGGCACAGACCTCATAGACTCATTTGAAATGCATTGTATTAATCCCTCACCCTCTTCACCCCCTAGCCCCTCTTCTCTGTTTAGAACTTCTTCTGATCAAACTGTCATCCTTTCCATACCCAATGATAGGACCAGAGTAGATGTTGTAGCAGGTAAATGATTTATAACAAACTGGCAATAGAGCCAGGATATCAAGATGCAAATGCCTGATTGGAATGGATCAAATATTCTGTCCACACATTAAACAAAAGCAATTGTTACGCTTGTGCGCATGGCAGGCCAGAGGCCCAGATTGTCACCTTTCGACTAGGATGGTCCTCCAGTTGACCAGGCATGGGCTGTATGGTAGTTCTTTTCCAGGATTCCATAGTCTGGGGTAACAAGTTGTGCCAAGCTCTCTCTCTGCTATATCCCAAAGGTTGACACCCTGCAGTCCAGCCCCTGAGGGCCATCCAGCTTCTGTCTCCCAACACTAAGTTACTTCGTGTCTCTCACGACAAGGAGGAAACTTAGCAATCCTTGGAGACCTGAGGGGATGCCGTGAGTGTAAGAATTTTCAAGAGCTTATCAATCAGTCAGCCCTTGTTCTTCCCCTAGCAGATGTGTGGTGGCATTGTGATGGAGCTTTACTGGACACTCTGCTGAGTAACTGGAGCAGCACTTGTGCTCTAACCCAGTTGGCTATCCCTTTCACACTGGCATTTTATCAGCCAGAGGAAAGAAAAATGCAATATCATAAAGCAAGAGAAGCCCCTTATGGGTCTTTTAACCTACACATCTATCTAGATGCAATTGGAGTCCCACAAGGAGTACCAGATAAATTTAAAGCCCACAATCAAATAGCTGCAGGATTTTTGTCAATATTTTGGTGGGTGACAATTAATAAGCATGTAGATTAGATAAATTATATTTATACAACAAACAGCACTTTATTACCTACACTAGAGATGCTGTTAAAGGAATAGCTGAGCAATTAGGGGCTGCTTGCCAGATGGCTTGGGAAAATAGGATAGCCTCAGACATGATATTAGCAGAAAGCGGAGGAGTTTGCTTCATGATTAAAACTCAATGTACTACGTTCATCACAAACAACACCACTCCTGATGGAAGTATAACAAAGGCATTGCAAAGTCTAAGTGCTCTGTCCAATGAGTTAGCCAAAAACTTGGGGGCAAATGACCCCTTCACAGGGTGGCTAGAAAAATGTTTTGGTAAATGGAAAATAATCACAACCTCAATTCTTACTTCTCTTGCAGCCATAGTAGCTGTATTTATTCTTGTAGGGTGTTGTGCCATACCATGAATCATGGGCAGGTGCACAGACCCATAGAGACAGCACTTACTAAAACCTTCCTCAACTCTTCTCCACCTTATTCAGAGAAGCTTCTTCCTTTAAGGAATCAAGTAGAAGAACTGAACCAAGACATGTTAAGGAAGTTTGAAGAAAGAACTGTAAAAATTCAAGAGGGAGACTGAAGGAGTGGCCTGCCTCTCCACATCTGTGGGTGTTTCTAGTCGGATGGGATAAGAGACTGAGAAAAGAAATAAGACACAGAGACAAAGTAGAGAAACAACAGTGGGCCCAGGGTACCGGCACTCAGCATACAAAGGACCTGCACCAGCACTGGTCTCTGAGTTCCCTCAGTTTTTATTGATTATTATTTTCATTATTTCAGTAAAAAGGAATGTCGTAGGAGGGCAGGGTGATCATAAGGAGAAGGTCAGCAACAAACATGTGAGCAATAGAATCTACGTCATAATTAAGTTCAAGGGAAGGTACTATGACTGGACGTGTACGTAAGCCAGATTTATGTTTCTCTCCACCCAAACATCTCAGCAGAGTAAAGAATAACAAGGCAGCATTGCTGCAAACATGTCTCACCTCCTACCATAGGGCGGTTTTTCTCTCATCTCAGAATTGAACAAACGTACAATCAGGTTTTATACTGAGATGTTCAGTTCCCAGGGGCAGGCAGCAGACAGTGGCTTTCCTCTATCTCAACTGCGAGAGGCTTTCCTCTTTTACTAACCCGCCTCAGCACAGACCCTTTATGGGTGTTGGGCTGGGGGACGGTCAGGTCTTTCTCATCCCATGAGGCCATATTTCAGACTATCACATGGGGAGAAACCTTGGACAATACCCAGCTTTCAAGGGCAGAGGTCCCTGCGGCTTTCTGCAGTGCATTATGCCCCTGGTTTATTGAGACTAGAGAATGGCAATGACTTTTACCAAGTATACTGCTTGTAAACATTTTGTTAACAAGGCACATCCTGCACAGCCCTAGATCCCTTTAACCTTGATTCCATACAACACATGTTTTTGTGAGCTCCAGGTTGGGTCAAAGTGGCTGGGGCAAAGCTACAAATTAACAACATCTCAGCAAAGCAATTGTTCAAAGTACAGGTCTTTTTCAAAATGGAGTCTCTTATGTCTTTCTTTTCTACATAGACACAGTAACAGTCTGATCTCTCTTTCTTTTCCCTACATATGTCCCTTTTCTTTTTGACAAAACTGCCATAGTCATCATGGCCCGTTCTCGCTGGTTGCTGTCTCTCCGGAGCTGCTGGATACACCTGTAGACTAACAACAGAGAGGACAGACGTACAAGAATTAATACAAAATTTGCAACAGTGGAATTTCCAGTGGTTTTAACCCAAGTGACAGGGTTAAGATTTGTGAGGCTATCAACAGCTTTCACCGTTGCCTCAGTTTCTGGCACCAGATTTAACTGGGCTTTTGATGTTTCAAAAATTTGTTTTTTCAATTTTGAAATATCTAAAGTAAGATTATCTTCTCTTCCTTGTAGATGGCATCTAACCATGTCCCAGTGATGTTTAGATTCATTATAGGCTTGAAGTGTAATACAAAAATCTGACATATTCCAGTCACACTGTAACTGAAAAAGATATTCCAAACTTATGAGCCTATCTCCCATCCAAATGACAGTTTGTCTAAGATCATTACTTTGATTTGTCAATTTTTGATCTGTTTGAGTCTGAGAATTCCACAATTTCGAGGAATTCTTTTGCCAATTATTCACATATTCTGCAGTTTGAACAGAGGAGTGTAAAGCAATTCCAGCAGCCGCAGCAGTAGCTGTGACTGCAATAAAACCCATAATCACTGTAATCAAGGTAAAAATGAATGTTTCAGATCTAGTTAGAACTCTTTTAAATACTTCTGTTAAGATATGTCCAGATGGAGAAGCCTCCCACGGTCAGTCCATGGACACAGGGATCCCCATACCCTCTCTTGCCCTGACTAACAGAATATGATGCTGCCAGTCGAAAGTTGAATCAATGCAAGTAAACAATCTACAGTTTTCACAGGTTATAGTTTGGGAATCTGGTTTAATAACTATATTTCCTACAACTAGCGTATAAGGGGGTTTTACCTAACTTTGCAAAGGAATTGTCAGATTGTAATTTAGGTTAATAGTATAATATGGCTTATGATTTCTTGTTCCCATAACTTGATTTCCAGACCAAATTCTAATGTGGTACGAGGCCACAGTGAGCTTCCATAATTCTGGGTGTTCAGGACCAACAACAGGACTAACTTTGGTCGGGGTGAAGAAATCCTCTTTTCACCCCATTTCCATGGATAGGGTGATTTTAGCCTTCTATAAACCTGGTCTAGCCTTTTAGTTAAATCACTATCATAGACTGGATTAGCGGGCCAGACAGATGGAGCCTGTGAACATGAGTGGGTCTGGCCCATACGGTCATAATATAATTGGCCTCGAGGGGCCTAGTCTATAATAGTTCCAAATTTATTGTTTTGTAGTACCACTGCAGTATCAGCCACACATTCTTCCCAAACTAAGACTTCTGGGTCTTTTGATTCTTTTGGAATTTCCTTGGGGCAAGATTTTCCCTTAGGCCTAAATCTTAATGATCTTTGATAGGAAGAGTCCTGTAAATTATTCATTTGTGACCCAAGTGACATTTCACTTACCATGTGATAAGTGAATTTACTGGTGGCACTGACAGTAGGTACTTCTACCAACCAGTTTTGGTTTGTAGGCATTAAGCATCCTGGTGCTTTTCCCAGACAAATAGGAGGATAATGATACCCAATGGAAATGTTTATCATCATTCCTTCTTCTTCAGGTTGGGCAGGGCCACGGTCATCTGTGGGGTCTGGTACCCATGTACTATTGTTAACATGTACTTCAATAGGATTATCTCTCCAAGTGAGTGCCCGAATTAAGGGTGGGAAAGGCACATAGGCCCAGTAAGTATAGTTAGCTGTAGCGGCTCCTGCAGATATAGGGAGACTTAGCACCATTGATACAATCATTAAAGCTGCAAGCAGCATATTCTCTGGAGTTTATGTTACCCTCATGTTTTTCAGGCTTTTTTCAGCTAACTGTGTCAGCTTCTTTAGCTGGGCCCAGGTCGGCGGCTCCGCTTTCTTGGTGGATGGCAACTTCATCTGTTCTTTTGATATCACCATTTTCTTCACCTGGCGAGGTGATGATGCTCGATTGCAGGTTTTCTGTCTCTATGGAGGCACCTTCATTTGCATCTCTGATGGGTTCATTGTAGAACTTCAAATGTCTAGTGGGTATCCAAACAGGAAGCTGATTTTCTTCTGGTGAAACACAAGAAAAACCTCTCCCCCATGTTATCACCTTACCTATTTCCCATGTTTTATTTTTGTTGTCTTTCCACCAAATCAGTTTTCCCCCATGTGGGCTGTTCTTTTTACCAGTAAAATGTTGTTCTGCAGAAGTAGTGGTCTGATTTCTATATATGTTTAAAGAATTTAAACTATAGAGTGCTAGATTAAGTTGCATCTGGGGAGTGTTATACTCCTTACTGTCTTTTTCCATTTTTTGTTTAACCAATTGAGCTTTGAGTGTTCTATTAGTTCTTTCAGTTATGGCCTGTCCTTGGGGAATTATAGGGGATTCCTGTTGTATGTGTAATTTTCCACTGATTTAGGAATTTTTGAAATGCTTTGCTACAGTATCCTGGCCCATTATCCGTTTTAATTTTTTCTGGAACTCCCATGACAGCAAAACAAGATAATAAATGTCTTTTAACATGGGAAGTACTTTCTCCTGTCTGGCAGGTTGTCCACATGAAATGTGAATAGGTATCAACTGTCTCATGGACAAATGACATTTTTCCAAATGAAGGTACATGTGTGACATCCATTTGCCATAATGCATTAGGACATAAACCTCTGGGATTAACTCCTGCCTCCTGAGTGGGCAGGTGTAAGACTTGACACTGAGCACAATGTAGTACAATATTTTTTGCTTGTTTCCATGTGATATAATATTTATTTTTTAATCCTGTTGCATTTACATGAGTCAGGGCGTGAAGTTCTTGTGCTTCCATGAAATCAGATGATACTAGGAAGTCAGCTTGTTCATTTGCCTTAGTTAAAGGCCGTGGTAAATTAGTATGTGCTCGAATATGAGTAATATAAAGTGGGAAATTTCTTTTTCTTATAGTTTATTGTAACAATTTAAACAGCTGATTTAACTGATCACCCATACTATATTTGATTAGGGCTGTCTCAACATCCTTTGTAGCCTGTACTACATATGCAGTATCTGAAACAATGTTAATAGGCTGATTAAATCTTGTTTAACACTGAAATGACAGCAGCCAATTCTGCTCTTTGAGCTGAGTGATATTGAGCTTCAATGACTCGTTCTTTTGGCCTGATGTAAGCTGCTTTTCCATTGCTGGAACCATCAGTAAACACTGTCAGAACATTTTTGAAAGGTTTTTTTCTGGTAATTTTAGGTAAAATCCAAGTAGTCAATTTTAAAAACTGGAAGATTTTTGTTTTTGGGTAATGATTATCAATAATTCCCACAAAATCAGCAAGACCAGTCTGCCATGCAGACTGAATTGATAAAGGCTTGTCTAACCTGTTCCTTGTTTAAAGGGACAATGATTTTATCTGGGTCACTTCCACACAATTTTACTATTCGTAGTCTTGCCTGACCAATTAATGTAGCCATTTGATCTAAGTACAATGTAAAAGTCTTTACTGTGGGGAAGGAATGGCCACTCCACAATATCTGTATTTTCAACAATAATGCCTGTTGGAGAGTGTGCAGTAGCAAAAATCTAAAGTTGGAGTGGGGCTGTATAGGAAGACTGGAATAGTGATCTCTGCATGCCACTGTTCTAACAAGTCTCGGCCCCATAAATTAATTGGAATAGAAGTAATCATAGGCTGAACTGTACTCTCTTGATGCTCAGTTCCTAAACAATGTAAAATCATGGACTTTGATACACTTCTGAGGCGGTGCCCACACCAACAAGTCCTGTAACGGACTTGTTTAGGTCAATTTTTTGGCCATTGATTTAAGGCAAGGATAGAAACATCAGCCCCCATATCCATGATTCCTTCAAACTGCTTTCCCTGAATAGTAACTGTACACACAGGTCTATTCTCTGAGAGCTGACTAGCCCAATAAACAGCATTTCCAGCAGGGTTGGTACTTCCAAACCCTCCTGTTTTTTCTGTTTTGCTATCCCCAATTTTGATATAAGGCAAGAACAGTAACTGAGCAATTCTATCACCTGGATTGGCACTCCAGGGAACAGTAGAGCTAATCACTAACTGAATTTCCCCTTTATAATCAGAGTCAGTTACCCCAGTATGAATTTGGACTCCCTTCAAATTTAGACTTGATTTTCCTAAAATAAGGCCTACTCTCCCTTCTGGCAGCGGGCCATGTACCCTTGTAGGAATCTTTTGCAGGGGCTCTCCAGGGAGTAAAGAAATCGTAAATCTTTACATAATCATAAAGAACATAAATCTACTGCCGTGCTGCCTGCTGTGGCGGGGGATAACTGTTGTATTGTTGTAATTAGCTGATTTCCTGAAATGGTGGTATTTACTGTGGGGGTTGTTGTCCCTGAAAACCCTGAGGAACAAATGGCTGAATCAGGAATGCCCCACTTTGTTGCGGGGCCTGGGGCTGGCCCTGTTTGCCATTTCCTGACAATGGTTGCCCATTTTTATCAAATTTAGAAGGACATTTTTTAGCCCAGTGTTTTTCTTTTCCACATTTTGGACACAGGCCAGGTGGCTGTTTACTTTTGCTCTGTTTATTTAAGCCTGGGCAATTCTTTTTTAGATGACTGATTTGACCACAATTATAACATTTTCCCCCAAATGTTTTAACTTGTCCTCCTAAAGCAACCCCCTAATTGCTTGAGCCAATAGCATTGCCTTATGCATAGCTCCTCCAATCCCATCACAAGCCTTCACATATTCTGTAATTACATCAACTCCTGCTGAAACCTTTCCTCTTAATGGCTTTATGGCTGATTGACATTCTGGATGTGCATTTTGGTAAGCCATTATTTCTACAATAACTTTTCAGGCATTATTATCTGCAATGGATTTTTGAGCTGCAGCATGCAACCTTGCCACAAAGTCTGGATATGGCTCTTTAGAGCCTTGTCTGATTGAACTAAAAGAAGGGCAGGCAGATCCTGGGTCCTGAATCTTTTCCCAGGCCCTGAGGCAAATAGCCCTTAGTTGTTCAATAGCCTCATTTTGCATTATTGATTGTTGGTTAATAGTGCTCCAATTTGGACCTGTTCCTAGCAATTGATCTGCATCTATATGGACAACAGGATAAGTAGCCTGATTTTTCTGTACATATTCTTGTACTCCATCAATCTACCAGGTTTTAAACTGTAGGAATTGAGAGGGTGAAAGGGAAGATTTAGCCAAAATTTCCCAATCCTAAGGAATAAGTCTATTTCCAAGAGCAATGGAATCTAATAATGTTCTCATACAAGGAGAGTTGGGTCCATATTGTTTAACTCCTTCCTTCATATCTTTTAACATTTTCATGGTGAAAGATTCATATCTACACTCAGTTCGGACAGACGCTCCTGCTTGACTCCCTTTCCCGGCCGGGTGGGTTGTAAAATTACTGGGAACTGCCATGCCTCAAGATCTCCCTGTTTTCTGGCTTTATCAATGATTTCATGGAGTGCACTATCTTGTCCACTAGGTGGTACTGTAGGATCAAACACCATTGCCGTGGGATGTTGATATAGTGCCCTGCTATTTGGGTTGGGCGCACCACCTGAGTTCTATACTGAACCTCTGGAGACGGCCGATACTGAAATTCGGCTGGCGGCTGGTGTTGATAAGCTGCCGGTGGTTGGGTTTTATTTTCCACCAGCTGATATTGTGGATACTGTGTCTGGATTGGCATTTGAGGTTGTAATGTCACAGGCATCTGAACCGCGGGAGAAGGAGTTGGTGGCCATCATCGTCTAAACTCTGATGGCCCAAATAATTCTGGACCTTTTCCCCCCAATTTTGATGGTTCAGGATATATTACTTCCTGTAACTGATTATAGTCAACATTTTGCCTTGACTGAGCCATTACAGACTCTACTACATTTTTACAATGTGAACTTCCCATTCCTTCCTTGAACTCTGCTCCTGCCTCTTCTTCACAATCTATTACACAGCTTTCAGGGACATCAGAAACTGAAACGCTAGCCAATCAGGGAATGACATTGCAGTAGGGGCTACCTGCGACAGGAATAGGAACCCCTTCCCCTCCTTGCTCAGGTGTGTTCTCACCATTGCTCCATCTGCGAGTCATACCCTTCTATAAAACTAAAATTGCCATGCTAAGAAAATGTATGTTCGAGGGCTATTTTTTTTGTGGCACTGAAACTTTATTTCTAACAGTCTGGAAAGGTGTTCATCTCAAACAATACTGCCCCTGATGGAAGTATAATAAAAGTACTGCAAGGTCTAACTGCTCTGTCCAATGAGTTAGCCAAAAACTCAGGGGTAAATGACCCCTTCACAGGGTGTCTAGAAAATGGGTAGGTAAATGGAAAGGAATCATATCCTCAATTCTTTCTTCTCTCGCAAGCTTTACTTTGAAGCAAAGGCAGGAAAACTCGAAGCGGGAGGGAACTCCCAGGTCACAGATAGGTGAGACACCAGTGGTTACATTATTTTGAGTTTGCGCTTCCTAGCTTGAGTTTTTGGGAGCCCAAGATATTTTTCTTTTACGTAAATGTGCATTGGAATTTAAGCATATTTGGTATATAAAACAATACCAATTTAGCCAGCGTTTACATGTCTATGTAAATCGAGTTTATGGACAGACACTTTGCATATTTTTCCTTTTTTTTTTTGGTGAGACAGAGTCTCACACTGTTGCCCAGGCTGGAGAGCAGTGGTGCAATTTCAGCTCACAGCAAATCAAGGGATTTTCCTGCCTCAGCCTCCTAAGTAGCTGGGATTACAGGCATGTGCCACCATGCCTGGCTAATTTTTGTATTTTTAATAGAGATGGGTTTCTCCATGTTGGCCAGGCTGGTCTTGAACTCCTGACCTCAGGTGATCCACCTGCCTCGGCCTTCCAAAGTGCTGGGATTACAAGCATGAGCCACGGTGCCTCGCCTGCATATTTTTCTTGATTTGTTCATGTAGAAAATAGTTTCTTCCTAAAGAGATTTTGTGTTAAAACAATGCCTGGTTGAAAGTGTTAGATGCCTTAGATTTAGTTTTCCTCTTTTTGCCTGAAAGGGTTGAATGCTGAGGCATCTAGTATTCTTGTGTATGGGAATATTCCCATGTAATTTTTGTTTCTAGTCCTGTTGCTTCCTGTGTTAAAAATAAGACTAAGGTGTGTAGCTGCACCTATAGTTCAAGATGAAGGGGTCTGTGTGAGAAATACAGTGTTTGCACGTGTGTATGTAAGTGAGAGAGAGATGACATACAGAGTGCACAACCTCTTTGTAATACCCAGTTGACTCAGTGAAATCTGACTCTCTGAGCTGGCCTCTGGGCGTAGCTTGCCTACCCCAGGTCTAGATCTTACTGGTTGTGTAGTTTTTCAGCACTCAGATGTTGAGAGCTATGTATTTCTCAGAGCAGTCTTCTCTCTCTCTCTCTCTCTCTCTTTTTTAATGTGCATAGGTGCATATAAAAATTGTGTGCCTTGTTTAGATGAGATCGGGGTGTTCAGGATAGTATAGCTGTGGATCCTATCCCTTTTCAAGGATGATAGATTTATTGCTAGGCATGTTCTGGAAGGAGATTTTTGTTTTGTTTCTGTGGGGTTCCCTTTTTGCTCAATGAATGAATTGGTTATTTGAAGGCATTGGTTATTTATTCCATAAGCACAGGGTGGTGGCCTCTGCGCAGGCCCATGCTTGAAGGTACTTGCACTAGGGACAGTTGCTTTCTTCCCTCCTGGAGTTGATAGAGTTGAGGGGAGGCAGATACTGGAAAGCAGCCACAAATGCACCAAAATGTGCAGTGGACTGAGAGTGGCCAGGATGTGAGGAGTTACTACAGCTGCAGCACAGACCAGCATCACGAGAGTTTAAGTGTAGGAGAGGGACTATTGAGGGAGAAGGACAAAAGACACATTTACCCTACAGATTGAAGAAAATTACTATAGGGGTTTCTTCTCTGTTATACTCATTGTGGTGTGACTTTTTTTTTTTTGAGACAGACTTTCGCTCTTGTTGCCTAGGCTGGAGTGCAATGATCTTGGCTCACTGCAACCTCTGCCTCCTGGGTTCAAGTGATTCTCTTGCCTCAGCCTTCTGAGTAGCTAGGATCAGAGGCGTGCGCCACCATATCCTGCTAATTTTTGTATTTTTACTAGAGATGGGGTTTCACCATGTTGGCCAGGCTGGTCTTGAACTCCTGAGCTCAAGTTATCCGCCCACCTTGGCCTCCCAAAGTGTTGGGATAACAGCTGTGAACCATGATGCCTAGCCTATGGTGTGACTTTTTTTTTCTTTTGAGACAGAGTTTCATTTTTGTTGCCCAGGCTGGAGTTCAGGGTTTAGGGGGCAAGCCCATGAGCCTCACTCCTTCTGCTCTCTCTCCAGCAATTGGAAAGGGAATCTTTTTGCTCAGCATTCCCATGCCTCCCACAAGCCTGGCATGGAACCTGTGCACTTGCCTTAGTGTCCTCGGCTGCTGTAACAGAGCACCACGGGCCTGGTGGCTTAAATTGCAGCTGGTCATTCTCCCATAGTCATAGAGGCTTGAAGTCCCAGGTCACGGGGCCGGCAGGGATGGTTCCTCCCGAGGCCTCTCTTCTGGGCTTGTAGACACTGTTTTCTCTCTGGGTCCTAACAAGGTCATTCTTCTGTCTGTGCCCTCATCTCCTGTTCTTATGAGGGCACCAGTCCCTTTGGATAAGGGACCAACCTAATGACCCTGGTTTACTTTAATCACCTCTTTCAAGGCCCTAACTCCAAATAAACAGTCATGTTCTGGGGTCCTCAGGGTTAGGACTTCACCATATGAGTTGGGAGTGGGCAGGTAACATGCTGACTGTCCAGAACAAGCAAACCTGTAGAGGCAGAAAGTGGATTCCTGCTTGCTAGGGCTGGGGACAGAGAGCTTGGGGTGACTGCTAGCCAGCACAGGGTTTCTTTTGGAAGTGATGAAGGTGTTCTGGAATTAGAGGTTGCACAACTCTGTGAATATTTTAAAAACCACTGGATTGTACATTCAAAAGGTTGAATTTCATGGTGTGTGAATTATATGTTAGTAAAGCTGTTAGAAACAAAAACTGAGGATAATAGGTAAAAAGAGGAAGGGAGTCGAAAGCAGCATCAGGTGTGAATGGTTCATAATTCAGCTTATAAAAAAGCATGAACTTTCAGCACAACTGTGTGCAACTAACTGTGTGTTGAAGACGTGAGTGAATGCTGGCTTTCTGCACCCTTTGGCCTGGTTTTCTCTATTTTCTAATTTCATTATCATACCTTCTATTTCTTTCTCCCCCTCCTCACTTTTTCAGAACATTTATTCTCGTTCTTACCTGTGTCTACACAAAATTCCATAAACATAATGCTGCAGTTCAAGGAAGTGTTCTGATGTTAGGGTGGTAACTTAGGAAAATATTCATCTTTGGGGAAGTTTTGGTTTCCCTCTGAATGAAAACCATCTGTGAAAGAGATACTTAAATACAGTTTTCAAATGCTCCTGAGACATGCCCAGATGTTCTTTGGGGAGAAGTGAAGGCAGGACAGTTTCTAAGGCAAACACAGACCATATTGCAGACAGAACCCAAGTAAAGAAAGGCATAGTGATGGTAGGTATTTATGCATCAGCATAAATGTGGAGGTGAGGGATGCTAGCTTAGCAGGCCAGCATGATTGAGTTATGAGAGCTGAAGACCAGGATACTGCCTCTTCTGGGTGTCCTGCTCCAAGCTGCTTCGAAAAAGGAAGCAACTGTGGACTTCTCTGGGCTGTGGTTAAATTGGGTTCACTTTTGTACCGTGAAGACTCTACAGAGCCAGGGATGCTGGCACCCTGGAGAGACCTTGCTCCAGGAGCTCAGGAGTGGGTAGAGGCAGTGACAGTAAAGCACTGGCTTGTTGGGCCCAGTGCCTGGGCAGTGCTGAGCTCTGAGGGAGGAACCCAGAACCATGTCGGAGCAAGGGCAGGAGGCAGGTGAGGAGAAGGGTTGCCCAGCAGCCTGTGGACTGGGTCAGTGTTCTATGATATTGTCTTTCTGCTTTGCTGTCTGATCCCACTAAAGACTAGCCAGAGAGATGTGGAAATGAAAAATGGTGGGTGACCATTTCTCTCACTTTCACTGGGTCTACAATGTCTATTTCACATCAACAGCAAGATCTGTACAGGCATCCTAATAAGTATAAATAAGGTCCTCAGAAAAACTGGGTTGTGAGGCTCCTGTCATCTTAGTTTCTTTCATCATTTAAGTGACTATTTTTTACTTACTGACATACAGTTGTTACTTAGTGGCCACCTACTATTTTTATAGAGTTCTTTATGTGCTTTCTGTTTACCAACATTTGTTTTCGTGCTCATCCTATTTCAGTGTGGCTTACATATAATAAGATGCACCCATTCTTGACTACTGTGGATTTTAAAAAAAAAAGGGTTATAGAAATGTGATTCACATAACAAACACCTATTTTAGGTGTATAATTCAACAGTTCTTAATACCCTAATTAAAAAAAATACAGTGTTCAGTATTTCCCTTTTCTCCTTTTTCACTAAAATGGACTCAGGATTGTGGGTAACTGCCATTAGTCCCATTGGTTTAATTCCTGGCCGTCAGTGTTTGCTGGGGATGTTGGTACCTCCCTTAATACGATATTCTTATAGCATTTAAAAAATTCTAGTAAAAAACATATCCAAAATGGATCTCCCCTCTTCACCCCTCCCTGTTTCCCCTGCCTCCAGCTCCCAGCAACCACTATTCCAGTCTCTGCTTTTTTGATTTTCACAACTTTAGGGAGCTTGTATAGGTGGAATCACTTTAAAAGCTGATACATGTGAAAGCGCTTAGAACATGGCTTGGTGAGCATCTGGTCAACATTAAGTACACTTATTTATTTATTTACTTTATTTATTTAAATGAAGTCTTGCTCTTTCACCCAGGCTGCAGTGCAGTGGTGTCATGTCAGCTCACTGCAACCTCTACCTCCTATGTTCAAGCAATTCTCCTGCCTCAGCCTCCTGAGTAGCTGGTACTACAGGTGCCTGCCACCAGGCCTGGCTAATTTTTGTGTTTTTAGTAGAGACGGGGTTCCACTATGTTGGCCAGGCTGGTATCAAATGTGTGACCTCAGGTGATGTACCTGTCTTGGCGTCCCAAAGTGCTGGGATTACAGGAGTGAGCTACTGTGCCTGGCCTAAGTACTTTTATTATTATTTTTAAGAAGCAAGGGACATGGACTTCTGTCTTTTCACTGTGTAGAAGACTTCTATCTTTTCACTGCACTGCAGACGCAGGCTTCCAAAAAACATCCCACTTGAATTCTTACCCAACTTTTCCCCTAAAAAGGAGCTAGGAAACCCTCATTGTCAAGAATGCTTTGCCTGGTATGCATGTGTGAGTGATGTTATGTTTGTCATTATTTGACAGACAGGGAGGAATCTTCCAGTCCCCTATAAGGCAATGAAGTTATGCACAGATGTGGTTCAGTTTATAGAGGGAAGGGATTGGATGTGTAACGTGTGTGTGGCTTGCAGCCAGGCTTTCAAGTGTGCAGAGGAATAAACGTTTTTGCCTCCAGAATTTTAACTTAACTGGAAAGAAGTCTGAATTCCACCTCTTGGGCACACTAGCCTGAGGTCTCCTCTGCAAACCTCATCATTAAAGTCTTCAGGTGTGTGTGTAATAGTCTTCAGGTCCATATGTCTCACAGCCCCCTTTATGTGACAGTCAGCACAAACTCATAAAGACGTGATGATGAATTCTATCAGAGAAATCTTTCTGGTTTTGTGAAAATAATGATGCACTCTTTCATATCCAAATGATGGAAGCTGGCTCACATTTCTTGTCAAAATTAATATTAAAAGACAGTGTCCTTTATATTTTACTTGTCTAGGTATAAACATCATTGTTGAGTATGTAGGACTACCTTTCTTCTTGATTCTGAAAAGAATGTATAGAGTGAGTATTTTAAATGGAATTAGTGGGCATACAAGGATCAGTGACACTTAAGAAACCAGCCATAGATAGTGTTGGTATGAGGATTGGTAAAACTAGGGGTGGGGAATGAGGATTTTTGGTCCTATATCATATTCTCAAGGCATTTTCTAATAATTCACCCTTTTCACATAAGAATGGTTTGAAATTGATCAGCCTGAAGCCATTAGTATGAGAGGGGGAGGGAGGGAGGGGAACAGAGAGAGAGAGAGAGAGAGACAGAGCGGGGGAGAGAGAGAGGAGAGACTTGCTCTGTCACTCAGCCTGCAGTGTAATGGCACAATCTCAGTCCGCTGCAACTTCTGCGTCCCATGTTCAAGCGATCCTGCTGCCTCAGCCTCCCAAGTAGCTGGGATTACAAGTGTGTGCCACCACACCGGGCTAATTTTTGTATTTTTAGTAGAGATGCGGTTTCGCCATGTTGGCCAGGTTCATCTGGCACTCCTGACCTCAGGTGACCCATCTGCCTTGGCTTCCAAAAGCACTGGAATTACAGGTGTGAGCCACTGAGCCCCGCAAAAGCCGTATATTCTTAGATGGTGCTCTCTTAGATTGCAGATGACAGTGGTTTTGCAATAGCATTTTCAAGTTAGGAAGGAGAAAGATAGTTTTGGGTTTCTTGCAGTGTGGGGACCAGTTTTGTCATTGCCGTGGATGGTTGTGGCTCTGGTGGTACAGTGAACTTTTTGGGTTAAAATTTATTACTGGTAGTATGAATTTTGGCTGGTTAAATTTTGGAAACTTGCCTGTAATTTTATTTGATAGATGATCAAAATTGATAAGTGACTTGGTAAGTGATAAAAATTCTGAATGGACTGGCTTCTGGCTTTGATCCTGCTTTGATCCTTTCCAGCTGTGCTTCTCCTACCCTCAGGCAATCCCTATCATGCTGTACTTGTCTGGCACCACTCACCCTGTCCTGACACTGGATGATTTATTTCTGAATGAATTGCTCCTGGAAGCTATTCTGACACCGTTACAGCTGGCAGCAACATAACTGTCTTGGGATGCTCCTGGAGCATATAGATAGATGTAAACATAGCATTTTAGTAGCTCTACTTCCACAGTATTTTCTTTCAGAATGGGGTGTTAGAGTTGAAGGAGGCAGGGCCATGATGAAGACTGTGGGCAGTGTGTCTTTCTTTGGACATTTTCATCATGATCTGAGCTTGTGAAAACTCTGCCATGGCCCTTCCTCCCACTTTGGAAGAACTGGAGCAAGAGTGGATAGCAGCTGGATTCACAGCATGGTGTGAATCACATGACAGCTCAGTCTTCGATCCCTGGGTGCTGCAGAGAGGGAAGAATCAGCCTCGCAGGGGGAGTGACTGCCAGCCCTTGTGGTCTGTCTCCTGCCACGTGTCACCATACTGAACATTTGTGTGTGCTCTGTGTGTTTTCAAAACACCTTCATCTTGCCTGCCCTGGACTCTTCCCTGTGAGGGAGGCAGGATGGGCATTACCATCTCTGTGGACCAACAAGGAGAGTGCAGCTTGCAATGCATGAGGTGGCTTCCCCATTGCTGTGGAGGCATAGAAAATGGGGGCCTTGGACACAAATCCCTGTGTTGGGATTCTGGCCACCCATGCCTGCTGGTCACCCTCAGTTCCTCCCTGGATTTGATTCTGTGGCTCTTCTGGATGTGCATGTGAGTGTGTTATGGGTAAGTCTGTTGTTGTTGAGGGGAAGGAAGGGGAAATTAGCCAGCCAGGAATCTCTGTGCGGTGGCTGTCATGAGCTTAGCTATATCCAAGCCCTGTGTGATTGTTACTTTTCAAGGCAGCAGGGTGACTTTGAAATCAGAGGGGTATTTTCCTTATTCACAGAGACTCGGCTCTTCCCTCTGCCCCTCCTCATCATCTTCCCCCATTCCGTCCCCTCATTCCTCTTGCTGGCTCACATACTGAGTAGGGCATCTCAGCCCTCACACAGGAGGCCATGAGAAAGAGGAGGCAGAGCTGTCAGAGTGTGACCCCTCATTTTGTGGTTGTGCAAGTGACTGCTCCTGCCCCTGAGTGGCTCTCATTCAATGGGTCAGGGGTGTAAGGGACATTGTCCAAGCTGTGTATGGGACTCTCTGTTGATGCTTGTTTTTAAATAAACTATTTGATTGAGCTTGTCTAAAATCTTCTTTGTGCCAAGTGTCAGGACAGGTGATAGAAAATTCTGACCAAACCCAAAAGTTCCAGTATCAAAATTGACAGTGATATATCCTCGCTTCTTAACACAGCCAAGAAACAGGGGTAAAGGATTATCATCCACATATGGAGAGTCCACCAGCCTTTGTGACAGTAGCTGAACACAGAACATTCTCTGCAGATGTTGCTGAGGCTTAAACTCGTTATGTTTATAAGGATAATCTGCTGTTCTTAAGAAGGTAAAAACAATTGCAAGTTTACCTGCCCTCTCCTCCTCTGCCCCCACTTAACATTCTGGTAGGGCCTAGCAGGGGGAGTTTTACAAGGAATTGGGGCAAATTACTCCAACAGATACTTCCACCTAACATCCTAAGAAGCGTGTGTAAATGCTGTTGTGAATTTTTTAACAGTATTCCAAACTCCTATTAATTATTAGGTGTTTGCTCAAGTCAAGAGCAGCAGAAATACAGGCCTTGCTATCACAGGATCTGTAGAGACCCAGGATGCTGCTAAACATCCTACAGTGTGCATCACAGCCCCCTGCCAACCAAGACATTGCTGTTTATTCTACACTTCCAAGGCCCTGACTTGAAGACTAAATTTGATTTCAGCCCAGGCTGAAGTTTGAAGCATCATTAGTGGGAAGTGAGATAGCACAACAGTGGAGGACAAAGCATGTTACTGTCAGTGCCGCAAGGGAAGTTTGAGCCAAATTGTTAAGGGATTGAGATGGGATTTCTTTATGTTGGTCAGGCTGGTCTTGAACTCTTGACCTCAGGTGATCTGCCTGCCTCAGCCTCCTAAAGTGCTGGGATTGCAGGTGTGAGCCATTGTGCCCGGCCTTCATTAGCTTATTAAGTTTTTCCTGGGATTCCCAGTCAAATCTGTGAAACAATTTTAAAGCTAGATGTTTTGTAATTATTTCTCCAGAAATCTGGAAATTTGTCCACAGGCCCACTGGGCATTGTTGATACACTGAAGTCAATTGTCTCAAGCATTTTGCGGATGTCTCTGTAGACACGAGTGTGATTAATAGAAACATATATTATTTTAAAGGTGTTGCTGAATTTACAGTCATTCTGTATTTTTGTCATTTGGTATTTTTTCCTGAAAGATTACATAATTTTACATAATAAAAGTGCAGCTTGCTTTCTTTATCTAGGTGATCTGTGAAACTTTTTGACACTTAAAAATTGGTTTTAATTGTATTTTGCCATGTTACTTGCAGTTTCAAGGGGGTGAACATAGTGGTGAAAGATTGGGTAGTACAGCAGGATCTAGCCGTATGATTACTAGCCAACCATTAAAAATAATACTTTAGAAGTGATACATTTATTGGTATGACCAGGTGTTTACAATATATTGCAGTGGTGTTTCTGCAACCCACAAGAGACCAGCAGCCCAGCTGGGACTCTGAGAGCTTCTAAGATATGTCCCTGGAGTAAACCAGGCTGCAGCGAGGTCTGTACACTTCTGTATTGTTTACTGACTTATAAATTTGGTTTACGTAGCTAGACTTTGGTGTTGTACAATTATCACACACTGGGGGTTATTTGAAGAAGTATCCCAAGGAACTGTCTTGTGTGTTTACTGAGGATAGCATTGTATGCAGTGTACAACTTCCTCTTTCTGAGAGAAATTTTGCACGTGTCAGAAGTCTAGGAGCTGTGTTTCGGATACTTGTATCTTCTTTATTGTTTAGATACTGTGAATCCAGAATCTAACTATAGTTCCTTCTTTGAGGTCTAGGAAATTTGAATCAGTTTTACAGTTACCTTCCAAGTGATTGCAGGTTCTGTCTGATTGCAAACTTTGGGTACCACCTTCCCCTTATCAGCTTTATCTCCTTTGTCTTAGCATGATCTTCTCTTGGCCACAGTTTCCTCACCGAATTACTTTATTTTTGCTATTTTATATGTGCTTTTGGAAGCCATGCCAACTTTTTTCTCTTCTTTTCCTTAGCGGGGAGATAAAAGTGTTTCAGTAGAGGAGAGTGCTGTGGCTTCATGGAGGTTGTTGGTTTGCAGTAACTTTTGAATTCCGGTATTTTAACGACATCTTATGCTAATCTAGCTGCTTCCTGTTGAAGTATATCAGGACAAAGTATATTTCTAAATTTATTATGATGAATACTCTATTAAATTTACTATGATACATAGTCTTAAAAGCAGCCGAATTTAACATTCAGAACTGAATGATAAAGTTCCTTAATATGAGTTTAGAAAAGATTCATAATGATTAATGGAGCTCCTGCATTATCGAATTTTACTGGAATAAAAAAAATTATTAGGCTTGTAGTGGAAATTCTTTTATATCTCCGTTACTGCTGAGGAACAGTTTCCTCTAAACCCCTCATAGCCTTGAATATACTTCGTGTGTGTGTGTGTGTGTGTGTGTGTGAGTGTGTGTGTTTGTGTGTGTGACACAGGGTCTCAGTCTGTTGCCCAAGCTGGAGTGCATTGGGGTGATCTTGGCTCACTGCCACTGCTGCCTCCTGGGTTCAAGCCATTCTCCTGTGTTAGCCTCCCGAGTAGCTGGGATTACAGGTGTGTGCCACCATGCATGGCTAACTTTTATATTTTTAGTAGAGACAATAGCATTTCATTGTGTTGGTCAGGATGGTCTCCAGCTCCTGACTTCAAGTGATCCGCCCTCCTCAACATCCCAAAGTGCTGGGATTATAGGTGAGCCACCACACCCAGCTGAATATCCTTCATAATGTTTGTTGAAAAGCAGGAAATGAAAATGAGGTATTGGAAGTAAAAGTTTTTTTTGTGTCCCATGAAACATGTATAACACATTGCTGCAGAAAGAGTGCTTAGTTATTTCTCAAATTATACAAAGGAAATATTTGCAACCTCTTCTATCATCAGTGCAGCAGTCCCAGTTGTTCTCTGTTAATCATAGCTGACAAAAATGCCCTCCAGTTTATTGCTTTGATGAGCCAGATGGTAGGCTCTGTGTTTTACATGTAATATCTCTATTCCTTCCATCGTCTGCCTAACCTAGATATCCTTCATCCCATTTTTATGAGACTCATGGGTTCTTGTCTGGGATCCCACACCTAGTAACTGACAAGATTGCAAACTAGTTCTGTCACCTGTGGAGTTTCATGACAAAGACAATTCTAGGCGATGTTGGTATAGTGTTCTCTGCATGCCAGGGGGATTCTGTGCTCTTTCCATGTGTGAATGATGGCATCTGCTAACTTTGTTGGGAGAGTTCAGTTATCCTCTCTGTACAGGTGAGAACAGGAGGTACTGAAGACATCTGGCCCAAGAATACTATCGCTGGCATGGGGTGGGTGGTGATTCCCCCGCAGTCCTTCTGGCCCAGAATGCATGCTGTTTGTTGTCAGGCCAGCTGCATCTCAGATAGAGTGACAGGATCTGTTCATGTCACAACCAGAAAAGGCTCTGAGGCCAAGCTCCCTGTGTTGCTTCTTACTTTCATTCTGGAATCAGAGGTTCGTACCTGGAAGACTTACCTCTGCGTGGACAACTGGTAAGGTGTCACAGAGGGTGAGGTGGGCCATTGTAGCAGAGAGTTGTTAAGAGATGGACACATGGGTTTTCTCACAGGGTGCCAGGCTGGGGAATGGGAAACCATTTAAGGGACGTTGCTACTAGCCTAGACCAAAGATGAGGGGTGGGTCTAGACAGATTACACAGTGTTCATTAAGCAGGTGTAGACAGATTGCAGGGCTATTTGTGAAGCTGATTTGCTGGGGTTCTTTGGGGGTGGAAAACCTCTTATGTATGTTCATCCCACCTCCTGTTGTTGACAGATGACACCTGCACAATCAGGTCCTCCTAATTCCTCCCACCACCCAAAGTGAAATACACAAGTCCCAGAGAACTATGTCATTCTTACCAATGTGGGCAATGTAGGATGTCAGAAACATCATCCACCCCAAGTTATGACAATCTTGAACATCTCCAGACATTGTCAAATGTCTCTTGGAGGGGGCACAATTATCCACAGTTGGGAACACAGGCCTAAATGCTTGGGGCCAGGGCTGACCCACTCGGTGTAGGCTAGAACAGAATTCCCGATGACTCATCATTAGGACATTTGACACCCCCCACCTATCACCTTTTTAAAACATTTCCACTCTTGGTAAAGGTTGGGGCTTAGAAGTCATTATGAAGACAATCATTTCCAGAGGGGTGAGAATCAGAAAGCTGGCTACTTCGGGTCTCTGCCTTGTAGGAGTTCCAGAGTGTCTTTATGAGTAGAGTGAAGCTCCAGTATTTATATGAGTGTTGGGGTTGTTTGGTGGTACAGAGTAATGCAGAAGGAGAGAACTGGGGAACTGTTCACCACCACCCAAATAGGCTACAGAGAAGAAGTCCAGGAGACTTATACTGCAACGGAGACAGGAGCACTGTGGCCGGAAGAGTGACATCCGGGTTTTCTGTGAGTGCTAATTTCTTCTGCTAGAATGAGCACAGAAACATGTTCTCTGGAGTGAAAGTGGAACATTGTGTGGTTGATACGTGTGCAGCTGCCCATAGCAGCTCTTCCTGATGGTCTGAATATGGAGGGTGGCAGTTGGAGCAAGTTTGGTTTTTGAATAGACATGTACATGTGCCTGTGTGTGCATGCACGTACATGTTGTATATGTGTGTGCATTAGCACCCAGTTCCTGAATTGGCTAATCATTTTTTTTCCTCTTTATAGGCATTGATGTCCTAGGTTGTAAGGTGCTAAGGTAAGTGAATAAATTTGTCTGCTTGTGTTTAATGGCTTTGCCAAAGGGATTTGCTGGCTGTTTTGTTATATGATATTGAAGCTAATACAATTGACCTTTCCAGGTGAAGAGGGAGTCAGATGTGTTTTGCAAATGGTGGAAACTGAAGTGTGAATAGCAGGACCATATGGTGTTCAGAAACTTTTATCATAACTACAGTGAATAAATAAAGTGCCTGACAATTACATTTAGAATCATGCTTCGTCCTCATGCAAAATGTAGACAGCGCTTTGAGACACAAGGGAGAGATTAATTAGGATTCTTTTCTACCTCATGATGCAGTATGTTATCCGTGAACAAAAAATAGATTTGTATTATGTGAGGATTATCTTTCTAAAGATTGGAGTTGGATCTGTGGGGAGAGATTTGAATTGCTCTTGATTGACAATTTGATGAATTTGAAAGATCATTTTATCCTACTTAAAATGTATTATCTTTACATGTGATTTTTTTTGTCTCTAAAGATTAGTTTCTCCCTCTAAAGATTAGTTTTATGACACAAAATTTATTTTATCACTGTAATTTAAATAATAGCAAATGCTTAGAAACATACTATGCAACTGATAGCTTGTTAAAACTTTGTCGGTATTTTATTTAGAAGTAGTGATTTTGCCAGTTAGTTGTACAACAGTGCACTATTATTATTATTATTATCATTATTATTATTTTTGAGACAGAGTGTCACTCTGTTGTCCAGGCTGGAGTGTAGTGGCATGATATCGTCTCACTGCATCCTCTGCCTCCCAGGTTCAAGTGATTCTCCTGCCTCAGCCTCCTGAGGAGCTGGGATTACAGGCAACCGCCACCACGCCCAGCTAATTTTTGTATTTTTAGTAGAGATGGGGTTTCACCATGTTGGCCAGGCTGGTCTTGGACCTCTCACCTAGTGATCCACCCACCTTGGCCTCCAGAGTGCTGGGATTACAGGTGTGAGCCACCGTGCCCAGTGAAAAGTGCAGTATTTTTTATTAAGCCTCATAAGACATAAGCCTCACAAGAGGAAGTCAAGTTTGTGCGTCTTTAGTGTCTGCTGTTCTCCTTATTTGAATAGCTCGTATGTTTAACCCTGAATTTGTAAATGCTACAAGCATAAAAAGATTCCATGTTCTATAGGAACTACTGGATATGAAATGACTTATCTAAAGAGTAGACTAAGACATTTCTCCGTTAATCTTTACATAGAAAAATGAATGATTTTTCCTGAATATTTGTTTCCCTTTACATACAGTGTTACTATGTCTGTTTCTCTTTGTCATAGAAAAAAAGTGATTTTCTTTGGCTTTTGATTTTGTTGTGTATTTGTTTTAAATACAAACCTATTGTATGCTTGCTGTATTCTAGATGGGGGTGGGGAGAGAAAGAAAGATACAGAGAGAGAGAAAGAAATAGAGAGATGCTACACACTTTGTTTTTTGAGACAGAGTCTTGCTCTGTCACCAGGCTGGAGTGCAGTGGCACAGTCTCGGCTCACTGAAACGTCCACCTCCCAGGCTTAGGCGATTCTCCTGCTTCAGCCTCGTGAGCAGTTGGGACTACAGGCATCCGCCACCACACCCACCTAATTTTTGTATTTTTAGTAGAGAGGGAGTTTCACCATGTTAGCCAGGCTGGTCTCAAATTCTTGACCTCAAGTTATTTGCTTCTGAAAGTGCTGGGATTACAGGCATGAGCCACCATGCCTGGCCACTACACACTTTTAAACAATGAGGTCTCATGAGAACTCTGTCACAAGATAGCACTACAGGGATGATTTTAAACCATTAGAAACTGCCTCCATGATTCAGTCACCTCCCACCAAGTCCCACCTCCAACATAGGAAATTGGAGTTTGACATTAGATTTGGGTGGGGACAACAGAGCCAAACCATATGAAAGCTGTATTGAAAAGTGATTCCCAGTCATGTGGATAGAACGATAGGCTCATGTGGTTTGAAATGGGTATACAGAAGATTTGCAGTTTGGTTTTATTCTACTTTCTATCTAGGTTCTTGGCACTAGAATGCCTGGAAAAGGATTTGTTTTATCTGCGGTATTTATGGAATGAATAAAAGCATTCAAGGAGAATGCCCTGGCTGGCCTCCTAGCTTCCTCTAGAGCATCCAGTATACAGAAGAACTGGTTCTTACCACAGCATGTGGAAAGACACATGGAGTAGTTGGCTTGCCATACAAGGAAGTTGCTGTCAGGGGCCTTGCTGTTCATTTTAGGTGTTTGGTGCTTGATTCTATTAGCCTATATATTACTCTTTTCCTAAGTACCTCAGTAGCTCCCCAAAGTGGAAATGAGCATTGTTCATAGTTCGGGGGCATAAGACCCATGTTTATGCACAAAGGGATGTTCCTGCTTATGTGATAACCATTCTACAAGGTCCTTGAGCTCCTGCAAGGAACCATAAGGAATAAAATCATAGAATTATTATGAAAATAGTAATGGTGGGATATGGAAATTATACTAAATTTTTTCCTCTGAAACTAAGTGGAATGTCACCTGAGAGTTGGTGCTGAAGGCAGACCTGATTTTTCTGTTTTTAAAGCATTTTTGTCATAGTCGTTGTATTTGTGCTGTTCTAATATGGCAGCCACTAGCGGCATGTGACTGTTTAAGCTTAACTAAAATTAAGTAAAATTTAAAATTCAGTTTGTCAGTCACATTAGTCACATTTTGAATGTTCAGTAGCCACTTGTGTCCAGTGCGTACCTTATTAGAAAAGGAAGATATAGTGCAGAAAGTTTTACTTGACCAGAGGAACAATTCAGACATTTGCCTAGTTGGAATTCCAGGGAAGAGAGGGAAAAATATTTTAAATCTGAAGAAGAAAGAAATTTCACACCAGGAACTACAAAACAATGCATACAAATTAACCACATCAAAATATTATACCGCATCAAAGCTCATCATCATAACATCTTAGAATATTAAGATCTGTCACTTTCCTGAATTTTTCAAAAAAAGCAAATGAAGGATATTGGAATCAAAATTACATCAGATTGCTTAACATTAACACTAGAAGTCAGAAAAAAGACCTAACATGGACTTCTTTGAAAATAATATTACTCTGAGAATTTTGAAGTTGTTCCTGTCCTAATTGTTAATTAATGATTTCCTTCAAATTTTGAAGTTATTCACATCAATTAATAATAATAATTAGTTATTCATCATTAATTGTTAATTAAGGGTAGAATAAAGGTGTTTGTCCACATTGAGGATATCAGTAAAAATTAACTTTCACATGGAAATTCTTAGAAAACTAATAAAGAATATATTCCACCAAAGTGAGGGAGTTAACCCAGTATGAGGGAGGTTTAGGATCCTGCAGATAAAGGAAGAAGGAATTCTCAAACGTTGGGTGTTTTCAGGGCAGTGGCTCTTGCAGTACAGACTACAGACTAGAGCAGGAAACAAGAAATTTCCAAAGGAAAGTCTGGTGTGAGTTTATTGGTTAGGGGTGGGAGGGATGGGGAGGGTGTTGGTGGAGAAAGGAAACACTGACCAATTATCTGAGAGTTTTGGTCCTGTGAAAAGTGTAATTGAGACTGTTAGAGAGTGTTGAAAGAATTATCAAATGGTACACAAAAGACTGGAATAAAAACAAAGGCAACTGACAACTCCAGGAGAATGCAAAAAGTATATAAGAAAGAAATGATTACTGCTCAGTAGTGCCCATTTATAATATTGTGAAAATACATGTGTAATATATGATATAGCCAAAACCAGGTTATATGAGAATATTGAAAACTTACCATTGAAAATGGGAAGGTCAGTACAGAATTGGCCGTGGGAATATAGAAAAACAAAAGTCCTTACTGTATGTATGAAAATCAGTAAGTGGTATCGAAAATCGATTTCTTAATTGGAGTATCATCAGCAAATTATTTAGAAACATAGAAGTTTGGCTGGGTGTGGTGGCTCATGCCTGTAGTGTCAACATTTTGGGAGGCCAGAGGGGGAAGATTGCTTGAGCTGAGGAGTTTGAGACTAGCCTTGACAACACAGTGAGACCATGTCTCTAAAAAAAATTTTTTTAATTAGCCTAGTATGATGGCATGCCCCTGTGGTCCCAACTACACAGGAAGCCGAGAGGGGGGACTGGTTGAGTCCAGGAAGTCAAGGATGCGGTGAGCTATTACAGTGCCACTGCTTTCCAGCCTGCGTGACGGTGAGACCCTGTCTCCAAACAAACAAACAAACAAACCATGGAAGTCTATATACAGGGAACACCACCATCACCAAAAATAGTTCTAAGATTTGAAAGTGGTTGCTTTGGGAAGTGAAAATGGGGATAGATGATGCTGAAAGACTTGTAATTAATAAAAGGAGTCTTTTTGCTTCACCTGCACTTACTTTTTAAAACTTTATATGTGTATTACTTTGTGAAGAATAAAGTGCTTTGAAAAATAAAAGTGTAGAGCAGGGATTGCCAACCCTTTGAAAAATAAAAGTATAGAGCAGGTACTGGCCTATGGCCTGTTAGGAACCAGGCTGCACAACAGGAGGTGAGCTGCATGTGGGCCAGTGAGCTAGTGAGCGATTACCACTTTAACTCTGCCTCCTGTCAGAGCAGCAGCAGCATTAGATTCTTATAGGAGTGTGAACCCTATTGCAAACTGTATGTGTGAGGGATCTAAGTGTCATGCTCCTTATGAGAATGTAACTAATGCCTGATGATCTGAGGTGGAACACTTTCATCCTGAAACCTCCCCCTGCCCACCACCCCCTGTTGGTGGAAAAAATTGTCTTCCACAAAACCAGTCCCTGGTGCCAAAAAGGTTGGGCACCGCTGGTATATGGTATACCCTCTGTAGAATTGTAGAATTGTAGAAATTTTGGCAGATGCTAACCTAGATGCCGGTGGCATTCCTCCCTGAATCCTGACAACTAAAAATGTTTCTAGACATTGCCCTGTGTCTCTTGGGGGTCAAAATCTCCTCTCTTTTAGAACCACTGATTTCAAGGATTTTAAAGTGCATTACTAAATACACATCAATATATAATAAACATGCTGTTTGATATTGGTAATACAGGAAACAGTAGCTTCTTTTTATAGAACTTGAACCCTGGAGCAAATGAAGTGGTTCAGAATCCTCTGGCACTATAGTACCATTGATGCTTATACTGGTACATATATTAGTCAGAGTCTGGCTTTATGCCCGACTAACTCAGGGTTTACTAAGAAAGGAAAAGGGATCAGGAGGAACCCACAGCTTCTCTGTCATGATTCGTGGCTTCCAAAAACGTATTTTAGGTGTCTCATGTTGCTTTTATGGTACAACTTCTCTAGAGTTGAAAATATTAATCATTATGGCAAAAATATTGCACCTTTTATATGTATTCCAGTGCTCGGTTGGCTGCAGGACAAATCGTTTTCCCTCCAGAGTTGTTTTGTAAGTTCTTTGTTATGTGTTTTCCTCTAGAATTTACACAGGAAATCAACAGGAAAATGGTATCCCAGACTTTTTGATGTGGATGAAACCTCATAAATAGTGTAAAACCTTCATTTCACAGCCGAGGAAACTAGTCCAGGGAGGGTTTCTTACAAATAAGTGGAAGCACAATGGGGCCTGGAACTCTGTTCTTCTGTTTTGTGCTTTCCTTTTAAAATATCACACGTGTGTCCAGTAATGCTGGAGGAGCAAGATAAAATGGGGAAGGGCTAGGGCATCTGATGCATCATGGGAGTTTGTTAGGATTTTCACACCGTTACAAGTTCTCAGCATCCTCTGCAAGGGGTGTATGCCCTTAATAAGCTTAGAGAAAATGGCAAAGAGAGGCAGGAAATGTAGTTTCCATGATCTTTCTATGAGCTGCCCCTGTACCTCACTACCTTATGGCCCAGAACTGGGTGGGGGGTGTAGGCTGGTGCATTAGCATGTCTGACAGGGAAGACCCTGGCTTCCCGGTCTTGTAACTCTTGTTACTAGGGCACTTGTGGAGCCAGCGTGCACTGCCCCTGCGGCTGTTCTTAAAGCAGTGGCCAGAAGAGTGAAATTGGCCTGTACTGGTTGGGTGCGGAGCTGCTTCTTCACGGGTCCCTATGTTCTGACTGTCCTGTCCCCTCCCCTGGGATCAACCCTCCTCACCCCAGATGGTTCAGCCTATGAGGGTTAATGTCTGCCCCAGCTTAGGGGATGCTGGTGTCCCACCCAAGTCGGTTGTTCAGTATAGACAGTGCCATCTGCAGTCTGCAGGGCCGTCTTGCCCAGGTGGCCCCTTCTTCTGTTGGCTGGATGGGGCACTCTGTTCTGACCACCTTCTGTCTCCTTCCAGGCCACATCCTTTTTCCTGAGCACTGAGAGCATCACCCCACATTTTTAGAAACCTCAGCACCTCTATCTTACCCCATCCATTGCCTTTGGTACCACTCGAACCTCTTTCTATTCCTCCTCTCCTAAGTTCTCAGGCCAACCCAAGTGCCAGCTACCCCCTGTAGGTTTCCTCCACTGGGACAATGTTACACAAATATGAAAACAGGACTTTCTTCAAAGAAAATTCACAAAGGACCCACATATTTTGCTGCTGTTGTGGGGTTCAGTCTGGTTTGTTACCTGAGGCCTGCCAACAGAGAGACTGTGCAGTGGACACACCTGTGTGGTTTCAGAATGACTTCTCTGTGCTGGGCCCAGTGGCTCTTGCCTCTTTTACCAGCACTTTGGGAGGTCTAGGCAGAAGGATCCGTTGGGCCCAAGAATTTGAGAACAGGCTCAGCAACATAGTGAGACTCCGTCTCTTAAAAAAATTATAAAAGAATGCCTCTCCACTTCTGCTTCCTCATTGTAAGCTGACATCACTGTAGGGTTTGCATGCATTGCTGTCCCTGGAGGTCTCTCTGGTTGGCTCCATGCTTGTCCAGGGCGTGAGTTTGCTCTATCTCAGCATGCTCTGGTGGTCAGCATGCTGTCCATTTTGAGCATTTTGTGACATTTGTCACCAGCAGCCAGCAGCAGGACAGGGCGCCAGCCTGAATTTCCTCCTTTCTTGTGGGCACTTCTCTCTCTGGCTGGCTGCTCCTCCTCCTCTCAGGGTTTTATCCTTGGCTTACAGTTTTGACCAGTGGTTCTCAACAGTGATTGTGCCATCTCAGGGACATTTGGAAATGCCTGGGGGACATTTCTGGCTGTGATAGCTGGAGAGGGAGGTGCTACTGACATTCGGTGGGTGAAGCCCTGGGATACTTCTTACCTCCTCCAGTGCACAGGACGGGCCACCACAGAGGACTATGTGGTGCAATGTCAGGAGTGTCGATGCTGAGAAGCCTGCATTGTATGCTCATGCACGGGCCCATAACTTTCAGATGGTGCTTATACGAACACCCACAGACTTGCCTCCGTATCTGTGAACCAGATTTGTATATTTACCTAGATGACACCCCACTTGGAGACGGAATGGACATTTCAAAGTCAGTAGCCACACAGGAGTCTCTTCAGCCTTCCTGCATCCCAGGGGTGGCAACACGCTGTGAGTTGTCTTTTTCTATCCCCAAACCTAGGAGTTCTCCTTGGTGCCCCCTTCATGGGTCCCTCAGTTTCATCAAACACCTTAGGATCCTGTAGATTCCTGTTCCTCTCATCTCCACTGCTAGCCAGCCAGCATCATTTCTCTTCTGAGCAAAGCTTCACTGGGTTTTGTTCTAGATGTGACAGGAAGCTCTTGTGGGAGTTTTAAGCAGAAAAATGGTCAGATTTCCTTTTTAAGTTAAGCCTGATGATGGGTGAGGAAGAGGTTATAGGGTGCGGGGTGTGTGTAGGACCTAACTCCTTTCCACGGGCTGCAAAATCTTCTGTGCTTGGGATCTGCCACCCCCTGCTTCTGTCGTCATGCCCACTGGTCTTCCACCCTTGGGCCCAGTTCATTCTTACCACAGGATATTTGCACTTGTTTCGTCTGCAGCCTGGTCTCTCTCACCCCATCCAAGAACTCCCTCTTCAGAGAGCTCCACCCCAACCCCCCATTTAAAGCAAACTCCAGCCAGGTGCTGTAGCTCATGCCTCTAATCCCAACACTTTGGGAGGCTGAGGTGGGAGCATCACTTGAGGCCAGGAGTTCAAGACCAGCTCAACATAGTGAGACTCCCCACCTCATCTCTACCAAAAATTTAAAAATGAGCCAGGTATGGTGGGGTCTGCCTGTAGTCCCAGCTACTTGGGAGGCTGAGTGGGGAGGATTGCTTAAGTTTGCTCGTTCAAGGGTGAAGTGAGCTCTGATCACACCATTGTACTCTAGCCTGGGCATCAAAGCCAAACCCTGTCTCTGAAACAAAACCAAACAGAGCAGAACCAGGTTGTTTTGGCAGCATCTGATGTAGCATGGCTTGTGAGCAGGCCTCTGCGGAGGCATCTTTCTTCAGTCTAGTGTCTGTGTGGCCGCCAGTCTGAGTAGAGAGAATCCTGACGTCCATAGGATGGGTCCTAGAAGTTGACATCTCGGTGGGTTTTTTTTTTTTACCCACTTTACAATGACACCTGGAGCTCTTTGAATTAAGAGCATCCTTTCAGACCACTTTCAGTGAAAAATCTTCTATTTCTGGAATGAACGTCTTTTGAATATGTCCTGATAAACCCATCATAATTTGAAAGTACTAAAGTCAAAAATGCATTCAATACACCTCACCTACCAAACATCATACCCTACCTTAAACTCGTTCTGAACACTTACATTTGCCCACAGTTGGGCGAAATCATCCAACACAAAGCCCACTTTATAGTGTTATCTCATAAAATACATTGAATACTACTGTACTGAAAGTCAGAACCAGTATGGTTGCATGGGTACTTGAGGTATGGTTTTTGCTGAATGAGTGTGACTTTTGCACCATCTTAAAGTTGAAAAATGCTAAGTCAGGTCATTGTAAGTCGGGGACCATTTGTCTAAGTTATGTGGAATTGACAACACGTATAGATTCATACACCCGCCACCATAATCCAGGTGCAGAACTATTCCGTAACTACAGGGAAACTTCCTTATGCCACTCCTCTAACTGTTCGCAGCCACTGTATTGTCTACCTCTGTAATTTTGTCATTTCTTTTTTTTTTTTTTTCTCTTTGAGATGGAGTTCTTCCTCTGTTGCCCAGGCTGGAGTTCAGTGGCATGATATCAGCTCACTGCAACCTCTGCCTCCTGGGCTCTAGAATTTTCCTGCCTCAGCCTCCCTAGTAGCTGGGATTAGAGGCGCCCACCACCACACCTGTTAATTTCTGTATTTTTAGTACAAACAGGGTCTTGCCATGTTGGCCAGGCTGGTCAGGCTGGTCTTGAACTCCTGACCTCAGGTGATCTGCCTGCTTCAGCCTCCCAAACTTCTAAGAGGACAGGTGTGAGCCACCGTACCCAGCCAATATTGTCATTTCAAGCGTGTTAGGTAAATGGAATCATACAGCATATGGTCTTCAGACTGCCTTCATCCACTCATCCTGATGTGTGAGATCCATCCCAGTTATGCAGATCGATAGCTCGATCCTTTTTCTTTCTGAGTGGCTTTTCATGGCATGGACGTACCCAGGTCGATTTCTCCATTTTCTCATGGAAGGGTGTTTGGGTTGTTTCCAGTTTGAGGCTGTAAACACCTGGGGAGAGGTTTTGGTGCAGATCAGATGCTGCTCGAAGCCCTCATTTATTGTTCTTGCAGCCCTGTGTGTGTGTTGGGGTGGAGGTGGCTAGTGGTAGGCTTTCTCCCAAGCAGTGCATGTGTTGGGTAGATGCCAGGACTGTTGCAGGCAGTGTAATCTCTAGGAACAGGTTTATGCATGGACCTGGGCAACTGGGGAGCACAAACTCAGAACCACACCCATCAGGAGGGATTGACCTGAGTAATGTGCTGATGCATGTCATTAAGACAGTGACAGATACCTTGCTTGGATGAATAATTGGAATTCATGTCAACCATGTGGACTTTCCCATAATTTAAAGCCAATTTGCATGTTTTTTGGGCTCATACTTTTTTCATTAATTACATGTAAACTTGGGATAAACACCTTTCTTGACTTTCTGTTAAAAAAATTACAGTTCTTAAAATTATAAGCTTGTATAACATGGGATGGTCAGTTTTTAGAAAATCTAGTTCTTTGATCTTTGAAAAACACTACATAAAAAACAGAAAAGACTCCAGGGTTTGGTGACTAGCACCTGTAATCCCAGAACTTTGGGAGGCTGAGGTAAGAGAATCATTTGAGCTAAGGAGTTTGAGACCAGCCTGGGCAACATGGTAAGGCCCTGTTTCTACATAAAAATTTAAAAATTAGCTGGGCGTGGAGGTGCGCGCCTGTAATCCCAGCTACTTGGGAGGCTGAGGTGGGAGAATCTGTTGAGCCCAGGAAGTCGAGCCTTCAGTGAGTCGTGATTGCACCACTGCACTCCAGCCTGGGTGACAGAGCAAGACCCTGCCTCAAAAACATAAATAAATAAATAAATAAATAAATAAATAAATACCAAAAAAAAGACCTATCCTTATTTTATGAGGCCTTGATTTTTAAATGTGCCCAGTGTTCATTTGAATCTGCCCATCAGTTAGTCTTTTCCTGATGTCTCAGAGAAACATGCATGGTGTATGGAATGTCTTGGGTGACCAAGAGTGGCACCTTCAAGAGGACTGCCCTGTGAATATGGCCCCACATTCGGCTCTTGGGCACTTGAAAAGTGTGGCCATTGTGACTGAGAAACAGAATTGTGAATGTTACTTAATTTGCATGTGTTTAAGATGTGGCCTGTAATCCCAGCACTTTGGGAGGCTGAGGCAGGGAGATCACGACGTCATGGCTAACACAGTGAAACCCCATCTCTACTAAAAATACAAAAAAATTAGCCAGGCATGGTGGTAGATGCCTGTAGTCCCAGCTACTCGGGAGGCTGAGGTCGGAGAATGGCATGAACCCAGGAGGCAGAACTTGCAGTGAGCCGAGATCGTGCCAGTGCACTCCAGCCTGGGTGACTCCATTTCAAAAAAAAATCAAAAATGTGACCAGCGGCTACTCTTCTTGGACAGAGCAGACCGATAAACAGTCTGGCTTGATGGATGAGGGTGGGGAGTTCCGCAGTTCTCGTAGGAGGCATAGTGAGCTTCTGTAAGAGCCAGCCTTACCTGGGTTTGATTTTAGATGCCTGAAAACACTGATACCGAATTCCTTTAGAATAGCGCTTCTCAAAGTGGGTGACTTTGTATCCTTCCCATCCCACAAGGGACATCTCACAGTGTCTGGAGGCATATTTTTGTGGTGACAGTGGGTATTACTGGCATCTAATGAGTAGAGGTGGGGCTCAACATTTCACAGTGCACAGGACAGCCTCATAAAAAGAAATCATCCAGCGCCAGATACACCGTGGTGGAGGAGCCCTGCTTTCTATTCCCAAGGCTGGTACAGTCCTAACATATGATGTGGACAGTGCAGACCCAGCTTTTTATAAGTGAAGAGATGGCACTTGAGCAGTCGTGCAGCCTGGCAGTGCCAAGGGCAGGACAGTAGGTCAGGTCTGACTCCGTGTAGCTTCTCAGGCAGTGTTCTCTTCTTCCCTCTGCGACTCTAATTTGTATTAAGGGTAAAAATATGAAGTTGATGCTTGTCATGAATCACACAGCAGCAATCTTTCATGCTTTGGTCTAATAACTTTATTGTTAAGAGAGAAACAGAAAACTCTTTGCCTCTGCACTTTCTCCAAAATTGAATTTAGGGAAAGCTGACCCTAGACCATGCATGCCCTTTCTACCAGCATTGCTATGGGTTCCACTAATGGGAGATTGATGAGGAAGTGGGGATGACCGTGCTGTACAGAAGTGCTGTCATCACTTTTATGCTTGCTTTTTTACCCCATGATAATTAGAAAGCATTTACAAAGTTCCTGTTCCTCTTTTGTAAATCATCCTTGTTAAGTGCTGAGGTGAAAGTTTTAATTTTTTTTCCTTCTTGGAGACAGGGTCTTACTCTGTTGCCCAAACTGGAGTGCAGTGGTGCAATCATTGCTCACTGCAGCCTTGAGCTATTGGGCTTAAGTGATTTTTCCAACCCAGAATCTTAAAATGCCAACAGTAACCCCCCACACAGAATGCTGCCATTTAAAGGTGGCACTGGTATTGAGAAGCACACATTGTCAGTGTCACCAACTTTGCCAGGCGTGAGCCTAGAGAAAGGAGCATGTGGGGAGACAGAAAGTGGCAGTAGAGCTCTGTCAACAGCACTGAGTAGAACCAGACGCCTGCATTAAGATAAATGTTACTCTTGCTCAGTACAAATGGGTCACCTGTGACAGATGCAGGGGTGGCATCATGGAACTGAACTGGCCATTTCTTTTTTTTTTTTTTTTTTTTTTTTTGAGATGGAGTTTTGCGCGGTCACCCAGGCTGGAGTGCAGTGGCGCGATCTCAGCTCACTGCAAGCTCCGCCTCCCGGGCTCACACCATTCTCCTGCCTCAGCCTCCCGAGTAGCTGGGACTACAGGTGCCCACCACCACGCCTGGCTAATTTTTTGTATTTTAGTAGAAACGGGATTTCACTGTGTTAGACAGGATGGTCTTGATCTCCTGACCTCGTTATCTACCTGCCTCAGCCTCCCAAAGTGCTGGGATTACAGGCGTGAGACACCGCGCCCGGCCTGCTTTATTTTAGAAAGTGGGTATAGTGGTCTGTTTCAGAAGACTCAAGTCTACACCACCTCTGCCACTGAAGTTCCTTTTGACCATGCAGAAATCTTTGCAGAAATCTTTGCCTTTCATCTCCTTCCTAAAATGCTGTGAGCACTTTTCCTCCTGGTGGCATTAATTGGGAATGGCAATGAAAGCCCACTTCTTCACAGTCCTTTGGCCCACATGCATTTCCAGCTGCTCAGTGGCCAGACTGGATTCTAAATGCCAAAAGCTACAGACACTGACAGAGTGCTTTTGAAAAGAAATAATGCATGAAATACTCCAAATTTATGGGAAATATTTATACCCAGAAGTCTTTGAGCCAAGTTTGTCCTTTAGGAACAGTGCTGCCAGACAACCATCAGCATGGCTCACTCCTGGTGGTGCAAGGATATTCTTCTTAGATGTGAGCTCTGATGTTCTACTGACATGTGTGCCCAAGAAAGCAGGGATGAGACAGCCCATAACCCTGGCTCCAGTATTGTTAAGGATGGCCCCTGATTGGGTTTCATGCATTAGTCACTGTCCTTGTTTGTTAATGGGCTGAGTTGGGTCCACTTCAACGGAGATGTATTTAAATACATCCCAACCTTTTGGATCTTGGACTGTGAGCTTATTTGGAGGTGGGATCTTAACCAACTTAAAGGGAGGGTGAGTGGCATCCTTAGAAAAGGAGAAAATTTGGACACGCTCATACAGGGAAAAGGCCATGTGAACAGCCACCTCCAAGCCAAGGAGACAGAACTGATTCTCCCTCACCACCTTTAGAAGGAACTAACCCTACCAGTGCGTTGATCTCTGAATTCTGTATTCCAGAACTGTGAGAGAGTAAGTGTTGGTTAAGCCACCCCACTTGTGGTACTTTGTTTTGGTGGGCCTATGAAACTCACCCAGTGTTACTAGTCTTTTACATATATTTCGGTCCATGAAATGCAGCCAGCATGGCAATGCCTCAACTTACAGAAATGGAGAAGGGAAAGAATATTGTGCTTCAGCTAGTTTTCTCGTTACCCAGAAAAGAAAAAAATCTGACCTCTGAAACCTTGGGGAATGTCTTCTTAAGATGCCAGAGCCCATATGTCTGCCTAGTCCATGCAGAGCCTGTACTTCTGCCTGGTCCAGGTGTATGCCACACTGGGCATCACCTCTCTCTGCCCAAGTGGCACTGGACGATGTCCAAGTCTGGTCAGATCTGGATGGGTTTGATAAATAGCTCATGCTGTTTCTGGTCAGTGAAGAAAGAGGAAGCCCAAGCCATGTGCGTAAGTTTGCTCTGGCTGCCATAACAAAGTTCCTCTAAGGCTAAAAGAGAAGTCCAAAATCAAAGTATTAGGAAGCAGCCCTCCTGAGGGCTATGAGGCAAGATCTGTTCCGTGCCTGTCTCCTAGCTTCTGGTGGTTGCTGGCAGGCTTTGGTGTCCCTTGGCTTGTAGCTGCATGATGCATATCTCTGCCTTCATTTCCACATGGCCTTCTTCCTGTGTGCACCTCTGTGTCCAAATTTCCCTTTGTATAAGGACACCAGTCATATTGGCTTAGAGCTCTGACCTAAGCCTATCTTAGATCAGACCTATCTTAACCAGTTTACATCTGCAAAGACCCTATTTCCCAATAAGGATTCACTCTCAGGAGCCAGGTATTAGGATTTCAGTATACCCCTTGGGAGGAGCACTCTTGAACCCGTAACACCATCAATTGAAAGGTTCTGCTTTCTCCCCATAAACATTGCTGCCAGATTAGGAAAAGCTGCCAGGGTGCACTTGGTGGAGGAGGGTCTCTCTCAGCAGGGCACGGTCATTGCAGTGAAAAGGAGAGAGAAACAGAGGCACACAAAAGCAGATGGATTTCCTTGGTAGTGGTGACTAGCCTGGAGTTAGCGCCTCTCATTTTACATTTCTGGGACATCCCCTGACTCTTTTATTCTGCTCTTCGCTCTTTTCCATCCCTCTGGCCCGCAGATGGGCAGGAAGGAATCCCAGTAAATGAGTTCCTTGGAATTGCAACTTGGCCTGGGACCGTGTCTTTATTTTAGATAGAAATATTGACAATTTCTGTTTATGAAAACTCAAAGGCATAATTGCAACATGATTTTTTCTTCCTTTTCTCATTATTTCATCCAATTGCTGTCTTTTTGAGAGGAGATTAGGAGCACAGTGATACTCTATACTGTGTACAGCTGTCATATATAGAACTGTCTACAATGGCTCACGTTACCATTAAACTTCAGTTATGTGACATCAAGGTTATGAAACGTAAAATGAATGATGACTAGGTAGAAATCCTGGCTGTGTCCTCCAAGTTCCTTTTCTTTCTTTCTTTCTTTCTTTCTTTCTTTCTTTCTTTCTTTCTTTCTTTCTTTCTTTCTTTCTTTCTTTTTGTAGATAGGGAATATCTGCATTTCAGCTTAGGTTGCCACCAGTTGTCTGGTTTCTTGACTATGCTGAATAATTTTCACCCACACCTTGCATCCCTTAGAAGCCCTTCTTTTTTAAAAAAAAAAAATTTAACTTAATTTTATTTTAAGTCCCAAGATGTGCAGGACATTCAGGCTTTTTACATAGGTAAATGTGTGCCATGGTCATTTGCTGCATCTATCAACCCATCACCTAGGTATTAAGCCCAGCATGCAATAGCTATTTGTCCTGATGCTCTCCCTCCCCCCACACCCCTACACCAGCCCCCAATGTGTGATGTTACCCTCCCTGTGTCTGTGTGTTCTCATTCTTCAGCTCCTACTTATGAGTGAGAACATGCAGTGTTTGTTTTTCTGTTCTTGTGTTAGTTTGCTGAAGATCATGACTTCCAGAGAAGCCCTTCTTGATTCTGAGATGGAGGCTCAGAAGGCTTTGTCATGGGAGGTTATGAATTAGGAAACATGAAAATCAGATCAACAACAGTGGCTGGTCCTGGCTGCAGGGTTCTTCTGCTTGGAGTAGCTTGAAGTTGAATGTTAATGTACGTATTTAAATGGCCATTGCTTAATTAGGTAAAGTGAACAGGTGATTTTCTCACACTAAATGGATGATGAGTATTGGTTAGCATTGTCTAAAATTTCTCTATCTTTTGACCATATACAAATACATTAAATTTTACTTCTTATGCTATATATGCTGTCTTAATAAATGATGATGGACTGAGTTTTCTCCCTTTTGGAAATGTAAGGAAAGTCTCAATGATTTTAAGTATCTTATATTTTATAATAGCGATAGAATGTAGAATTCCTAAAAAATCAAACTGAGTTCTTGATTAAATATTGAAATGCTTGTCTTCATCCACCTGGGAGCAGTCACTGTGAATGAGAAGCCCCAGTGCATAAATCATTGAATGATATATTGGAGAAGTCTCCAAGTAAAGGAAGATTTGTTTACTTTTCAGACATCTGGAAGGTGAGCCTCAAAGCAGGTGAATGGCTGGCTCTCGGATTCAGGCTTCCCTGAAGTATATCTTTCTCCTTTAAAATAAGCCACGACACAATTTTTAATTAATTATTCAGGAGGAGTCATTAATGCGAATGGAGAAAGAGCTCATTATAGTAATGTTTTCACATGCGTTCTGTGGTTTGGTGCCACAGGCTCCTCGGGTCCCGGCTAAACTGTTGTTCCAGGATCTGTTTTATTGATGTGAAACCCACTCACCACCTTTTTTTAGAATTATTTGTTTTAGAATAATTACCTAGTGATTTCATACACAATAACAATTGTACTCTTTTAAAAGATCTGTAAATGCATGTATGCTCATGTGTATAGATAACTGTTGCATATACAAATGTGCTTTTTTATATGTGTGAATTTGTGGACAATAGTTTTTCATCACTAAAATATCAAGTCCATGAGTTTGGATCTTGTACACTCTCACAGCACATGGAGGGAGACAGTGGGGACATGCTGGACCCGGGCTGAGCCTGGTAACCATCTGGAGGGGACTGCAGAGGTTGACACCCAGAGCCAGAGCTCAGCAGAGGGATCTTTTCCTACCTGCAGTTTCCTTGGAAGAGTAGGGTTCAAGCTTACTGTGTTGGGCTGCTATAGCAACGTTGCCACCAACTGGATGGCCTAATACATGTATGGTCTCCCAGTTTTGGAGACCAGAAATGAAGAATCAATGCAGGGCCGAGGAAGATCCAAGGAAAATCCTTCCTGCATGCTCTTGCAGCTCCTGGTGTTGCTGGTGGTCCTTGGCTTGTGGGCCATCTCTGGCCTCGGTGGGCATGTGACCTCCCTGAGTGTCTCTGTCTTCTTGCAAGGATACCAGTCATGGTAGATTATGGTCCTACCCTGCTGCAGTGTGTCCTCCTCTTACTTTAACTTACTGCATCTCCAGTGATCCTTTTTGCAAATGAGGTTCTGAGGTGCTGCAGATTAGGACTCCAGCATGTCATTTTTGTGGACCCAGGTCACCCCATTACAGTAGTTATGTCCCACCCCATCCCATACCACCCTTCTGCCAATTCCCCTGGTGTACTTCAAGCTGGTTACGTGACCATACATGACCCAGGCCCACTGGCCATTAGACACTTTGGCAGGGTGGCTGAAGGAATTCTTTGTGCTGAGTAAAATGAATATGTAACAAGGCAGTACTCTGAGGGTAGTGTTGTGTGAAAGGGCAATATAGAATCATGGGTCCTGATAAACAGAAGCCTGTTTAGCAGCAAGGTCAAAAGCCAGATGCAGAAGTAGAAATTAACTGGGTAGACTTAAAATTTATTTTTTTTAATTTTGAGACGGTGTTTCGCTCTTGTTGCCCAGGCTGGAGTGCAGTAGTGCAATCTCAGTTCACTGCAACCTCTGCCTCCCAGGTTCAAGTGATTCTCCTGCCTCAGCCTCCCAAGTAGTTGGGGTTACAGCCGTGTGCTACCACTCCTGGCTAATTCAGGGTAGACTTTTTATTTCACCTTTTTTTTTTTTTTTTTTTTTGCCAGGGGAATGCCAGCTGTTCTCTTAACAGAAGGGCAGTTTTTGAAGAAATGAAGCAGGACTTGATGTGGATTGTCATAAACTGTTTCTCCCTAAAGAGGTAACTTCTCATGTTTGCTGGTTCACAGGTGTAGGGAGATGTCTTTGATGTGTAGATGTCTGAGTTTGCAGCTCAGGGTAGCTTTGGGTCTGGGACCCTGCTATTGACCAACCACTTGGTGTGCGTGGGCTGTTTTTCCATGTGATGGGACAGGGGAATGCTGTGTACATGGCCGCTGTTCCACTTGGAATGTTGGCTGAGCGCTGCTGGCCTGTGTCCCTGGAATCCTCTCTGATTCAGCCATCAAACATTAACTGAGAGGTCACAGCCACCAGCAGAGCTTCTGAACCTGGCCCTGTTCTGGCCAGAGGGTCAGGAAGAGAAGACGTTTTGCCCTTGCATTTTCTGTGTCTGGAATCAAAGGTTTTTTCCACTGAGTCTTGTGTGGTTTTCTTAGAAAGAAATGCTCTCCTGGGAGAGTCTTGGGTGCCAAGTGAAACATCTTTCAAGACCTGTGGCTTTTTTCAGGGAAATGTTAAACCAAGCAAATGTCTGCTAAGAAGAGTTCTGTATTTGAAAGTTCTTGCCGGGCATGGTGGCTCACGCCTGTAATCCCAGCGCTTTGGGAGGCCGAGACAGGTGTATCACCTGAGGTCAGGAGTTCGAAACCAGCCTGACCAACATGGAGAAACCCCGTCTCTACTAAAAATACAAAATTAGCTGGGCATTGTGGTGTGTGCCTGTAGTCTCAGCTACTTGGGAAGCTGAGGCAGGAGAATCACTTGAACCCAGGAGGCGGAGGTTGCAGTGAGCTGAGATCACACCACTGCACTCCAGCCTGGGCAACAAGAGGGAAACTCCATCTCAGAAACTTTTAAAAAAGAAAATTCTCAGTGTTAGGTGAAGGCTTGACCCTGGAATTTTCTCTCTTGGTGGTGGTGGCATCACATGATAAACAGGTGACCTGACTCAGGGCCCTGCAGGATCAGCTTCCAGTGGCAGTTGTGAAGGTAGGGATATGATTTCACATTCTCATTGGAACCCACACAGAAGATTCAGCTGCTTTTAGAGTATCTGTCAGTTCCATCCATCCTGGGTACGATGTCACACTCATAAACAAACTACACAGAAACTGGAATTTCACTTTGGAGGAAAAAAATTTAAATTCTGTTAGATAAGGTAAATACCAGTAGTTTAAAGCCACAAAGGATGTCTTTCTTTCAGGTAAAGCTACTCTTCTGTGCTCATACAATATGATAGAACAGCTGCTTACATTTTTTATGTCAAGAATTTCAGACCAGGTGTGGTGGCTCACACGTAGAATCCCAACACTTTGGGAGGCCAGGGCAGGTGGATCACTTGAGGCCAGGAGTTTGAGACCAGCCTGGCCAACATGGTGAAAGCATATTTCTACTAAAAATACAGTAATTAGCTGGTTGTGGTGGCAGGTGCCTGTAATCGCAGCTACTTGGGAGGCTGAGGCAGGAGGATTGCTTGAACCTGGGAGGCTTGAACCTTGCAACGAGTCAAGATTTTGCCACTGCACTCCAGCCTGGGTGACAGAGCAAGACGCGATCACCAAAAAAAAAAGGAATTTGCTAAAATAAATCGGAGAAGGTTAGGATTTACCTCATTGTAAGTCAAGAACTTTAGGCAGGGGCTTTTCTTCTAAGAAAAAATGTCATTTATTCCATTTAGACATGTAAATGCTTAGGTGAGCAGAACAAATTATTCTCTGGAGATTTAGAAAAAAAATCAGTCTGGTTTCTATGGCTGCATGAATCTGGAAGGTAAATTATTAACCCACTAGACTAAAATTTAACTAAAGACTACCTTATGGTGGCAGTCTGTTCAATAGGGCTTTTGTTAGCATGCTTGCATGAAGGCAGACAACTCAAACAATTATTGGCTTGGATGGGGAGCAAATGCATTGGGTTAGTTTCTGTGACATGTGTTCTCATTTCTACCAGTGTACTCCAGTTTCAGCCCCTGTATCAGTTATCTATTGATTGCTGTGTAACAAATAACCCCAAACTCAGCAGGTGAAAACTACAAACACTGATGATCTCACACATGTTCTGAGAATCAGGAATCCAGGTACAGCTTAGCCAAGTGGTTCTGGCTCAGGGTCTGTCACAAGGTTGCAGCCTGTGCTGCAGCCTCTGAGACCTCGTGTGGGGCTAGAGGATCAATTCTAAGCTCAGTAAGGGTGTCACAGCAGCAGAAGTGATGCAGCATCATGTGCAGCAATTCCGTTCGTCTCAGGGACCAACCTGATAAATATGGCACAGGCCGGTACTGGAATGTAAATGCCAAAAGCCGGAGCTCATGTGTGCCATTTGAGAAGCTGCCTATCGCGTTCCTGTTTATCTTTTGCATGCATAAATTGGGACCTTGGTTAGAGAATAGCTCCTGTTGAGTCCGTAGTCATCCATCAGAAAATGCTAGGAAAAGTAGTTGTTGATTTAGCCACATTCATGCCCTCTCTTTGGAGCCATCAGAGCCCACAAATGGAGACTCTCCTTTAACAACTTAGCAGTCAGTTCATTAGAAAGTATTATTTCTCTAACCTGGGCAATATATTGAGACTCTGTCTCTACAAAAAAATAGAAATTAGCCAGGCGTGATAGTGTATTGCTGTAATTCCTGGAACTAAGGAGGCTGAGTTGGGAGGATCACTTGAGGCTTCAGTGAGTCATGATCACATCGGTGCATTCCAGCCTGGATGACAGAGCAAGACTATCCCAAAAATTAAAAAAAAAAAAATGAATGAATGAATGAATCACATACCTATTTTTTACTCTTAATTGTATTCTTGCACAGAAAAATAGTTTTGCCTCCAATCAAATCCATACAGTTACTGAGCCCCTAATGGTCGAACCTCCTCAGTTCCCACCTACACCATAAATTAGTATTAATCTTCTAGGTAATTTCACAACCACTGCTGCATCTCTGTGCTCCTTCTGCCTCAAGACATGTAGGAAATGTTGGCATTTCCCTTTCAAAAGAACGAAACAATTGAATAACCTTCTTTACAGTCCTTTGTGCACAATTAACTTAAAAAGTTAATGAGAATATTTTTCTCCAAACACGTTCACAAAGTTTACATTTTCCCTTTTACTCATGATGTCAGTCCCTTTGTTGGTCTTGGCTCTCACAGCACTAAGATCATTCATCCATTTGTTCATTGGGCAGATGTTTATTGAATACCTATGGGTCCAAGGCACTGGTCCCAGAAGACAAGGCCATGAGGACAGAGCACAGTACTAAGGGCAAACAATTTTCTCAACAGTGATTTGAGGCCCATGAGATTTGAACAAATGAGCCTCCTGAGAGCAAGTTCTGGACACTCAGCCTGCCTTAGTGGACATATTGCAGGTTCCTAAGATTTTAGAGTTGGGAGGGAATCTTTGAGATTCGCTTGTAGCCCTTACATGTTCTAGACACGGCAGATGTCCAGTGAGGAGGTGGCTTCCTCTAGTGGAGAGCTGAAGGTGGGATGAGGCAGTGTTGGTTTTGGCACCACGTCACCTAGGCACTTCTGTTACCTGGAAACAAGGCAGAGCTTTGCTTTGGCATGCAGCTTGGTGGTACCAGCATGTTTTTGTCTTCACAGTGACATGACCGTGGCTCTGAGACCTGAGGCTTAGATGGCAGCCCCACTTCCGGCTTTAATTTTTCCCTGGAGAGTTCTCACCTTCCCTGCTTTCCAAGCCTACCTGAGATGGGCAACCAAAATTTCCCAAGGCAGGAAATAGTTGAAAATAGAAGTAGAATATGAAAGAGGATGGCTTTCATTTGTTTTTTTTTTTTTTTTTTCCTTTTCTTCTCTCTCTGACTCTGTGTTTTTCTTTCCTCATCACTCACAAATAGCATCTACTTATTCAAGCCTTTCCTTCCCTTCTTCTCTTCCTCCCTCCTTCCCTTCTTTCCTTCCTTTCTTACCCCCTCCCCTCCCCTCCCTTCCCCTCCTCTCCTCTCCCCCGTCTTCTCTCCTCCCTTCCTTTTCTTCCTTACTGCCATCGTCTTTTCTCCCTGCCTCCCTTCATGAATCATTTTCCTGGCCAATTCAATCGACTGAGAAAATCCTTGGAGAAATGGCCATATTTCTTTAACACTGGGTTCCTTTCAGGGCTCAAGATTCCATTTTTTTTCTCAGTATTTTCTCCTACAGAATAGGAGTCTTCTTCATGCTACAATGTGCACTGTGTACAGAAACTGTGAATAGAGAAGTAGCCATTCTTCTTGCTAAGTTTCTTTCAGAAGGTGGTTCCACATAGATGACTTTCACTCTGAACTCAGTATCATGGGGCATGTGTGTGCCCACACATTGCCAGTTTCAGTTGTGGGCAAACAGAACTAATACTCTCTCACCAAGATAAACATACAAGGAAAGCACTCTATCTTTGTGCAGCATCATTTGCATCCTATAAAATAATGGCTTCTTAAAGCCGACCTGTCTTATGGGTGGTTTTTAATTAGTCCAAGCAGAACCTAATGTGGCCACTAATATTCCACTTGCTAAAACAAGGACAGTCGAATTCGATCTGTCATCATTGATTAGATGCATGCAGTCACCCAATGCTGTTTGCCCAAGCATCTGTAGGCATAGATTCCCCAGTGCTGATTCCCCAATTCTTGTAAGGGGCAGGACTTAATTAAATCTTAAAGTGACAGCTGAAAATTTAAGGGTCAGGAAGTCATGTCTAAAACAGGATTGATTATAACAATAATAATAGCAGCAACTAAGACTAAACCTGGTTCAGGCTATTTATTTATGAGGCTGAGTCTCACTCTGTCACCCAGGCTGGAGTGCAGTGGCACGATCTCAGCTTACTGCGGCCTCTGCCGTCCAGGTTCAAGTGAGTCTCCTGCCTCCGCCTCCTGAGTAGCTGGGATTACAGATGCCCACTACCACACCTGGCTAATTTTTGTATTTTCAGTAGAGATGGGGTTTCACCATGTTGGCCAGGCTGGTCTCAAACTCCTGACCTCAAGTGTCGCGCCCACCTCAGCCTCCCAAACTGCTTAGATTACAGACATGAGCCGTCACACGCAGTCTCTGGCTCAGGCATTTTGTTTGGGGTCACCTGGTCTTAATTAGCAGCACTCTGGGATTTGAGTGGCGCTGTGCTGTTGCCCACAAAGCCCATCAGTAGCACCATTGCCTATGTCCTTCAGGACAGTCTGTTAGGGAGGGTGGCCCAGGTGTTGGCATGGTCATCCCCATTTTATAAGTGAGGGAACCTCAGCCAGGCAGGGTCCTTGCCTGGATCCTCTGTGGGGAACCCTGTGAGCTTGTAACCCCCCATGCAGCCCAGCGTGTCAGTAGCCCCCAAATTGAGAGATAGAGAGGGCACCGAGGTGTGAGGCCATTGGCTAGCTATGTGAGCCACTTGTCAATCGCCTGGGACTTCTGAGGCCCACAGACATTCACCTGGACCTTGATCAGGTATCTCACAGAACTTGCAATAACTGAGTCTGTTAAAAATAACTTCAGGCCAGGCACGGTGGCTCACACCTGCAATCCTAGCACTTTGGGATGCCGAGGCGGGTAGATCACGAGGTCAGGAGATTGAGACCATACTGAGTAATACGGTGAAACCCCATCTCTACTAAAAATACAAAAAATTAGCTGGGCATGGTGGCAGGCGCCTGTAGTCCCAGCTACTCAGGAGGCTGAGGCAGGAGAATGGCGTGAACCCGGGAGGCGGAGCTTGCAGTGAGCTGAGATTGCATTACTGTACTCCTGCCTGGGCAACACAGCGAGACTCCGTCTCAAAAAAAAAACAAAAAAAAACTTCAAACACAGAAAACCACTTTTTGTTTCCTAGATAAGTGTAGTATTCAACTAGAATGACTGGAGGTTTTTAATTTGTTTCACATTGATCAAGGGGAAAAATAAAAGATATATCTTTTTATCGTTAGACCTTCCAGTAATGTGTGAAGTCTAGTAATAGCATGTGTGTCAGAATAACTCAGTTGTAAAGTCTACATTATGATGCTACTCATCCCTTAAATGTAGACAAAATGGGGACAATAGCTCTCGCTGCAAGCCCATCTACTCTACCCATGTATGTTGGCAGGGATATGGTACCATGTGGCTTCTACTTCTCCATCCACTTTATGGTTAGTGTTCACGCTCATTATAAAAACTCAACAAGACCAGAAATATCGTATGAGTCCTCAAGAAGGAAAATGCAGTGTTCCAGGGAGTTATGGCATCCACTACCGGCTCTGAACTTTCTTAAGTTAGTATATTTATCCAGGAACTCATACTTACCAAACTGTTTTTTAAGTTTCTTTCCTAAGTCATGCACACTCCAAGCTAAGTGTCATGGCTGCAGAGGCCCATGCCCTCATGGAGCTTGCCTGGTATTTGGGACACTGGTACCAAACAGAGAAACAAAGAAACAAAATACTTTGATGACAGTAACACATCCTGTGATAGAGATGAACAGTGTAACATGGGTTGGAGGAGATTCCACATTAGATGTAAGAAGGCCTCTATGAGGAAGAGACAGATGAACTGAGGTCTGTAGGATGTGGCTGGAAGAGCCAGGAGAAGAGAGTTTCAGGTGAAGAGGCCAGCACATGCAAAGACCAGGTACCCAGGCGCCTGAGGGAAAAGACAGAAGCCAGGCCAGCATGGTGGAGTAAGTGACCAACAGGGAGCTGAGGTGAGAGGTGGATGTGGTGAGCAGACCCTGCAGTGCCTTGTAGGCCGTAATGTGGGAAATTAAGGAACCAGAGAGACCGAGTGGAGTGCAGGAAAGTGTTTATTTGAGGTGTACACTAGCTTTGTGGACATGTGTCCTGAAAGTCTGAGCCCAGAACAAAGAAAATGAGTTCCCTTTAAGTATCTTGAGGCAGGCACTGTGTGAAGCAGGAAGCAGGCTTACAGAAGTGAGAAGAAAGGCTGCTGTGACACTTTTGCAACATATCTTACATCTCTGGGATATCTTCGTTTGCAGCTTATGCTTATCTGCCTTGTGACTTTGCATCTTTGCAGGGAAGAAAGAAACAGGAGTTTACAGAGCCTGTGAAATATGAGGAGAGTAGATATGGTTAATGTTTCTTGGGACAGGCAGTTAATATTCTCCTTTAACTTTAACTTCTCGGGAGCTACTTAAATTCTTTTTAGCCTTGATTAATACAGCAATTCAGTCTATGAGCTGTTATTATTATTTTGGTTACGATTACTATAATCTTTACTATTACTACTTATGCTACTATTCTGTTGTTTTCTTAATTTCCTACTTCAATAATACTAAGACAGAGAGTGTGGACTAGAAGCCACCCAGCAGCTTCCTACCACACTAATCAGTGGCTGGATGCCAGATGCGGGATGGACTGTGATCACTCCAATTTTGTCCCAGGCAGGGAGATAACTTCACCTTCCATTAGCATAGCTCAGTGGAGCCAAGAAGGGAAGAAGACAGATTCAGGACATCCTTCAGCACCAAATATCATTGGACATATGTCCTGGCTAGGGGAGTGAAGGTGTGGCATGTGACTGTGGAGATGTGACTTATGGAGACCACGGGCTAGAAAAGGAACGAGATGCTGTGGATGGGAGGGTGGAGATCTCCACTGTAGGCATGCCACATTTAAGATGCTGCTTGGACCTCCAAGTGGCCAAGTCATGCAGGCCATGCAGGGATGAGTAAGGAGCTCTAGAGGGCAGGGGCTGGAGACATCTGGGATATAGTGCTGGGGACTGGATGTGTTCACTGGGGAGACAGATAGTGGTGCAGTCAGCCAGGGGCACTCAAATGTCTGGAAGAAGCCTTTTAGAACAAGGTCTCCAAACTATTTCCAGAGTCATTTAATACCTCCTTGTGTTTTTCATAGGCACTCAGAAGCTCTTAGGAGATAAGGATATAGGGAACTTGCCATCCAGAGACTTCTGCAGAGAATATGCATTAATATCACCATCATATTCTCACTGACTCCCCCTTTTTTAAAATAAGGGAGATGGGGCTTAGACTAAGACGTGTTCTTAAATTCCATCCCTCCTCCTTTTTTTCTGACTGTAGTTTTCATCTGAGGCAGAGAGAAATGACACATATAGCTAAATTAGACCTGATTATCTGTTGTTTTTCTTGGACTTTTGAAGTTTTTGCTAACAACCACAGCATAGTCTTGAACATTACATAATAGCATAATGTATTAATTTTAAAAATGCGTTTTGTGGTTAACCTTGACATAAGAATACCCAGCTCATTTCCCAACCACATGGATTAATACAGATTTGATGAACTGAAATGTGCCCTTCTGCTGCCGCATAGTTCAGTTGTTTTAGGGATGGAAGCTGGCTTGAGAATTTCTAAATTTGATGAACATTCAGAGGTTCTAGAAACTATCACGATTCTGAAACTGTTTGTAAGAAATGCCTTGACTGTACTGGGAAATACATCAAAATGACACTTTTGAATCTGAAAAGAACTGAGTCCTGTACATTTTTTATTTTAGTTAAGAGTTTGAATCCAGCTTATGAGGAAAAAAAAAAGAAAGCGGATGCTATATATTTTTGGCTTGTCAGTTTGAAAACAAACTGGTTGATGCCCATTTTCACGGTCATAACCATTTTGATCTCTCCATGGCTTCCAGAAACCACCATTTTACTTTCTGTCTGTAGTTCTGACTACTATGGTGACTTCACATAAGTGTAATCATACATAAATTGTCCTTTTGTGTTGGGCTTATTTCAGTTAGCATAGTGTCCTTTAGGTTCACATGCACTGTAGCATTTGTCAGAATTTCATTCTTTTTAAAGATTGAGTAATTTGTCAGACATATGGGTTGCTTCCACTTTTTGGCTATTGTGAATAATGGAGCTGTGTACATTGAAGTGTCTGTTTGAGTCTCTTGTCTCCAGTTCCTTTGGGTGTAACCTAGAAGTGGACTTGCTGGATCAGATGGTAATTCTCTTCACTTTTTTGATGGCCTGCCATTTTGTTTTTCTGAAGGTTTAATTCTTTGTGAGATGTGATAAAAGTAGGGTCCAACCGTGACTCCTGTGATCTGATGCAAAGGTTAACCTGCTGCAGCCTGCATGCCGGATTTAGCCCTTGCTACTTATGCACAGTTGGTATGCTAAGGATACTTTTAATATTTTTGGATGGCTGAAAAAAACTGAGGGATAGTACGTCATGATCCATGAAAATTAAGTGAAACTCAGATTTCACTGTACGTAGCTGAGATTTCATTGGAACACAGCTACACCCGTTACCTGTTCTCTATAGTACAGAAGTTGTATGGCCATGTATCAGGATTTGCTGTGACCCTTCAAGAACAAATCTGTGAGGCTGGCATGGTGGCTTCATGGCTGTAATCCTAGCCCTTTCAGAAGTCGAGGTGGGAGGATTGTTTTAGCTCAGGAGTTGAAGACCAGCCTGGGCAACATGGTGAAACCCTATCTATACTCACTTAAAAAAATTAGCCAGGTGTGATTGTGTATGCCTGTAGTTCCAGCTACTCAAGAGGCTGAGGTGGGAGGATTGGTTGAGCTTGAGAGTTTAATGCTACAGTGAGCTGAGATAGTACCACTACATTTCATCCTGGGTAATGGAATGAGATCATGTCTCAAAAAAAAAATAAAGTCCGACAAGCTTACTTATGGCTCTGAGTACATGCATCAAGCTGTCCATCTAATTAATCACACAGTCCTACACATTACTTCTGTCACTTTTTTGCATGTAAGCACCAATCCATTGCTTAAGCCCCCAGGAGGAGTTTCTTCAGTAGGACATGGAGAGTGTAAAAACTCCAACCAAGTCTTTCATCTTGCCCATTTCAGGTACATTTTCTTCTCTGTTTGCATTCCAAAACGTAGCTTCCTATCGTGCCTATTAAGGAACTGCCTATTCTCATTGACTAAGAGGTAAATATCTGTATAATAGAAGAACCAAACTGAGGAAAATCATCAAAATCTAGTTACTTTTTTCAGACACTGTTTTTGGACAAGGTTTGTACCCAATTAGGAGGCATAGTCTTCTATTTTTAATTTGTGATATTTCCATAAAATCGTGTAGATCTTACACTTGTTAAGTGTAGGGTATTTTCAATTTATTTTTTATGTTATTTTATTTTTTTCAAAGAGCTGTTCTCTGCACTGAAGCCTGGGTGTGACTTGTTAAAAGTTAAATTCACATAGCATCTGTCTCCTCCATTAGCTTCTTGCATTTAAAAAATATCTCCTTCGACATATCATTTAAGGGCAACACTTTGTTCGGTATTTAATTTGTTGGCAGAAATATCAGCCCAGAACTTCTTAATATACTTACCTAATGCTATTGCACATACCAATATAATTTACATTTAACTTATTATTTTATTGAATTCATGAGAGTGATCTTAGGACCTGTGATAAATTTGAACAGGCACATTACAAATCAGGCTAAGTTTAAACTAGGAAGCCAACTTTAAGACTGTTTTTGTAGGAAATTGGGAATTGTGTATTGTCTTATCTACAACCATCTGATCTTTGACAAACCTGACAAAAACAAGCGATGGGGAAAGGATTCCCTATTTAATAAATGGTGCTGGGAAAACTGGCTGGCCATATATGGAAAGCTGAAACTGGATCCCTTCCTTACACCTTATACAAAAATTAATTCAAGATGGATTAAGGATTTACATGTTAGACCTGAAACCATAAAAACCCTGGAAGAAAACTGAGGCTATCCATTCAGGACATAAGCATGGGCAAGGACTTCATGTCTGAAACACCAAAAGCAATGGCAACAAAAGCCAAAATTGACAAATGGGATCTAATTAAACTAAAGAGCTTCTGCACAGCAAAAGAAACTACCATTAGAGTGAACAGGCAACCTACAAAATGGGAGAAAATTCTCACAACCTACTCATCTGACAAAGGGCTAATATCCAGAATCTACAATGAACTCAAACCAATTTACAAGAAAAAAACAAACAACCCCATCAAAAAGTGGGCAAAGGATATGAACAGACACTTCTCAAAAGAAGACATTTATGCAGCCAAAAAAAAACATGAAAAAATGCTCTTTTGAAATTGTGTTTTAATTGTATTTGCATGAAGAAGCAGCTTGTTTCCTATTAGACTGGTAAAGTGGGAACACTAGAAAAGAGAAAGGTGGGATTTGGGAAATATGACATGAAGATGTTGTTAAAAAAGGGATGCATATAATTAAATATGACAAGAACAGTGCTACTTAAATATGAAAGCTGCTAACATTTTAATGTTCTCTTTATAAACAAAAGAAACTTTAAGAATTTTAACATCTGCTAGAGCTCAGTCTAATCTGAATTCTTTTTTTCATCTGACCTTTTTATTTTTTCTTTCTCAAACACACTAACTCATTTTAAAAATTACTTTTGAGAACCAAGTAATCTGTTTCCATTTAAGAAGGCTACAGATAAATATTATGTTCCATTTGAAATGACAGTTTCACTCATTTTATACATTTACTTATATGACTATTTTAGGTTCCTTTTAAATAAATAGCTTAAATTCATCCTTTTGGGAGCCACTGATTAAAATGTTTGCACGTTCATTGTGGTTTTAAAATTTGCATTTGTTTAATTGTGATAAAAAATACACCAAAAGTGTATTTCTGTGTGTTTGTGTCCGTATGTGTGTGTGTGTTTTCAGAGAGGGTCTCACTCTGTTGCCCTGGCTGGAGTGCAGTGGTGTAATGTTGGCTCACTGCAATCTCCCTTCCAGATTCAAGTGACCTTCCTGCCTCAGTCTCCCAAGTAGCTGGGACCACAGGGCCACACCACCATGCCTGACTAATTTTTGGTATTTTTTGTAGAGATGGGGTTTCCCTGTGTTGTCCAGGCTGGTCTTGAGCTCCTGGGCTTAAGTGATCCATCTGCCTCAGTGTCCCAGCGTGCTGGAATTATATGCGTGAGTCACTGCGCCTGGCCTATGTTTGTGTTTAAGGTCTGAGAATATTAATAGAGCAAAGGAAACACACCAGTATTCCAGTGAGCAGTGTGTGCAGTTATTCCCACTGTGTGATTATATTGTTTTTTACAAGTCTACATTTATGGCTTTACCTATATTTGAATATGTGAATTCATGCAGTGTAATTGTACAGCACTGTGCTCGCTTAGTGGCACAGAGAGGTTGAGTTATTGACTAGGGGACCCATAATTGTCAGCAAGAAATTCTGGGATTTAGCCAAGGACAGCCTCACTCCAAGATCATGCTGCTTCTCAGAGTTTGCTTGGATTGTTAGAGTGTAATTTCTGGAAAACAAGGCCATGCTGGAATCTAGAGGAGAGAAAGATGACTCACACTGGGTATGAGTAGAGTGTGGTTGAGATGTGCAAACAAGATATAGGTAAGAAAGGAAAATGCAAACTAGTAGAAGAAGGAGTTGGGCTTTTTGTTCTTATTTTTTATTTTAAGATAGGTCATGTGGTATAACAGGAAGCTGATGGAACTTAGGGTCAGACCACCTGGGATCATTCTTGGATTCCAACCTCCCTTGCCATTGTATCCAGAGGTCAGCTTGTCTTTGAGATATCTAGGGACGGTGATGCAGTGGAGATCAGGGTGTTAGTGAAGATTAAACTCATGTAACATGAAGCATGACACACATTCTGCATGTTTGTCTTTGTACCATGACATACTTGGACATACATATTCCTGATCTGGTAAGAATTGATTCCGTATGTTTTTTGTGACCTCAGCATTCCACGCCCAGACTCTGAAGTCAAAGGGGACAATCAGAGCCAGAGCCCTTAGTAGTTGGGAAATTCTGATCGCCAGTCAGCACAAATATTTGACTATTGGAAATTTTTTTAATGGTGAGCTCTTTTTCTGTTTCGAGATTTGGTAGTCCTTTCTGATTAGTAGACAGAGAAGTCTGTTTGACAGAGTTAATGTGAGGCCCTGCACTGGCTGTCACCTCATGCAGTGCACTGTCCTTCCATGGCCTGTTCTGTTAGTTTAGCGAGGTCAATAATACCTGCCCATCTCACAGAGTTTACATCCAAGTGTTTCATCATGGTGGAAGTGGTTTTTAATGAAACAATAGATTTCTTGGTTTTGCTTCAAGGAAATGTCTGAAGTGTTTGCTTTCCCAGTGATTTCATGCTCTAAACTGCCTTTTTGTGCCCATGGCCCATGAGCATAAAACAGCGTCGTTGCTATTCAGGCAAATAAAAGCCAGATAAAAGAAAACCTCACTGTTTAGCCATTGTATCAGAGAGAGCCAAACTGCCTTTCTTCCCAAGCCCTGGTTTTTAGGGGATCACGTGTCACCCACACCTGAAATCTATTCTAATTATCTGTGTTGCATAACAAGAAAGGCCACTGAGGAATCAGAATTCTTACAAGCATGGACATGCTTATTTTATGAATTGAAAAATATTCCTAATCAGCAGTTGTGGTTACACAAAATTAGGCCTGATGTAAGGTTCCACAATTTAAAAAGCACTGTATGTGTTTAACTATGATTTACAGTCATTTATATTAAGAATAGTTGCTAGTGGTTTTGCAAGTTTCCAGCAGTTGTAATGCAACTAGGGAAGCTTTTACATATCAAAGTCAGGAGCCACCAATACAGAACAGATTTTAACAGGTATTAGGGTATCTGGGAATTACGTGAGAGGAAAATTAACTGAATTCTATAGGTAAAAAGTGAAATTCATTTACTCCTCCAACCATGTACTCTGTTGCTTTCTTGGTGAGAGAAATGACTGACCTACTTGGTCTCCATGAAACTTGGTCTTCTTACCTATAAATAAGATACTAAGTGTTGATCTGAGAATGTATGAGTCTAAATTTTACATAATGGGAAACATGCATACATGAGTGAAAAGCAGAACGCTGTGATAACTCACTCTTGTTCCAGCTACAATTTTGTAAACACCATAGGCTTACTATAGGAAAGGAAGTATCTTAGAAAATCCTAAAATTGGCTGGGCACGGTAGCTCATTTCTGTAATCCCAGCACTTTGGGAGGCTGAGGTGGGCGGATCGCCTGAGGTCAGGAGTTTGAGGCCAACCTGACCAACATGCAGAAACCCTGTTTCTACTGAAAATATAAAATTAGGCATGGTGGTGCATGCCTGTAATCCTAGCTACTTGGGAGGCTGAGGCAGGAGAATGGCTGGAACCTGGAAAGTGGAGGTTGCGGTGATCTGAGTTTGTGCCATTGCACTCCAGCCTGGGCAACAAGAGCAAAACTCCAGTCTCAAAAAAAAAAAAAAAAACCAACAACAGAAAGAAAATCCTAAAATTAATGGAACATGGGGGTTTGAAGGTATAGTCCAAGAGACTCCATAAATTTCAGACCATCTAAAAGAGCTAAAGATTAACAAAATGAAGGGCTTAGAGTGATATGTGATGGGTACATTGTGTATATGCAAATTATGTTCAAATGTCCATTATGTCCATATTTGTCATTGCATTGTGTATATGCAAATTATGTCCATGTTTCCAAGACTTCCCCAATAATTGTGTTTCAATTTCCCAATTTCTTTTTATTCTTGTTGTCCTGCTTCAATCTAAATTAGTTTAAACTGTGAATTGCTTTGGTCTAAAATGATGAAAGCACTCAAAATGAAGCCAGAACTTGGAGTTCACATTCTACCACTTGTTAGCTGTGAAACCAGTCTACATTGTTCACTTACACTCTTAAGAAAGCAGCCTTTTGTCTACAAAATGAAAACAAATGGGACTGATGTGATGGTTAATTTATTTAATGGACGTAATAAACACTTTCTTGACAAATGAGAATGTGAAAAAATTATTGAGTACAGATGAGGCATAACCATCCTTGCTGTTCAAGAATTATAGCATGGAAACAGTTGATATGGCTGGGCATGGTGGCTCATGCTTATAATCCCAGCCCTTTGGGAGCTGAGGCAGGTGAATCAGTTGAGGTCAGGAATTCAAGACCAGTCTGGCCAACATGGTGAAACCCCGCCTCTGCTAATAACACAAAAATTAGCCTGGAGTGATGGTGGGTGCCTGTAATCCCAGCTACTCAGGAGGCTGGGGCAGGAGATTCACTTGAGCCCAGACGGTTGCAGTGAGCAGAGATTGCGCCACTTCACACTCCAGCCTGGGTAACAGGGTAACACTGTGTCTCAAAAAAAAAAAGAAAAAAAGAAAACAGTCACTATGTAGTTCTCATGACCCAATTAAAATATTATAGTTAGGATGTTATGTTTGTGTTAAAACTAAGAATACACTGTACAGAACTTGTGGAAGAAGCTTGGAACAGAGGCTGCCTGTGCATTAAGACTAAGAGGACTTGCAAAGAGTTAGAAGACTTTTAATGTTTTACTTTTACATCAAGTTTTCTTAACTGTGGCACTGTAGACATGTAGGGCTGGAGAACTCTCTGTGGTGGGACCGTCCTGTTCACCAGGGGAGGTCCAGCACCATCTCTGGGCATTCCTTCCTGGATGCCAGCAACATCCATACCATATAATGACCACCAAAAGTGTCTCCAGACATTGCCCACTGTCCCCCTGGGGGGCAACATGACCCCAATTGAGAACCACCTAAAATTTCCCCAGTGAAACTGCATTACTTCTCTAACTTTAATAGCAACCTAAAAAATTACAGACGTCATTTTTAAACCAACAAGATTACTCTGCCTAATTTTACATACTGAACAGTTGGTTGTTTTTATGAGGGCTTTTGCACTTGTATTCTGAAAGCACCACCTTAACAAAAAGTGATGTTGCATGACTGTCCCAACGACAGCTGGCAGCAGCTATGGAAGCATCCCAGGAACCAAAAGCCAGCCTGATGTTGCCCTCATGCACTTGCGGCTCTTTCAGTGTGGCCATTCTAAGTAACCAAGTACACATGTGTGCTGCTTCTGGGATAAAGCACCTCTGTATGTTAGTTGTCTGAAGTCACATTGATGATATCAGTAGGTTATCTATTCTAATTTAGTAATGCATTACGAGTGCGCAGCTGAATATGAGTTAGCTCCAAGGCAGGGATCAGCAAACTACTGCACATAGGCCAGCTGGCCTGCAGGTTGTTTTTGCAGATAGTTTTCTTAGAACACACACACATCTGTTTACATAAACACACCTACCTGATTACGGATTGCCAGTGGTTTCCAGTTGGAGTTAAATATGATGACATAGATAGTGAGGGTAAGGCTGAGGAGGTCTCAGATGGAGATGAGGAACTTACTGGGACCTGGAGTAAAGGTCACTTTTGTTATGCATCAGCAAGGAGGTTGGGATGTGGCATTGTGCTTCTGCCCTAGGGATCTGTGGAACTTTGAACTTAAGAGTGATGATTTAGAGTATCTGGTGGAAAACATTTGTAAGCAGCAAAGCATGCAAGATGTGGCCTGCTTCTAAAAGGCTATGCTCATATGCGTGAGCAAAAATAATCTACTTGAAACTGGAACTTATATTTAAAAGGGAAAGAGCATGTAAAAGTTTGGAAAATTTGCAGCTATGACGTGATAAAAAAGAAAAGCCTATTTTCTGGGGAGGAATTCAAACATGCTGCAGAAATTTGAATAAAAGGACAGCAAGGGCTGATAACCAAGGCAATGGGGAAAATTCTATTAATAGGTACAGTCCAAGTAACTGCATAAATTTCAGACCAATTAAAAGTATTAAAGATTAATAAAATGAAGAGCTTGCAATGATTGGTGATGGGTACATTGTGTATATGCAAATTGTTCATAAGGCTTCTACACTAGTTGTGTTTCAGTTGTCTAATTTCTGTTTATTCTCATTGTGCAGAAGTAGGTTACTACCGACTCCAATACAAATTAGTGTGAATTGTGAATTGCTTGGTCTAAAATGAAAAGAGCACTCAACATGGAGCTCCTGAAAGCATTTCAGATAGCTTCATGACAGCCCCTCCTATTACGTACCGAATCCTAGGAGGGAAAAATGATTCCCTGGACCAGGCCCAAGGCCTTGCTGTCCTACACAACCTCAGTACGCTGCTTCCTGCATTCCAGCTGCTCTGTCTCTGACTCTAGCTGCACCCTTCGCTCAGATGGCCCCGGTACAGCTTAAGACACTGCTTCAGAGGCTGCAGGCTGTAAGCCTGTGTCTTCTACATGGTGTTAAGCCTGCAGGTGCATAGAGTACAAGAGTTGAAGCTTGGTAGCCTCTGCCTAGATTCAGAAGATATACAGAAAAAGCCTGGATGTCCAGACAGAAGCCTGATGCAGGACCAGAACCATCATGGAGAACGTTTGCTAGGGCATTGCAAAGGGCAAAGGTGGGATTGGCGCCCTGATATGGAGTCCTCACTGGAGCACTGCCTAGTGGAGCTGTGTTAGATACAGTTATGTTCCCTCTTCAAACAGCTTATCCAGCTTCCCCATTCTCTATCCTATAATTCCAAATAACCCCTTGCCTTTCCTGTGCCCCAATTTGTCTGAATATGCCTAGCCATGCCTGAACTTGCTACAACCCCAGCCTGCATGCCTTTCCTTAGTAGAGAATAGGTTACCTTCCTAGTCCCTCCGTAATTGACCTTCCTTCTCTCTCTTCTCACCTCCCTTACCTTATCTAAGAATGTTTAAATATTTAGCCAGTTGGGACTAGTTTAGACTGTGTGGTCCAACCCTAGCCAATAGGGGAAAGACACAGAAGCACAAGCTGCATTAGAGATAATAAAACCCCTGCTTTCCTTTGGTCTGTATGCTTTTGCCATTGCTCCATACATGAGTTGCACCCTTGTGCAGAAGTAAATTTTCCTTGCTGAGACGTTCTTTGTCTAAGTGCTTGTTTTCTTTGCGACTCCAAGTTCTTATTCCCAACAAGCTATGAGAAGAGGTCCACCATCCTCCAGACCCCAGTATGGTAGGCATTCAACACCAGATGGTGAGAGCAACTGCAGGGTCTATACCTTGCAGAGACAGGGGTGGAGCTCCCCATGGCCTTGGTAGCCCACTTCTTGTGCCACTGCACCCAGGATGTGAGACAGGGAGTCAAAGGAGATTCTTGGAGAATCTCCTTAAAATCTAATGATTGCCTTGCTGGGTTTTGGACTTGCATGGGGCCTGTAGCCCCTTTCTTTTGGCCAATTTCTCTCTTTTAGAACAGGATAGAATATAACCTAATGCCTATATTCCCATTTTATCTAGGAAGTAACTAATTTGGTTTTGATTTTACAGGCTTATAGGCAGAAGGAACTTGCCTTGTCTCAGATGACACTTTGAGTTAATGCTGTAATGAGTTGACTTTGGAAGACTATTGGGAAGGCATAATTGTATGTTAAAATGTGAAAAGTGAGGGGCCAGGTGTGTAATGATATGATTTAAATCTGTGTCCCTGTCCAAATCTCACGTTGAATTGTAATCCACAGTTTTGGAGGTAGGGCCTGGTGGGTAGTGATTGGATCATGGGAGTAACTTCTCATAGTTTAGCAACATCTCTGGTGGTACTGTATAGTGAGTGAGTTCTGATGAGATTTGGTCGTTTAAAAGTGTGTAGCACTTTTCTTCCTCTCTCTTTCCCTCCTGCTTTTCCCATGTGAATGTGCCTGGTTTCCCTTCACCTTCCACCATGGTTGTTTCGTGAGTCCTCCCCAGAAGCAGAAGGTGTTATGCTTCCTTACAGCCTGCAAAGCCTTCAGCAAATTAATCCTCTTTTTTTTCTTTTTTTTTTAATAAATTACCCAGTCTCAGGTGTTTCTTTATAGCAATGCTTGTTAGTAAAACAGAGGACAGCAATTTTTATCATTTAACCAAGCAGAATGTTTTTGAGCGAAAAATATTTTTAGGTTTTTTCTTGGTTATAGTTTTCTAGTTCACTTATGGCAGGTATGCTTATTTTTAAAGAACATTAAAGTTTAGGCCTTTAGAATTTGTTTGTAAAATAGTTATTGATTATTAAAAAATAATACAAAACATGTTTTATTTGTCATGATTATAACAGTCAAAGGGAAGGGGTGGGTGACTCTTAAGAAACAGATGTGCTCCTGAGAAGTACTACAGTGGCAAAAAATTACTGGTCTAGATAAACAGTATTCCAGAAGTGAATTTTAAAAAAAGTTGAGATGGTAACATACGAGGAAATAATGAATGCATTGTGACTTTTCACCTCCCCATACCCATTTTCTCATAGTTTGTTGAGGAGAAAGAGAAATGAGGATGTTGGCCTGATTTTGATTCCCAATGGGTAAGGCTCATGCAGAACTGCCCTGCTTTTTGACACTATTATGATATTAAAAGTACCATGTACTTTTATAAGTCTTTACCGTCTTGGCACACTTGCATTCATTTTAGTCAAGTACTGTCACCTTTAGATTTCAGGCTTGCAGAGTCTTTAAAAAATGCACATTAGAGAACGCAGAGTCTTCTAACAATAAAATCTCAGCTTATTAGGATGTTTAGTGACCAGGGTATTCAGAGTCAGTTAGAAAAGTGTCTTTAGAATTTCAGCATATGGAGATGTCTTTCATAGAGAAACCTGGAAGAGTTTGGCAAACCCTAGCATGTTGAGCATGGAGTATCGTCATCTGCATGGGCACTCAGACACCTGGACAAATGAATCAGCAGTAAGACAGGATGGAGGGGTTCACAGAATACATGCTTCCCACTACCCGGAGCTGTGAGGAAATCATGAGGACTGACTGAGCATTCATTGTACACATGTGCACATGTTGGTTGCTATGCCCTGGGATGTGGCAGCAAAGAATAAGCATGTGAAATATTTAAAATTATTTATTAGGTGGATTAAATAAGCTCCCAGCACTCAGAAGACAGCCAGGCATGTAACAGGTGATATATATGTGTTAGTTAATATCATAATTTAACAGAGACGAGGTTTTGCTACATTGCCCCAGCTGAACCTGAACTCCTGGCCTCAAGCCATCCTCCCACCTCAGCCTCCCAAAGTGCTGCAATTACAAGCATCAACCACTGTGCCCAACCTATTATTATTTTTGAATAACTTTATTTAACCCACTGTTGCCAATGGTTTTGAAGTGTGGAGCCATTTTTCAGATGACACATGCTAAACTACTGAACAGCCTGAGAAATGTCGCTCTGAAGAGCATGCCTTGGCAAACACTCTCCTACTTAATCAATCTCCAGTTGATTGGCTTCCAAGTTCATTTGGTTCTCATTTTTCCTAACAACAACCCTGCAAATCATTACCCCCATTTGATGAGGTGCTGGCTGAGAAGGCTGCTTGCCTAGGTATGTTTCCCACCTGCCTGTGACAAGCTGTTAGATTCTGAAAGCTGGTGGTGCTGGCCTCAGTTAGCTGAGTGATTCCAGTGTAGGGTCTTTCGAGGCTGCAGGCAAGATGTCCGCCCACCTAAGGTGGGATGGGGGCAGGAGGGGCTGTGTCCTGGCACCTCCCTCCTGTGGCTGCTGAGTTGGTATGGCTGTAGGCGGGGGGCCTCAGTGTTGTACTGTACTGGCCTCGCCGTGAGCACCCAAAGGGATTTTATCATACAAATTTGATTCTGTTTTATCAAGAGATGCCAGTAGTACCTCCACTTCCAGTTGTGAAACCCCAAAATATCTCCAGACATTGCCTAATATCCCCTGGGAGATGGCGGGGGATGTGGGGAGGGGGCAACAGCGGGCACTGTCAATCCTGTTCCAGAACACTGTAGTAAAATACAGAAATGTGATGCCAATCCCATGCTTTTATTTAGGATTGCATGTGTAACACATATGCTTCTGAGTGGGAAAGTAACTGTTTGCTCCAAGCAGAAAATGGTGCATCCTTTGTTGTCATGGGGCAAATGCTTAGTAAGGATTTGACCAATGTAGAGGAATGCTCAGTGTGCAGTGGCAGCCAGGTAGTGAGCAGATGCAGCCCTGCACACAGCGTGAGTTTGTCAGTGTTTGCCAAGCAGTACTCCGGTATGCAGTCACTGCTGGCTATGGCTCTTAGGCAGGCAGGCTCCTGGCTCCTCCTTGTGTGTCCATCCCGTTTGTTGGCCACCCTGCCTGCTGGCACTAGGCCATCTGCTCCTTTTCCCAGGTTCTGGTTGCTCCAGCTTGGCCTCCCTCTGCCCATTCTGTGCACCTTTCATTCTTGGGGAGGAGGAGACTCAGGTAAAGAAGGATAAAGCAGAACGATGCCAGGAAATTCCACTGCTAGCCAGTTGCCCCAAGGACTCGAATGCTCATAGTAGCATGGTTGACCCAAGCCAGGTGGCTGTCAGCTGCTGCCTGGAGAAACACAGTGCGGTCCAGCCACACAGTGGCATAGTATTCAGCTATAAAAAGAGTGAAGCCCTGGGCCTGGTATGGTGACTCAGCCTGTCATCCCAGCACTTTGGGAAGCCGAGGTGGGTGGATCACCAGGTCAGGAGATCGAGACCATTCTGACTAACATGGTGAAAACCAGTCTCTACTAAAAATACAAAAAATTAGCCAGGTGGGGAGGTGGTCTCCTGACTACTAAGCCTGGAGTTCGAGACCAACCTGGGCAATATAGTGAGACCCCATCTCTGTTTTTTAAAAACAATAAAATTTTTTAAAAGAAAAATAATAAAATGGTTAAATTTACATTAAGTTATTTTTACCCCAGCTGAAAACAACAACAACAAAAACCATGTAGGTGAATGTCCAAGGGAATGTCTATATTGGGCCTATGGTGTGCTGTTCTGGTTTTTCTTATATGAATGGGCTCTGAAGGCTGCGTCAAAAGGGGAGTCTTTAAAGTTGCTAATTTTTTCCTGATACAAAAAGAATATAGTTTCTCAAAATGACTGCTTTCGAGGAATGCCCCTTTCTAAATTTGAAAACATAGTATTAAAAACAAGAGTCTCTCAGTGCTTTAGACCGTTATTTCTTGTATTCAATTTAAAAATCCCTTATGGTGGTTTGCAGATCTGCAGAGAAATTCACAAAGCATGATTGAAAAGTGATGTGTAGTCTTTATAGTTGAATAGGAAGAAACCAGCTGATTTGCATATAGGATGAAATGTAGCTGAGGGTGCTATTGAGTTTGGACAACATTTGGCTAGACCTTTGTAACTTTTCAGCTCTATGAAGCAATAATTGTGTGAAGAATTAAAAGGTGGAAAATGAACTGCATGTGGCTGGCTCGCATATGCCTAGGTCTATTTCCAGACACAACGACCAGTGAAATGACAGTGTTGGTGATGCACCAGTTCAAGGAAATATACAAAGACTGCCTACTCACAAATACAGACACCAGCGGACTGATACATTGCTTGCACTTGAAGGTATAGAATTAGAAAACATAGGAAAACAGCAGCAGACTGTTCTGTGTCCTTTTCTTTAAAACTATATCTTGAAATTTCTGTGCTTCCCCCAAGAACATCTTTAAAGATGACAGTAAAATAACTCCAGAGGAAACTTTCTGAATTCTAATATCCACATGAAAATGTTGCATTTTCTTCTGATTTTTCACAATAAAAGTATGGCAAACCTCATGAAGAAATGAATGTGGTAGAGGGCTTCTGAAATCTACGTATTAACATTTGTGATCAGCTAGTGAAATATTCTCATTGATTATATATAGTACATCCTTCATTCATTAAGCTAACTTTTATCAAGTATGTGTTATGTGTCAAGCCTAGATTGTAGAAATGGAACTTGAGGAAGACAGGACTCTTCCTCCTGTTTGGGTAGAAAAGGTATTATGTGTGTTATGAATGATGTGATGGAAGGAAACACAGGACAGCATTGGAAAATGGAGATCATCACCCAGAGATTCTGTATTCTACTTGGGGAATAGACTAAACATCAAAATACAGTAATTTAAACAAAATGCATTTACCCCTCATGTATTGGTACAAAGGCAGACAATAGTCCCAGAAGGGTAGGTGTCAAATCCCCAAGAGCATCGGGGGATCAAGGTTCCTTTTGTGTTACTATCCTGCCTTCCTAAGGGTCAGACAGGCTCTCAAGCAACCCCCATGAGCACAAGTTGTATGCATCCTTTCCCAGCTCTTCTCACCTACCATTGGCAAGAACTCAGTAGTGGAACACCCAGGGTCTGTTAGTGAGGTGTGCTTGTGTGACTGAAAGAAAAAGAGAAGTCTTTTGGGGAGGAGCAGGCCTGGTGGAATCATAGTTTCTAAATCTTTGCATTTTATCTAATTCAGTTTTTTGAAGAAATGTACGTAGCACCACAAACTCTATTCTTAACCTACTTTCTATGGAGAAGCAGGCACATGCTGTGTTGTATCAGCTTGGAGAGCCCCTTCAAAACCTCTCCACATTCAATGTGGAGGGACTGTCACTATACATGCACGGCACACCATGCCAAGAGGGGAGGACTACTGGAACATTAAAATCTCTTTTGTATTTGTCACATAATCAGCATTTAGTTGTAAAAATAAAGAGCATACGGCATTTGTTAAAATCATTTCCATTTCATAACAAATATTTGGCCATATGTAAACTTTCTTGCTGTGGCTGTTTTTTAATAATGTTTCAATTTCTGTACTAATAATTTGTAATAATAATAACAATGGGAAAATCAGTAATGAACAGGTGTTGGAAGGTCTGATTTCTCATTTTAATTTATTGTTTCTAGCTATAAACAAATTATTTTTGACATGTTGCATAACCAGAAGAATGTTATTAAATAAAGTCATAATTCTCCTTTTTGGTGTTGATGACACCCAGATGATAATTACACTTAATGAGTTTAACAACACATATAAAAGATAATCTAAAGTTTCAGGACCCTGTTATGTGGGTTACCATCTGTTTTGGACCAAAGAATAAGAATTGGATTCCAAGCTTTTTTCTGAACAGCTTGTAATAAGAGCTGTTTGTGTATTAATTACTTCTTGAACTATTGTGGGTTTTAATGTTTTAATTTACAAGCAATTTGGAATTTATGACATCTGCTCATATTTTGATACTTCATGCTATTTACCAATTTTGTCATGAGGCTGTTTTTCCCCCTGGTAATTTACAACCTAATTCTGAAAATAGTAATTTGGTCTCTACCAGTTCACTCTAAGGAGAATTGCCCTGTTTCATCTCCACTGCAGATTTTTTTTTCATAAGTGAAAGTATCTTTGTTTTATAAACAAAATTAAGTTGCCATTGTGCCTGCTTCTCTGGTGCCCTTTCATTTCTGTTCAAAGAGTTAGAGATGAATTTAGTTTCACTCTCATTGCTTTACTTAAGTAGTTGGTTTTTTACAAATTGTCCTGGTTATTACTTTTGGTTGGTTTTTGTTTTTGTTTTTCAATGTACTCTAATGCAATTCATGGTCCTGTGAACCTGACTGTAGAACTTTTTTTTAAATCTCCTTTATTTAAACATCATAACTGTAAACATGACCCAGTGGGAATAATTTACTTGCAGTTCCTGAAAGTACTTCATGAGGTTCCATATGAGTTCACTAATAACAAACACCACTCATAGCTTCGCTGGTAGACTTCAAGTATACTAAACCTGGTACCTTTTTATTATCACTTAAGACTATTTAGAGAAAATGGTGAGCCTTTAATTTTCTTAGTTCTTGAATTTGTAGTTGATAGAGGGTAATTTAAACTCTCTAGGCGGGTGGCCAGGTGCAGTGGCTCATGGCTATAATCCCAGCACTTTGGGACGCTGAGGTGGGTGGATCACTTGAGCCTAGGAGTTTGAGACCCTGGTCAATATGGTGAAACCCTGTCTCTACTAAAAATACAAAAATTAGCCAGGCATGGCAGCGGTTGCCTGTAATCCCAGCTACTCAGGAAGCGAGGCAGGAGAATCACTTGAACCTGGGAGGCGGAGGTTGCAGTAAGCTGAGAAAGTGTCACTGCACTCCAGCCTGGTTGACAGAGTGAGTCTCTGTCTCAAGGAAAACAAAAACAAAAACAAAAAGAAAAACAAAAACTCTCTAGGAGGCTGGATTCATTCACAATCAAATAAATTTTATGAGAAAGCTGGTAAATATCATTAAATGGTTGGCATTTATAGTGACTAAAAAATAAAACAATTTTTAATATAGAGGATGATTGCTTTATGAGATATAAACCTGGCTTACTGAAAAATCAGTGCAAATGAACCCTTGTGAAATAAAAATGTCTAAGAACAGTACATGAGAAGTTGAGATGTCAGTTGGTGCCTTTGTTTTCCTTTATTTTAGAGGAGCCGAAGGAAAAAGATTCTGACCTGTTTCTGTGTTTTTATGAGCACAGTATATAAGAATGGTTATATGCGCACCAACATGCACTCTGGGGTTACTGGAAAGCTAGCCCCAACAATGGGAAACATCTTGCTACAGTGTGATATCTTCTCCCAGTGGTGTGCACAGGTTCATGTATCAGTTGCATAAGGCACTGTTCCAAAAACAACAATAAGGGAATAAGGTTCAAGGAACCTTAATTTATCTTTAAACTTAATTTAATTTAAAATTAATTTAAATATTTATATAATAGCAGTAGCAATAGCTGAGCTAATATTATCTATTTTGAGACTTTTCTTTCAGAACTTCTACAGGCATAATAATGCCTGACTGGTCATTTTAATTTCTCCTTTTTTTTTAGTTTGCAAACAAAACCCTGCAATCTGTGCTTTAGACTAACACAGAAGTTAAGAACTAATAAGATGTGTTAAGTTTGAGTTAGGATGAAAAAGAAACCTAAAAGAATGGGAGGGGTGAGAGGTAAAAACACCCTAAGGATTTTTAAGTCTTTTGTTCTAAACCTTTCCCTTTCTCCCTAGGCTGGTCCCCACAGACGGCTTGCCATTTCTATGACTGGATGCTGAGAAGCCTGCTGGTTCAGAGGTCCACACATGAAGTTACCATAAAGGTAAGCAGCCCAGCATGCCATTGGATCCTTGTCCTTGTACCTGAAACATATTTCAGGAGCAAAACTGCATTTTGCCAAAACGCAATCCCTTCTCTTTTAAATTATGTTTTCGGGGAAAGTGGCACATCTTTGTCCTTGCTGAAATTGAAGCCATTAGAGAAACCATTATTAAATCCTTATGAGCTGCAAAGTCAATTCTAAATGAGGAATTCGCCTTTTTACTGCCTTCTGAGAATTTTGGATCCTGAATGAGCAATAACAAACTTTTCTGGGTCTTACCAGTCGAGGATAACACCTTCTAAAATCAACCTCTCTTGTGAATATTATAATTATGCAGGCTTGTTAATTGTAATTGGGCACACGAGTATAGATTTTATTTGACTCCTTTGTCTTCATTTTGTGCTCCATTAGTTTTTTAATATGATTTGTGTCTGTCTGCGTTGATTTGCTAGTTAACCGTGAAACTTATTAGAAAATCATGCAGATTACTGTGTGTAAATGTGGTGAGACGCTTAAGGTTTCCTGATTAGCAAACCAAACAGTTCTATGTGGCCAGGTGTCAAAAGTTGAAACCGATACCCAAACTAAAACTAAGACCTGCACCCCAAAAGTTCTTTTAAAGTTATCCTATTACCTTTTGGTACATAGGATTATAGTTTTATTTTACTTAGTTGCTACTTAATTTTCTGCTTCTTTCTCTAAGGCATTTTTAGTTTTTTTTTTTTTAAAACTATAGAAATTTGGTAACTTGAAAGCATAAGGATGGAATTTTGAGGGAGATTTTTGCTTTACTGTTTTGAAAGAACCAACTAGAACTAAACTGTAGGCTTAAATTTAACTAAAATAGGAAGCTTACTGTTTGAGGTACTTTTGTTTAAAGCAAGATGTACGTATATTGTTATAACAAGTTAAACATGTAGAGGTATTTGAGTGTTATTTGACTTAAATATTTGAAAGGTGTTGTTTGTTAATAAAAACAAAATTTGTAATATATTAGTGAATTTGAATTTTTTGATTGGCTCTTTCATTCAGTATAATGTTTTCAAGGTTCATGTGCATTGTGGCATGTGTCATTCCTTTTTACATTAGAATAATATCTCATTGTGTGGCTAGATCATGAATAGAACATGTTTTATCCATGCATCAGTTGATGGAAATTGGGGTTGTATTTCCCTTTGGGCTACTATGAAAAAGATGTCAGGAATACACATATACAAGTTTTTGTGGGGACTTACGTTTCATTTCTTTGTGGTATCTACTTAGAATTGGGTCATTTGGTACCTCTGTTGAACATTCTGAGGAACTATTGTTATGTTCCTCAAAATGTAAAGTGGTCAAAGTGGCTGTTATGTCAGTCAATATTTTTTGAAATGCCATTGAACCATATTCTAAATGTGAGAGGGATGATGGGAGGGGGTCCTTTCTCTCATCAGTGTTTTGACTGGGTATTAATTTCAGTACTTTGGGAACCTAAGCTTCAGTTTAATTCAATCTAGTATGTGCTGAATTTCTCCTGTGCGTGAGGTGTCTGTGTTTGGCCTTATAAATGACTGAGTGTTTTTGTGGCCTTTCATACCTTATGCAGTTTATAGATGCAGGTGGTAATTTGGGATTATCCTGAAAAAGGGCACTCTGTTGCTATTGTTCATCAGTAAGGCTGGGAATAACTTGTCTAACATACTCTTTCTGCCTGTGTTGGGCACTGCGGCTTAGAAAGTGAAGGCTTATAATTGTTTCCTTGAGATGTGTGTGGTTTCAACACATGTCCTCCTTTCAAAGTCATCCATAACAGACCTGGGTAATTGTGTTTTATTGACTCTCAGTCTTAAACTGGTTGGTAAGATTATGAGGAATGTTCACATTAGGGGCGTTCACCATTGAGGTTCTTAGGCAGGAAGATTCCACACCCAGAAGGGACTAGGCAGTTGTTCTCTGAAGTAGAGGTGGGAAAATCTGTTGTAAATCGAGAAGGACTGAGAGCAGGCTCAGCAAACGTGGTCTGTGATGGACCTGATAGTAAGGGGCTTAGGATTTGTGGGCCAGGCAGTTGCAGCTGCTTTACTCTGCCATTGCATTATGAAGGCCCTACGGAGATGAATGAACATGGCTCAGTGCCAAGAAAACTTTATTTATAGACATTGATACTGGGTTGCAGTTTGCTGACTCTGACCTAGAGCAACACACTGTTTTTTTTTTCCTTTTATGTCTTTTTATTTTTATTTTAAGTACTTGGGTACATATGCAGGATGTGCAGATTTGTTACACAGGTAAACATGTGCCATGGTGGTTTGCTGCACCTATCAACCCATCACTTTGGTATTAAGCCCAGCATGCATTAGCTGTTTTTCCTAATGTTCTCCCTCCCCACTCTCCAAACCCCAGTGCCAGCATGTGATGTTCCCTGCCCTGTGTCCATGTGTTCTCATTGTTCAACTCCCACTTGTAAGTGAGAACATGTGGTGTTTGGTTTTCTGTTCTTGTGTTAGTTTGCTGAGAACGATAGTTTCCAGCTTCATCCATATCCCTGCAAAGGACATGAACTCATCCTTCTTTATGGCTGCATAGTATTTCATGGTTTATATGTGCCACATTTTCTTTATCCAGTCTATCATTGATGGGAATTTGCGTTGGTTCCAAGGCTTTGCTGTTGTGAACGGTGCTACAATAACATACATGTGCATGTGTCTTTATAGTAGAGTGATCTATAATCCTTTGGTATATACCCAGTAATGGCATTGCTGGGTCAAATGGTATTTCTAGTTCTAGATCCTTGAGGAATCACCACACTGTCTTACACAATGGTTGAATTAATTTACACTCCCACCAACAATGTAAAAGCATTCCTATTTCTCCACATCTTCTCCAGCATCTGTTTCCTGACTTTTTAATGATTGCCATTCTAACTGGTGTGAGATGGTATCTCATTGCAGTTTTGATTTACATTTCTCTAATGACCATTGATCATGAGCTTTTTTTCATATGGTTGTTGGCTGCATAAATGTCTTCTTTCAAGAAGTTTGTGTTCGTATCCTTCACCCACTTTTTGATGGGGTTGTTTTTTCTTGTAAATTAGTTTAAGTTCTTTGTAGAGTCTGGATATTAGCCCTTTGTCAGATGGATAGATGGCAAAATTTTTTTCCCATATATATGGCAAAATTTTTTTCCCATTCTATAGGTTGCCTGTTCACTCTGATGATAGTTTCTTTTGCTGGGCAGAAGCTCATTAGTTTAATTAGGTTTCTAATTGAGCCTTCCCTGGCCTTAGGAAATAGGTCAACTCTTGTTTTTTTGGAAAACATTTCACCTGGTCTTTTTTTTTTCTTATGTATAATTATGGAATGTTTATGTAATTACATAATTACAAAATATAACGCATCATATATTAATTACCTTCATGTGTATAATAGCATAGATAGTATTTTCTTTAATCACCTCACACACAAAAAAAAGAGAAACACACAGGCAGTGTTTCAAAACTGTCTTCTTTTTTCAAACAGAGGGTGGTTCCAACTTCATCAATACCTCATCGCCATGAGGTGAGGCTAAGATGAGCATAACCAGTGACGAGGTGAACTTTCTGGTTTATCGGTATCTCCAGGAGTCAGGTAAGAGGCTTGGTTTTCTGTTGGGAGGAAATTCATCCTGAGCATCTTACGAGCAGAATGATCAACCCTTGATTCAAAACCAGGCTGTAGAAGAAGAACAGCTAAGAAAGTTCTCAGTGCTAACAGGGAGAAGAGAAGGTTGTGGAGCCATGTCATCCCACCTTCCTCAACGATAATGACCCTAGTGGACTTTGTTATCTCTACATGTTTACTACACACAGCTGTTTTCCTAACCAATATACAGAGCCAGTGGATTTGTTTCCTAGAACTGCCATAATGCAATACTGCAAACTGGGATGGCTTAAAAGGAAATACGTTGTCTCCTAGTTCCTGAGGACAGAAGTCCAAGATCAAGATGTGGGAAGGTCAGCTCTTTCTGAGGGCGAGTCTCCTGTGCCCGTCCTGGCTCCTGGGGCCTTGCCGCAGTCCTTGGATTCCTTGGCTTGTAGGGGCATCACCCTCGTCTCTTGTGTTCAGATTTGACCACATTTCCCTGTGGTAAAGACAGTCAGATTGGTTTAGGAATTTACTCTACTCCAGGATAACCTAATTTTAGTAATTGATTCTGAATCCAGTTATAGTTACATTTGCACTGACCCTGTTTCCAAATAGCATCACATTCTGAGGTGCACTGTTGATGAGCACTTTAACCTGTGAATTTGTGGGGGTGGGGGCACAGTTCAAACACCAGGATTTGTTTTGGAGTCTTTTTAAGGTTTGTCCCCTTAATACCAGATTGAATATACAGTATGGAACTTGATTATTTGAAAAGGAACTCCCAGTTCCTTGGCACCCCCTCCCAGAGATGTATGTATTCAATTTGAAGGAAGCCAGTCTGTGGTCCCTTGGGCATGGGTTCTCTCACTGCTGTGTAGGGTACAATATAGGCATTGGAGCCACCCAGAATGGCTCAAGATGTGATCGTTAAACAAGTCTGAGTGAGGCCTGTTCATTTGAGCCTTGGTTTTCCTGCCCAGGCAAACGTGATCAAGTATGTGAGGCACGTAACATGTTGTAAATAAGTGCCCTCCCCATCAAGCCTGGGTTTCTGTCCCTTGTGCTCCCAGCTACCATTATTCATGGGAAGTGCATGCGCTTTCTGCATATATATCAGATACCTTGGATTGGCTTTTGTCAGACGCAGTATAAGCAATTGGTATACAAAACAAAATAGGTACTGCCTCACCCCTGGGAATCAGGGAAATAATAACCCCTGTGCTAATACCTCAACCTTGGCTCTTAGACTAGCACAGGTGATCTCCTGTCTCAGAGCTCAAAGCTTCCCAGAGGTGGCTGCAAATGGAAATCATGCATACCAAAACCTGCCTCCCTGTTCACTCATGGCATGTAGTTTAGCATTTAGCAACACCTTTGCACAAGGACGTGATGAAGGCCAAAGAGACTCACGGCATGTAAACAAGTTCCAGGCTGGAGCTGTCAGGTGTAAAAAGTGCATGTGCACGGAGACAGAGCCATGCTGCTTGCTGGTCCCGAGGGTCCCCAAGTGTGAGCTTTGCTGGCCTCTTGGCAGAAGCCACCAACTCTCCCCAGAAAGATCGTCTTCCTTATTCAGTGCTTGTTTATGAAGCTTCTGTAACCAGGCAGTTGAGATGGAGAGCTAGAGCACAATAACGCGTAGACCTTGGCAAATGTCAACTTTATGTAACATCTGTGAGCTTCATTTCCTGATTCTACAGTGTTGCTGAAGTAAGATACCTTAGGTGGAGTTGGTATTGAAGAGAGACACTGTTGTACTTTCTTCCAATTATTGTGTGTATTGTGGTACTTTCTTTTTTTGAAATGGGGTCTCAGTTTGTTGCCCAGGCTGGCGCTCACTGCAGCTTCAACCTCCTAGGCTGAAGCCCGTCCTTCCACCTCAGCCTCCCAAGTAGCTGAGACTACAGGCATACCAACGTGCCCGGCTAATTTTTGTAATTTTTGTAGAGACAGGGTTTCACTATGTTGCCCACGTTGGTCTGGAACTCCTGGTTTTCAATGATCCACCCACCTTGGCCTCCTAGGGTGCTGGGATTATAGGTGTAAGCCACTGCGCCCAGCCACTGGAACTTTTTGGAGTACTCCACAAGGTTGTATTTAAAGGAAGAAGGGAGCAAAGAAGTGTTCATTCTTGGGATGTTTTCTATGTTTACCTCAAGTCCTGAAGTTTTGGTTAGGTCAATATTTATTGAGCCGCAATCAAGAAAGAGCACCTTCTCCTCAGCCTATCAATGTTTCCCTTCTACCTTAAAGAAAAAGGAAGGCCGATTGCAGTGGCTCACGCCTGTAATTCCAGCACTTTGGAAGGCCGAGGCAGGCAGAGCAGGAGGTCAGGAGTCAAGACCATCCTGGCTAACACAGTGAAACCCCATCTCTACTAAAAATGCAGAAAATTAGCCGGGCATGGTGGCACGCTCCTGAAGTGCCAGCTAGTCGAGAGGCTGAGGCAGGAGAATGGCATGAACCCGGGAGGCAGAGCTTGCAGTGAGCCGAGATCGCACCACTGCACTCCAGCCTGGGTGACAGTGTGACACTCCGTCTCAAAAAACAAACAAACAAACAAAAAGATCATGCCACCGCACTCCAGCCTGGGCGACAGAACGACACTTCATCTCAAAAAAGAAAAAAGAAAAAGGAAAATGTTTCCTTGATCATGTTCCCTCCTCAAGCACCTGTACTGTCATTCCTGCACCCCACCAAACTCATTAAAAACAGATTCTGCACCTCAGAAAATGATTCATTCCTCAAATACCTCTAGTCTGACTTTCTCCATTAGAAGTCTTCAGTAAGTTCTGGGTTCCCATATCCAGTAATCTTACTGCAACTGGCATTCCTCCTTCCCTGCTCATCCATCCTTACCTGTGTGCAGCAGGAAGTGGGTATGGGGGTGGGGGTGGTGAGGAAGGGAGTAGGTGTTGACCTGCAGTGCAGCTGGGCAGGGTTCCCTGGAAGATCTGCTCAGAATCCTCAACCTCACCTTCCAGGTGCAGTGATGGACAAGTTCTCCAGAGTCACCGAGCTTGTGGCCTGAGTCCTGCTTCTGAGCCCTGGACCCAGCAGAATAGATGCCATTCCTGTCCAACTGTTCATCTCCTTCACCACCAGTGTCTCTCTTCCTCCCCTCTACCAATATCCATGATGTCAGTTAGGATGCATTAGGCTGCAAGAAAGGGAATCTTCAGTGGAGCACTGATATGCTCAGATAGCAGGGGAGTAGGGTGTTGAAGAAGGACCCAAGACACACAGCTCTTCAAACTCAGGAAGGAGCCTCAAAAATGGATCTGTTTTGTTCCTCTGCCCACAACAGGCAGATGTCAGGTCATCTGGCTTTTAGCAAACCATGTATATTTCCTAACCTGTGTGGATTAGTGGATTTTCATTGTTGCCCTGCAGGGCCTTTGCCATGAGAAGCACTCCGTGGATGTTATCCATAGGTGGCATCTCAAAGCAGCGCACTCATGGCAGTCAGAAAAAGGAAACTAATTAGGCAAAAATTTTAAGTAGTAGACGACTTATGCATTACCAAGTTCTAGTGCCAAAAGGAATTTGTTGTGTTTGCATGAGTTTAGCAGTCTGGCATTGACGGGTGACTCTATTGGCCTCTGTCTTACGGGATCCATTGCCTGGTCACTTGTGCTATCTGGGCAGCTTTTAAGAATCACATGGTGACCATGTGCCTTTCCCGTGAGCTCATGTTACCATCCCAGGAGCAGAGAAGCAAGGGAGCGAGCCCCTAGAAATGTGCACAGCCTGCACCTGCTGTAGTGAGCAGCTCCCCCAAATGCTGGGGGAGTTGTGAGTTGTTTGCCCCCACATATTTCTGAACACAGCCAGGGAAGTGGAAGTCCATTTTCCACTTAGTATGGAAAGAGAGAAAATTTGTCAGATGAGTTCCTGTAAACATAATAAGTATTTCCTCTGGGACTTCATCACCCAAAGTCCAAACTATAAAGAAGACATGTTCTTCCATACCCAGATTTTTAGCATACATAAGATAATTCACACAGACTTGCAAGGCATTATGAGGAACATGGGACAGAACCACAGATTCAAACTGAATTTAGCTGGGAAAGAACTGCCTGCAACATAATCAAGTGATAGATTCAGGGGAAGGGAGGTATGTGTGAAAAGATTTTTTGTTTGTTTGTTTTGTCAGATGGGCTTCCTCTGTCACCCAGGCTGGAGTACAGTGCTGCGACCGTGACTTACTGCAGCCTCTACCTCATGGGACCAAGTGATCCTCCTATCTCATCCTCCCAAGTAGCTGGAACCATAGGCATGTGCCACCTCACCTGGCTAATTTTTATATTTTTTGTAGAGACAGTGTCTCACTATGTTCCCCAAGCTGGATTTGAATTCCTGTGTTCAAAGGATCCTTCTACCTTGGCCTCTCAATGTGCTGGGATCATAGATATGCACCACAACACCCAACCAAAATGATTTTTTAAAGAAGGGGAAAATACTGTCTAAAGAGGAAGGAAGAACGGAATGTGAGGAGCTGTCTTGAGTGTAGTCAACACACATGACAGTTCTGTCATTTCAAAATTGCCTAGTGTCCCTTTGTTCTGAGCCCTCTTCTATTCCTTCCCTGCACCTTGCAGCCTACTCTGTGTTCTGTTCATAGAGTTTTGCACTCGTAAGAATGGCATAGAGATGGCATCATGCATTGTGTGGCCCTGAGAGTGTGACGTCTTTTATTCAACCTCATGTATTTGAGATTCATGCATGCTATTGTGTGCACCAGCCATTCTTTCTTTAATAGCTAAGTGACATTTCATATTGAAGGCCTTTTCAGTGATTTGTTTATCCATCCTCCTGTGGAAGGACATTTGGGTGCTTTCTAGGTTTTAGGGATTCCAACATAAAGCTGCAAAAAACATTTTCATACAGATCTTTTGTGTGAACATAGGTTTTCACTTCTCTTGGGTAAATATCTAGGAGTGGGATTGCTGGTTCATGTGGTTAACTGTAGGTTTCAGAAACCAGTGCATTCTTTTCCAACTAAGGCGGAGGCAAGACACATGACAAATATGAATGGTTTTACAGAGATGAGTTCTGTTGCAGAGCTTGTCTGCCTGTTGCTCAAGGCGTATTGGAAAGTATGTAAAAAGACATTAGCTCTGGTGTATATATCTGCAGAACACTCATGAAGTTTGATTCTTTTTCTGAGGGTTTGCAGTTAGCCTTCTGGGCTAATTTCATGAATCTGTCAGGGTCACAGTTTCCATGGGCAGACGTGAATGTCGCCCAGGTCTGCTGAGTGACAGAGCATCCTGGTTTGCACACCTTCCCCTCCTTCAGCAGTGCAGTTGGTGTAACTTTCTGCATATAAACAGAAAACTCTACAGTCTGGTTAGCCCTCTGGTGGGTAGACTCCAGAATCTGCACAGGACAGAGGCCTGTCTATTCTGGCTTTCAGAAAACAGGGTTCCTACCGGCTGGACCATATGGCAGCCAGGAAAGATCTCTGTGCATTTGCCCACATACCCATGCTGTACAAGTCATCAAAAATCCAGTGAAGCATTTTCCCCACCTATATATTTAACTTCTAAATCTACTTATCTTTCAGATAGATAGATAGATAGATAGAGACAGGCTAGATAGATTAGACAGATTAGATAGAATAGATAGAATAGATAGGTAGATAGATACATAAATATTAATAGATACATTAGGTAGATAGTTTAGAGTAGATATTGATAGATTAGACAGATGATAGATATAGATACATAGGCCAATAGATTGATAGATTAGACACAGTAGTTATTAATAAATAGATAGTAGATATTAATAGGTTAAATAGATGGATTAGATAGAGTAGATATTAATATATTTGAAAGATGATGATACATAGATAAGAGACAGATAATAATATATCAGAAGAGTAGATATTAATAGATAAATTAGATAGGATAGATTGATTAGATTAGATAGATACATTGATTTCCTGGCTATGTGACATACTTCACCTGCAGTACTTCTCTCTGGTGATGATGTCATTCAGATGAGTTACTGTAAGAGGAGTGAGTACAAAGAAGAGTGAATGAGATCTCAGTGGCCTCCTCTTTCCACAGCAAGCCCAAGCACAAAGATAAAAGGCTACACTGAGCACTCAACACACAGTGAGGTTGGGCTCTCCATAAGGAGTATGTAGCAGATGACCCAGCAACTTCACAACTGGTGCAGGTCTTGGTTAGAGTGAGGTAAGGTGGAGGGGAAGCACTTCCCTGAGGTGTTCGTGTGTTCCAGTGCTCCTCGTATCCTAGGCTTCTGAACAGAGGGCTGTCAGTTGAGTGAGTGGTTCTTGTCACCTCCTGTTGGCCTGGCGTTTCATGGTTCTGGAGTTTCTGCCCAAGTGGAGACCAAGGTCTGTTCTGTGTCAGTCTCCTCCTGTCACATCTGTAAGCTGCTGTTGTGAGGGCGGTGGTGTCAAGGTGAGCTGAATGGAAAGACATGCTCCCTCCTTCCAAGACTGACCTCACACTTTAGGGGAGTAGTACAGTGTGCTTTAAAAAACCTCAGCAGAAACAACACAGATATCCATTGACAGAGGAAATTCCATCAAAAGCATGTATGCATCCATACAGTGGAATATCATGACTGAGCTTTGAAAAGGAAGGAAATTCTGACACAGGCTACAGCATGGATGACTCTCAAAGAAATTATACCAAGTGAAATTAGCCAGTCACAAATGGCAGATACCATAGGATTCTACTTGTAAGGGATACCTTGAGGAGTCTAGTCCAAAGACACAGACAGTGGAAGGGTAGTTGCTGGAGCATGGGGAGAAACGGAGGGTGTGGAGTTTGTATTTAAGGGTACAGTTTCAGTTTTGCAAAATGAATAAAATTCTCGACACATTTGGTGGCGAAGGTTGCACAACAGTATGAATGCACCTAATGCCTCTAAACTGTGCACTTAAAAATGGTTAAGATGGAGTCCAAGGTGGGAGGATCACTGGAGGCCAGGATTTCAAGTAAGCTTGGGCAACATAGCAACACCCTATCTCCACGAAAAAAATTTCAAAAATTAGCTAGGCATGGAGGCTCACATCTGTAATCCAGCACTTTGGGAGGCTGAGGTGGGAGGATTGCTTGAGCCCGGGTGTTCAAGGCTGCAGTGAATGGGGATCATGACAGTATACTGCAGCCTGGGCAACAGTGAGACCCTGTCTCCACAAAATAAATGTGTATTTTTACCACAGTTTTGGGCGACAGGTCACAGTGAGATGGTCCATGTGTAGATGCGTTAAGTTTAGAAAATTAGTCTCAGAAGAGAGAACCACAGGAATTACATTATAACTTAGAGTGAATTATAATTAGTGTGAATTCCCAGTAATTATTACATGATAAGGGCTTTTTCATAGTTGTGTTCAGTGTTTGGGGCAAGTCCCTAGCACAGACAGTGTCATTTGTTAGCTACACTGGTATCTGACAAAATTTGGTTATGAAAAAAATTAAGCAGAAAATGTAGCTTTAGTCATAATAGCAATATTCTGGAAAAAAGGCTATTATCCCTCAGTGGATATGGGTGAGGCAAGCTGTGTTGTCTCTGTGCCACGGAGCACTGCTCAGCTGTGAAAAGGAAGGAGCTGTGAATATGTGCGATAAGCTAAAGAAACCTCCAGAGTAATGTGCTAAGTAGAAAAAGCTGTCTCATAACATACCAGAATCTCTGGGACACATTTAAAGCAGTGTGTAGAGGGAAATTTATAGCACTACATGCCCATAAGAGAAAGCAAGGAAGATCTAAAATTGACACGCTAACATCACAATGTAAATAACTAGAGAAGCAAGAGCAAACAAATTCAAAAGCTAGCAGAAGACAAGAAATATCTAAGATCAGAGCAGAACTGATAGAAAGAGAGACATAAAAAACCGTTCAAAAAATCAATGAATCCAGGAGGTGGTTTTTTGAAAAGATCAACAAAATAGGTAGACAGCTAACCAGACTAATAAAGAAGAAAAGAGACAAGAATCAAATAGACACAATAAAAAAATGATAAAGAGGATATCACTACCAATCCCACAGAAATACAAACTACCATCAGAGAATACTATAAACACCTCCACACAAATCAGCTGGAAAATTTAGAAGAAATGGATACATTCCTGGACATATACACCCTCCCAAGACTAAACCAAGAAGAGGTTGAATCCCTGAATAGATCGTAACAGGCTCTGAAATTGAGGCAATAATTAATAGCCTACCAACCAAAAATTCTCCAGGACGAGACAGATCCACAGGCAAATTCTACCAGAGGTACAAAGAGGAGCTAGTACCATTCTTTCTGAAACAATTCCAATCAATAGAAAAAGAGAGAATCCTTCCTAACTCATTTTATGAGACCAGCATCATCCTGATACCAAAACTTGGCAGAGACACAACAAAACAAGAAAATTTCAGGCCAGTATCCCTGATGAACATTGATGCAAAAATCCTCAACAAAATACTGGCAAAAAATCCAGCAGTACATCAAAAAGCTTATCCACCACGATCAAGTTGGCTTTATCCCTGGGATGCAAGGCTGGTTCAACATACACAAATCAGTAAACGTAATTCATCACATAAACGGAACCCATGACAAAAACCACATGATTATCTCAATAGATGCAGAAAAGGCCTTTGACAAAAATTCAACAACCCTTCATGCTAAAAACTCTCAACAAACTAGGTATTGATGAAACATCTCAAAATAATAGGAGCTATTTATAACAAACCCTCAGCCAATATCATACTGAATGGGCAAAAACTGGAAGCATTCCCTTTGAAAACCTGCAAGAGAGAAGGATGCCCTCTCTCACCACTCCTTTTCAACATAGTATTGGAAGTTCTGGCCAGGGCAGTCAGGCAAGAGAAAGAAATAAAGCGTATTCAATTAGGAAGAGAGGAAGTCAAATTGTCCCTGTTTGCAGATGACATGATTGTATATTTAAAAAACCCCATTGTCTCAGCCCAAAACCTCCTTAGGCTGATAAGCAACTTCAGCAAAGTCTCAGGATACAAAATCAATGTGCAAAAAGTACAAGCATTCCTATACATCAATAACAGACAAACAAACAGCCAAATCATGAGTGAACTCCCATTCACAGTGGCTACAAAGAGAATAAAATACCTAGGAATCCAACTTAGAAGGAATGTGAAGGACCTCATCAAGGAGAACTACAAACCACTGCTCAAGGAAATGAGAGGACACAAACAACTGGAAAAACATTCCATGCTCAGGGATAGGAATAATCAATATCATGAAAATGGCTATAATGCCCAAAGTAATTTATAAATTCAGTGTGATCCCCATCAAGCTACCATTGACTTTCTTCACAGAATTGGAAAAAACTACTTTAAATCTCATACAGAACCAAAAAAGAGCCCATATAGCCAAGACAAACCTAAGCAAAAAGAACAGAACTGAAGGCATTGCGCTACCTGACTTCAAAATATACTACAAGGCTACAGTAACCAAAACAGAATGGTACTGGTATCAAAACAGATATATAGAACAGAGGCCTCAGAAATAACACCACACATGTACAACCATATGATCTTCGACACACCTGACAAAAACAAGCAATGGGAAAAATATTCTCTATTTAATAAACGGTGTTGGAAAAACTGGCTAGCCATAGGCAGAAAGCTGAAACTGATCCCTTCCTTACACATTATACAAAAATTAATATAAGATGGATTAAAGACTTAAACGTAAGACCTAAAATGATAAAAACCCTAGAAGAAAACTTGGGCAATACCATTCAGGTTATAGGCATGGGCAAAGACTTCATGACTAAAACATGAAAAGCAATGTCAACAAAAGCCAAGATAGACAAATAGGATCTAATTAACTTAAAGAGCTTCTGCATAGTAAAAGAACCTATCATCAGGGTGATCAGGCAACCTATAGAATGGGAAAAATTTTTGTCATCTATCCATCTGACAAAGGGCTAACATCCAGAATCTACAAAGAACTTAAACAAATTTACAAGAAAAAAAAATCAAAAAGTGGGTGAAGGATGTAAACAGACATTTCTCAAAACAAGACATTTATGTAGCCAACAAACATATGAAAAAAAGCTCATCATCACTAGTCATTAAAGAAATGCAAATCAAAACCACAATGAGATACCATCTCACACCAGTTAGAATAGTGATCATTAAAAAGGAAACAACAGATGCTGGAGAAGATGTGGAGAAATAGGAATGCTTTTACACTGTTGGTGGGAGTGTAAATTAGTTCAACCATTGTGGAAGATAGTGTGGTGATTCCTCAAGGATCTAGAACCAGAAATACCATTTGACCCAGCCATCCCATTACTGGGTTTATACCCAAAGGATTATAAATCATTGTGCTATAAAGACACATGCACACGCATGTTTATTGCGGCACTGTTTACATTAGCAAAGACTTGGAACCAACCCAGATGCCCATCAATGATAGACTGCATAAAGAAAATTAGGAACATATACACCATGGAATACTATGCAGCCAGAAAAAAGGGTTCATGTCCTTTGTGGGGACATGGATGACGCTGGAAACCATCATTCTCAGCAAACTCACACAAGAACAGAAAACAAAACACCATATGTTCTCACTCCTAAATGGTAGTTGAACAATTAGAACACATGGACACAGGGAGGGGAACATCCCACACCAGGGCCTGTTGGGGTGGGGGGATAGGGGAGTGATAGCATTAAGAGAAATACCTAATGTATATGACAGGTTGATGGGTGCAGCAAACCACCATGGCATGTGTATACCTATGTAACAAAACTGCACTTTCTGTACACATACCCCAGACCTTAGAGTATAATACTAAGAAAAAAGGAAAAAAAGAACAAGCTATGTCAGAAGATTGCAGACTATATGATTCCATCTATAGGACATGCTTAAGGTGCTGAAAATATACAGGTGGACACCAGATCAGTGGCTGCCGGGAGTCCAGAGTAGGGATGGGAGTGTGTGCATTCAAAGGATGGTTATGTGGGAGTCATTTATTCTGAAAATACTGAGGACTCAGTTTTATTCAGTTTCTTATCACCCTTCATTGACATTGGCTCACCAATTTGTCTGAGCAATTCATCATGAGTATTTTCAGCACATTCATCTTGAGCACCAGCTGCTGTAGTGAGGAGGGTCACTGTGTGATATAAAGTCAGTTAAGATGGGTTCCCTGCCTTCAAGGGGCATTAGCCTTCTCAGAAGCCAGGAGCTGCATGGGAAACATGGGATGTAGCACATGATACCATGATAATACACAAGGATGGTGAGGAGCACTAGGGGAGCCGAGAGAAGAGAGCCATCACATCTATCGAGAGCATGAGGAAGGCTGCTGTGAAGGAGGGCATGCTGGCTGCAGCTGTAATCACTAGCAAGGTGGGCAGGGGGTGACAAGGGAATTCCAAAGCAGAGTTTCTTACCCTTGCACTTTGAAATCTGGGGTTGGATCATTTTTTCACATAGACAGCCTTGTGGATGGCAGGATGTTTAACCATATTCTTGGCCTCTACCTACCGGATGCCTGTAGCACATAGACACCCACTCATCCAGATGTTGCCAAATGTCTTCCCTTTGGGGACAAAACCAGCCTCACTTGAGAATTACTGGTCCAGACCTGGAAGTCAAATGGGAATGCAGGCTTATGCTTGGAGCACGGTGAGAGTTGGCATGGCTTTAGAATGGGGTACATGAGGTTTGGAAGGCCATTCTGAGGTGAGGAAGCTCACCCAGGCCTGCCGACCCTCAGCTGCTTTGGAAAAGGAGAGCAGTAGGCAGCTCATGGTGATCAGGAAAGTTACTGCAATGGGTTTGTGTTGCATCAGGCAGCACATGTGAAGTTCACAAGCTATTGCCTGATGCCGAGAATGCACTCATTAGACACCAGCTATCATTGTTATTGCGATTATTGTCAGGCATATCAGAAGAGAAGAGATGAACAAAGGGCTTGTAGACAGAGGGCCCAGGACCAGAGTGGAAGCAAAGAGAAAAGAAAGGCAGATAGGAGAGATATGGAGAGGATGGAGGCAGGGCGTCTAGGAGGGCATGACATTTGTTTACTGCTACTATTTGTGTACAGTAATCCCTGGGCATCCATGGGGGATGGGTTCCCAGACCCCCTTTAATAACAAAATCCATAGATACTCAAGTCCCTGATATAAAATGGCATAGTAGTTAACAGATAACTATGTTTATCTTCACCTGAAACTTATATCAAAGGTACATCCTCCTGTGAAGTTTAAATTAGCTTTACATAACTTATAATACCTAATACAATGTAAATGCTGCATTTGTTATACTGTATTGGTTTTTTATTTGTATTGTTATTGTATTGTTTCTCATTTTTTTCTATTTTTTGTTTTTATGTATGGTGAGTTACGTTGGTGTATGTGGAATGATTGGATATGGAGAGTCAACTGTATATAAAAGCAGGTCGGCACACTTTTCTTCACCTTAGTGGTTTCTGTTGCACCTACTTAGTTCCCCCTGTGTAGTGTGAAAACAGCCATAGAAAACCATCAACTCATGGGTGTGGCTGTAGCTCAATAAAATTTTATTTAGATACACAATCACTGGGCCAAACTTGGCCTGTGGGCCTCAGTTTGCAAACGCATGATGTAGACAATTTAGGAATAGCATACAGTGCTCACTGGCTTTCATGAGCTATCAAGACTCCAATTATATATGCCTGTTAAATATTTAATGAAAATTCCAGATTTAATGCCACAAATTGGTGCCCTTAGTATTTGTTTCAGCTGAAGATGCAAAACCAGCACGACAGCTGCCTGAGAATTAGGTGTCTGCTTTTCTCTGCCAAATAAGCAGTATTTCTAAAAAGTAGTGACTAGTAATTTAGCAGATTTTGCTGATGAATCAAGCCAACATTAACTGGGTATAGTGGTTCACTGTACAACTGAAATGGTTTGTGATGCCATTTCTGAGTGGTATGGTTTAGCAGTGTCATCATTGCAAGAAACAAAGTATGTACTTGGCTTGTTTTAAATCTGTTTTTATTGCCTCGTTAGATGAGATAAATTTTGTAAAGACCATTTCTTCTCTTGTGAGACTATTGCACCTTTCACTCCAAATGGACAGGGCTTTATGTGAAGGATCCTTCCATCCTTTCTGTGGTTCTTATTTTAAGGCTTTCTCAGTTTATTTTGATTATACTCTTCTTTTCTCCTTAGGAATAATCTTACCTCGTCTGATTGTCCTCTTTTACTCTAAGGTTTGTGCACAATCGCATGGAAAGAGTGGCTTACTTTTCAGTAGCAACAACCTAGAACCAAGCTGAAATGTGAGGAGAGTAGAGCTGGGAGTAGTGGCCTTTTAGGTGTCACCTCCCCACCGTGGTGGGGTTGATGGAAACATTTTCGATTGTCACAATGGGAGTGGATGCTACTGGCTTGTGGTGGGTAGAGGCCAGGGGTGCTGCTCAACATGCTACAATGTATGGGACTGTGTGCACACAGCAAAGAATGATCCTGCCTAAAAGTCAGCCATGCTGTGATTGAGAAACCTTGCTGAAGAGAGATTCATCAGGAATATGCCTTCCAAGTGGGTGGCAAGGCTGCTGGCTTCAGAAATATCTCCAGCCTAGCCCAGATGTGACACTTAAGGAACCCAACCCATCACCCTCACACTATCTTTCATTGAGGTACCACCAAGCTCTTTATTCTCTTGCACTTTGATTATTCTCCTGCCCCTTAACTACTTCTGCACCTGCCGCTGGAGCAGTCGTGGGTGCTTTGTTTGTCACTAACATTCTCATCTTTGTTCCTGTGTGTGTGTTGTTCTCATCTGTGTTCCTGTGTGTGTGTTGTTGGGCAGAAGAGATGTGTTCAGAGTTGCAGAAAAGCTGAGGAGGCACAAGGCACCAAAGTCTCACCACTCTGGCAGACTGCAAATTAATGTGTTCATTAATTCTGGACCCTAAGTTGGAGGGGTGAGATGCTGGCAGGAGTGCAGGCAGGGCTGGCCCTGGAAGAGAAGCATCTTCTGTGGAGGTGCTGTGTCTTCCAAGTGCCTTCCACAGCACCCTGGCACTTGGCCTCAGCAACCATAGCCTAAGATGCTGATGAATCAGGCCTAAGAGGAAGTGGTCAGGCCTCCTCTATTACCTAGTCCTTGGGCATTGTCTCAGTTTGTTTGGGCTGTAACCAACACCTTAGACTGGGTAATTCATATGCAACAGAAATGTACTGCCCACAGTTCTGGAGGCATCCATGATCAAGGTGCCAGAGATTTGCTTTCTGATGAGGTCCTGTTCCTCAGGGATGGCTCCTTCTGTGTCTTCACATGGTGGAATGTGCAGGGGAGCTTGCCTGAACCTCTTTTATATGGGCACTGATCCCATTCATGAGAGTGAAGCCCTCATGCCTTAATCACTGCCTGAAGTCCCCACCTCTTAATACCATCACTCTAGAGATTTGTCTAGCACATACAAATCTGAAAGGAAAACAAACATCCAGAACATGGCAGGCATTATGCTGTCCCTAAATGAATATCAGAACTAGAAAATATCCTAGTGGCCATTTCATTTGACATCCTCATTGTACCAACAAGGAAACCTGGGAAAGTGACATTTCTACTTGCTACGGTCTTCTCTCTTGATTGACCCTGTCTGGGGAATGGCTCCTGTCCCTTGTGTGTGCCTCATCAGCACCTCGAGGTACTTTTTATCTCCACATTGCAGAGGAGAAAATGCAGATGCAGCCAAATGAGGCAATGTGGACCAGGCACCCAGTGGTAGAGCAAGGACAGAACCCAGCCATCCTGCCTGCTTCTGACATTTTCTCCATTCCACTCGCCTGCTTACCTTCACAAGATCACAAGGCCAAAAATCAATAAGAAAGTCTTAAAAGCAAATGGACTGAAAAAACCACTGATTTAGAGCCCATATAGAGATGCATTCCAAGAAATACAACTAGTAAAGATTTCAGCAGATAAGAGGACTTCTGATAACAGTACGTCCCCTAGGTGTTTATGAAAGTGCCTATTTCCAGTCATGACAACCTGCCCTTTCCAAAAGAGGACCCAAGCTGATGAAAGATGTTCAAGGTAACAGTACTCCTGTATAACTTTATGCTGCGCATTTGTCATTGTGTATCTGCACAAGAAATTCCTTCCAGCAGACAACTTTCAGCTCTCTTTGCAGAAGTCTCAGACTACCCACCCTTGGTCCGTCTTTGCTGGTTCATCTCCTTGTTCCAATAAGCTTTAGTTGAATGTGAATACCGTTGTCCACACAGTCTAGAAATGAAACTTGCATTGGAGAGCATAGTTATGTAGAGAATTAAAGGTATGCAGCCAAACCATGTACTCAACATTAAAAATCCAGATGAGACAGAAATCAGGGGCACACTCTGCCTTGGGTTAGAGTGAGCATTGCACACCATTCTTTACTAGTTGCCTGAGTTGCACCCAGGCTGACTGCTGTTCAGAGCTGCCAGTACTCTAGCTGGACAGCCAGATGGCAATGGAGTCTGTGTCCATGCAGGGAATTCAAGAATTTTTGTTCCTCTGCCTGTGGGTCTTGAAGTGAAAGGTAAAAAGTGTAATCTCGGAGTCACATAGCCTATGGTTCACATTTTGTTTCATCTTCTTATCACATGAACCTTGACCTGATGTTTCCAGTGTTTGTCGTTCTATGTGAAAGAAAAACAGTACCAACACCCAACAGCTACTGCAAAGACTGAGATAGTTTACAGAGTACTCAGGTTTGGTTGAAGATGGTAATGTGGTCAGAATCGGCTCTGTTTCACAGGGCATGTGACTGCAGGTGTCAGTTCTGTGGCCCAGTGTGGTTGCAAGAATGCATGAGTGAGACTGGATGAATAAAATATGCGAGAAGCATGAGACTTTTCTTCCACAGTTGATTTGTCAGCCATGAGGTTTGTTTTTCAGGAGCCGTAATCAGCACCTAATGCTGTATTCTTCTGAATTCAGTAGATGTTTCTTGATGCTGTTTCATGATGGCTAAGAGTGTTTACTGGCTACCCTGGCTTGGATCTCAGGCCCACCCCTACAAACTGAGCAATGGGAGGCTGTCAGTTATCTTCAAAAGATCTCAGACACCTGATTTATCAAGGGGAAAGGGGCAGTGATAGAATGGTGCAGAGAGGCTTAAACCCATTGAGTAGGAGCCACTTGAGTGGCCCCCCATCAGCCATGAGAGTCATGATGTCTATGAGAGAGGAATCACTGTGGCCCAGAGTAGATAAGGAAGATTTCATGCAATGGAGTCTTGAGCCAAGAATGCAGTGAGGTCCTGCTTCATCCATTGACTGGGGGTTTTTCTATTCCACACTTTGCCAAAGACCTCAATGATAAAAGCTTGCAGGTGAAACATGGTATAGCATGGCGGGGAGTAGAGTCATTGGTGAATACAAGGGTGGGTTGCTTCATTTGGTAGGAATGGGTAGATGAAAAGGAAGGTGAATATACAGAGAGAAACAAGTAAGAAGGTTAGGTTCTTGTAAAGAAACTTGGCTTATGTCCTTCAAAAACACAGTGAGGAATTTCAGTGCACCCCCAGACCACCTCTGCACCAGGCAAAGTGACCCAGCCCTGCCAGCTAGGGTTGCCTGTATTAGGAAACTCCCTGCAGCACCCTAGACTTGCCGGCAGTAGGATGCCACCTCCCTCTCTTTGATGAAGGGCTGTCACAGCTTCCCCATCGCCCCTAGACTTCCACAGATGCTCAGTGGCCTTGGCTTCTTTCTTTGAAGCAGGTATCATCCACAAGAGCAAGGCATGGCTTTCTGTATATTCAGTACTGACCCCCCGCCCCCCAACAGCTTCATCAAGAGCCTTTATTCAAAGCTGATCTGAAAACACCTTTAAATTGCCAAGCGTCATTGATCAGCAGCTTCCTACAGTGGCAGTGAAAGAGATGATGCACTGGGGGAGAAAAGGAAAAGAGCCAGTATCTATTAGAAAAGATAAAATTCCCAGTATTCTGAGAAAATGATTCAGTGCCACACCAATCAGTGCACAACGGGCTTGTTTCTGTCTTTGGACTTTGGGTTGTAATGCAATTGCCCCCAGTGCACTTGGGTTCAGTGTTTGCTGTTCCCTCATCTTGGGCTGAAGAAAGGTGCCCTGTGTGCTTGCAGGGGGTGACACAGAGAAGCTTCAGCATGACCTTCTGCAAAGTCATGTGAACCATGGAGTCGGGGGATCCTGGAGTCAAATTTCTTTAACAGGAATGTCCAACTGGGGCACGCAGAGCAAACTCTTTATTGTCTGTTCTCTGCTTTATTCCTTTTTTTTTTTTTTTTGAGATGAAATCTCACTCTGTCACCCAGGCTGGAGTGCAGTGGTACAATTTTGGCTCACTGCAACCTCCGTTTCCCAGGTTCAAGCAATTCTGCTGCCTCGGCCTCCTGAGTAGCTGGGACTACAGGTGTGCACCACCACGTCCAGCTAATTTTTGTATTTTTAGTAGAGACAGGATTTCACCATATTGGCCAGGCTGGTCTCCAACTCCTCACCTCAGGTGATCCACCTGCCTCGATGTGCTAAAATGCTAGGATTACAGATGTGAACCGCCATGCCTGCCCTGGTCTCTGCTTTATTCTTAACAATACTGAAGTGGTTCTACCATTAAAGGCCCTTGTTCTAAGATACCAATTTTGGTCTTCCTGAATCTGAAACCTCTCCCTCTCCCCTTGCCCTTTTCCACCTTACTGAGCCCAAATCAGAAGGGCCCCTGGGCATCCTACAGTGCTGTCTTAGCCCACAAATTAAATGTGTTTGAAATCTGCAGGCCACTTTCAGATCTCAATGGCTGCGCGTCCCTCCTTCAATTTGGGTCTCACTCAACGTCAGCTTTCCTCTCTTGCCGCAGGTTTTTCTCACTCGGCTTTCACGTTTGGGATCGAGAGCCACATCAGCCAGTCCAACATCAATGGGACACTAGTGCCACCGTCTGCCCTCATCTCCATTCTCCAGAAGGGACTGCAGTATGTAGAGGCTGAGATAAGCATCAACAAGGTATGTAGCTGCTGGGCCTGGCCCCCAAACAGCAGAGCCCTGGGAAGGTGCAAGAGGTTGGAACACATTAGAAGCTAAAATGCATTTCCCTCAGGCATTTGGGATTAATTCGGCGGCAGGGTGCAGTGGCTCATACCTGTAATCCCAGGACTTTGAGAGGCTGAGGCAGAAGGATCACTTGAGCCAGGAGTCTGAGACCAACTGGACAACCTGGCGAAACACCATTTCTACAGAAAAATTTAAAGATTAGCTGGGTGTGCTGGTACATACCTGTTGTCCCAGCTACTCAGGAATCTGAGCCGAGAGAATGATACTGCCTAAGCCCACAAGGTCAAGGCTGCAGTGAGCTGTGATCACCCGAGGGCACTCCAGCCTGGGCAACACTGTGAGACCATATATCTAAAATAAATAAATAAATAAATAAATAAATAAATAAATAAATAAATAACGGAAGAACACTCGTTTCCACCCCACTTTGTGTTAACACCTTATTGATGTGTTGTGTGTATACATAGTAACGAGTTTCCAGTGCCCCTCCCACATGGGTCTGTGTATTTTATTTAAACGTGGAATCACTGGCTGCTGAATGATGGAAACAATTACATTGCCACATCTGAAAATGATGCAGCAAACCCTCAACTGCTCTGGGCTTCAGAGTGGACTTTTGCCTTGCACATACTATGATTTGCTCTGTCTTCTTCATTTCTTGGAGTAGGTTGAAGCTGTGTTTCCTGGGAACCTGACAGAGGGCATCACCAGAGGCTACATCAGGGCAGAGAGGTGATAGCTCTTGTGTTAAAGAGAACCTCAAGGATCGCTGTAGAGCTGATGGGGTGGGAGGATGGAATCATAAACCCACATTAAAATTTTGCACTTGGCTGGTATCCCATCCCGCTTTTTAGATTGTACCACAATAAGCTATTGTGCCAGTTTTATACAAATTTTGGTTTTAAACAACACCCCTTTCCCTGTCTTGCCCCATTCTGCTGTAGTCTCAGGAATCTATAGTGAAGATCTTCTCAACTTCTGGGAACTTCTGGAATCCACTCTCTTTCTTGCCACCTTCACCTGTGTCTGTTTTATTTTTAAATTAAATTAATGTTTTTTGAGGCAGGGTCTTCCTCTGCAACCAGGCTTGACTGCAGAGGCACTATCACAGTTCACTGCAGTCTCAACCTCCAAAGCTCAAATGATCCTCCCACCTCAGCCTCCATAGTGCTGGGGCCACAGGCATGCGCCACTATGCCTGCAGTCCGTGTTATTGATTCCTCAGTCCCCAGCTCCATTTTTCTCCTACGCTGACCCAGATGCATGATTCTGCCTAACTTCTCTGTTTTCTACCTGGCAGTTGGATTTTTCCAGGATTCCCTCTATCCTGTCTTTCTGGGAACCGGTCTCACCCTTAAAAACCTTTCTCCTTTGCAGCATGTTATGTTGCTTTCTTTTCATGATTTAAAAACCTCTTTTAGAAAAATCACAAAGTAATATATCCTGTTCTCTTTTCTTCTTTCCTTTTTTTGTGGGGGGCGGGTGTGGGGTGGACAGGGTCTCACTCAGTCACCCAAACTGGAGTGCAGTGGCACAATCATAACTCACCACAGCCTCCGCCTCCTGGGGTCACATGATCCTCCTGCTTCAGCCTCTCAATTAGCTGGGACTACAGGTGCATGCCAGCACACCCAGCTAATTTTTGTATTTTTTGTGGTGAAGGCATTTTGCCATGTTGCCCACACTGGTCTGAAATTGCTGGGTTCAGCTGATCCGCCAACCTCTGTCCCCCAAAGTGCTGGGACTACAGATATGAGCCCCTGTACCTAGCTCATTTGTTTCTTACATTTTTGCCTGCCATTTTGCACAAAGCCATAGCTGTAAAAACTCTGGTGTCTGTGCTCTCTCATGCTCTTTCTTCCCTGGCAACCCGTCCATCTCTTTCCCTTCTTCATATTGGATTCCTGGGATCTTCAAGTTACCCTGCGCAGCACCAACCAGTGTCCTTATCCTAGTGTTACCAGTGGAAGGTGTCCAGGTTCTTGGTGTCTTGAACAAAGAATTGGACAAAACACACAAATAATCAAGGATGGAACAAAGGGATTTATTGAAAATGGAAGTACACTCCACAGTCGGGGAGCCCAAGCCCAAGCATTCGGGCCCAAGGATCCCATTACAGAATTTTTGGGAGTTTAAATACTCTCTAGAGGATACATTGGTTCCTTGGTGTACACCCTATGTAAATGGAGAGGGTGAAGTAAAGTTACAAAGTCACTTACTCGGCATATGCTCTATTGAGAGGATATTTCCTGTCATAGTTGAAGTGCGAATCGACCTTATGTTCCCTGCCTCCAGATCCTATTTCCCTGCCTCATTCCCCCCTAAGAAATGTGATCCTTATAAATATTTATGTGAGGCAGAGGGACCAATGGTCTTTTTTCTGTAACTGCTTCATGCTGGCTTGTGCCGTAGTTCTGAGCTATTGGGGATCATGGAACTCTCACCCTGCTGTGTCTAGTGGAGGCAGGATAGCTCCTTAATGGCCAGGGGTGCTGTCTTCACCTGGAAGTGGAGGGAACTGTTGTTGCATGATCATCTGAAGCTTGATGGTCTCCAGGAGAGAGGAAATGCATTTGGTTAAAAGATATAATGGGAACTTCAGGGGGTGGATACTTATGCTGTCAGGAATGTTTGTTATAGAGATTTGCAGGAGGAAAGCAAAAACTGGCTTGTGGTGTGTTCTGGGATCTATGTGTTTCCTTAAAGTCTTAGCACAAATGACTGCATTTTGGTTCGGTTTTGTCTGTTGGGGCCTATTGCACAAGCTTAGTCCAAAACAATGATCTCCCAGAATTTTGTTTTAAAAATTCCCTTTTTTGATCAGGTTCTCACTTAGGTAAAAGTGTGACCAAAACCTGGGGCTCTATCACCACTCTTATTTACCATAATTTTGGATTTCCAGTCTCAGCACATTATTCATAGGTTATACTGTCCTCATGGTGGCACCTTTCTTTCAGTTCTTGTCATTCCAGTTGAAGAGAGACCATTTGACATTCTAGAGATGGCTACAGGAAAGCATTTAAAGCCTTTGAGAGAACACAGCACATCAGGGAGACTATTATTATGACTATTGGGAGTATAATACCAAGACGTTGGAGTATGTTCTTTACATAAGGTCCCCATAAGCCAAACCTCCTAAAATCAAGTAGATCAAAGAATGAGCTAAATAGTCAATTCATTTTCTAAGCAGTCCGTTCATCAATCTCCTACCACTGAATCTGTATACTCTTCATTTGATGTATTTCTCCATAGGCCGCAAGTGCCAGGAGCTGCACACGTAATTCTTTGTGCAGCCAATTCTATTATTTAGCATAACTTTCACAGGAGGATTTAAAGTCTCTTGTGTAACTGTAGACTTTACCATAGAATGTGCCATAGAGCCTATTATGGGAAACACATTTTTAGTCATTGGTGTTTTACTTTAACCCCCTGAAAAAGGACCTAACAAATGATTCCCTTCTAGAAGAGTTGAAGGCCTCCTGGCAGTGTTCTCTTTAAGCCATGAGGTACATTAAGAGAAGTGAACCAATGTTTTGTTTTTGACTGATTACAAGGCAAAGTATGTACCATTAAAGTTTCTTACCTGCATTAGGCCTTTATCCTTTATCTATCAAAGATAAACATCCATATATAAGGCTGGCTACAAACTCCTTCAAAAATAAATGTATGTCCTGTAAGTGCACATAAGAGACTCCTTTTCCATTCCAGTTGTTCATAGAGGCATAAGCAAAAGAAAATATTCAAAGATAAGAGTTTCTTGATAGTAGAAGTCTTAATCTGTGAACTTGGGAAAAGCTGTTCACATCAAGGATGCCATCTCTTTCCTGAGAGAAATTTCCCTGGTTAGTTTTACCTTAAGAGTTCCAACAGGTGTGCAGTTCCAAGAGCATGGAGGGACGCTTCTCAGTTGCAAGACCATAAGCCCAAAGCCCGAGGTCCCAAACACAACAGTGTAAAAGTGTTCTTTAAGTTTTAGGGTACATGTGCACAATGTACATTGTAGTGTGGATGGCAAAAGCAGTCTTTCTTTGATGTTCTCAGAAGATCCAAATCATAAAAAGCTTTCTTTACCTGCTGAAAATACTCCGTAGCATAATAATTTGCTGTTATAACATCAGCCCTCCTGCAGGGGAAAACTTCTTTTCAACCAGAACATGCATTGAAAATAACAATTAAATGAAATTCCTTTATAACATGGCCCACCAGCTGACCAAATGTACCTGAAGAATTTGTAAGTTACCACACCAATGTATTCAATTTGGGTTATTTTATCTTTTCCATGCTGAGTCATGGCATGCAGAACTTTTAGTAATAAGAGCTTTAAGGACTCAGGAGGGACAAGGTGGGCATCCTCCTGGTTCTCCGTGAGTCCATGCCTAATTAACATTAGATGTATCCTCTTGAATATCACGTTTTTCCAAATTAGGTGTATAGCACTGATTAATGGGTTATCATAGGTAATGTGACTGAGAATGTGGAATTTATTCGAATTGCGTATTTAAAAAATTTCAGTATCAGCTGCTTTAACATGAAAATCCAACAAAGTATTTTCCTGATATTTGATTTTTGTTTGTTTGTTTCATTTTTTTTTTTTTTTTTTTTTTGAGATGGAGTCTTGCTCTGTGGCCCAGGCTGGAGTGCAGTGGTGCGATCTCGGCTCACTGCAAGCTCGGCCTCCTGGGTTCACGCCATTCTCCTGCCTCAGCCTCCCGAGTAGCTGGGACTACAGGTGTCCACCACCATGCCAGGCTAATTTTTTTGTATATTAGTAGAGACGGGGTTTCACCGTGTTAGCCAGGATGGTCTGGATCTCCTGAGCTTGTGATCCACCCACCTTGGCTTCCCAAAGTGCTGGGATTACAGGTGTGAGCCACTGCCCCCGGCCGATATTTGATTAATTTTTTTGTTCTGCTTCGGTTAGCAGCTTTATACAAGGAAATTTGGTTATTTCTGTGGTTTACAACAACAACATAATAAACATAGTTAGACATTAAAATTTTACAAACGCAGTACAATTTTGGAACATATATTAGTGTTATTCACAAAAATATAACCTAAAAAAGACTGAACATCATTTTTGCAGTCCTGTGTATCTAAACGTCAAATAATCCTGTTTACCTCTTTTCTGGATGTTTTCAGGGGCCCTGTGATCCATCCAAAAAGCCAGGCATTAGGAAAGACATTGAAACTGAAGTTAGATTTTTGAATTTCAGATTACCATAAATTATGTATTTTGCCAAAATCATGACTCGGAAATTTTAAAGAAGTGAAAACCTTTCATATAACCTTTTATTTTAAAAAAAAATTATACTGTTCTTACACACCTTGCATGTAAAACTGTTTCTAGCAGTCTTAATTGCATGTTACAATGTTGATTCTTAGCAATTTAATTTTAACATAAAACCTGTTATGTTAATTATGTGCTAGGTGTTGATAAGATCTGATTGTTTCCAGCATAGCTAGGGGTGTGGCCAACTCCACATGTCCCCAGGACTTACCTAGCTGGAAAGCAGGCAAGTTAAACAATTCTCAAAAGACAAAGAAGCAGCTTATAAACTTAAAGCATTTAGCAAACCTAATATTTGGACATAATTTAGACCATATATTTATTTACATTTTGAAGAGAATTGTATTTTACCAATAACTTTTAAAATTGTCTTTATTTCCCAAAGATTACTCAAGTCATATGAACTAAGTAAAAGGCATTACATTTTTTTTTTTATCATACTTTAAGTTCTAGGGTACATGTGCACAACGTGCAGGTTTGTTGCATATGTATACATGTACCATGCTGGTGTGCTGCACCCATTAACTCGTCATTTACATTAGGTATTTCTCTTAATGCTTTCCCTCCCCGCTCCCCCACCCCACAACAGGCCCTGGTGTGTGATGTTCCCCACCCAGTGTCCAAGTGTTCTCATTGTTCAGTTCTCACCTATGAGTGAGAACATGCGGTGTTTGGTTTTCTGTCCTTGTGATAGTTTGCTCAGAATGATGGTTTCCAATTTCATCCCTGTCCCTACAAAGGACATGAACTCATCCTTTTTTATGGCTGCATAGTATTCCATGGTGTATATATGCCACATTTTCTTAATCCATTCTATCATTGATAGACATTTGGGTTGGTTCCAGGTCTTTGCTATTGTAAATAGTACCGCAATAAACATACATGTGCATGTGTCTTTATACTAGCATGATATATAATCCTTTCTGAATATACCCAGTAATGGGATCACTGGGTCAAATGGTGTTTCTAGTTCTAGATTGCCACACCGTCTTCCACAATGATTGAACTAGTTTACAGTCCTACCAACAGTATAAAAGTGTTCCTGTTTCTCCACATCCTCTCCAGCACCTGTTGTTTCCTGACTTTTTAATGATCGCCATTCTAACTGGTGTGAGATGCTATCTCATAGTGGTTTTGATTTGCATTTCTCTGATGATCAGTGATGATGAGCATTTTTTGATGTGTCTGTTGGCTGCGTAAATGTCTTTTGAAAAGTGTCTGTTCATATCATTTGCCCACTTCTTGATTGGGTTGTTTTTATTTTTTCTTGTACATTTGTTTAAGTTCTTTGTAGATTTTGGATGTTAGCCCTTTGTCATACGGGTAAATTGTAAACCCATTCTGTAGGTTGCCTGTACACTCTGATGGTAGTTTCTTTTGCTATGCAGAAGCCCTTTAGTTTAATTAGATCCCTTTTGTCTATTTTGGCTTTTGTTGCCATTTCTTTTGGTGTTTTAGACATGAAGTCCTTGCCCAAGGCATTGCACTTTTTACTTTTCAGACGAAATATTTGATTTAAGCTTTTTATTATTATTAAATCAATTAATTAAACTCTTTTGCATTGATTAAAACTTCCAGAGAAGATAAACAGTGACTTTTGCCTTTCATTTAACCAGTTACCACAGAGACCAGAGACTCACTGGTAAGAAATTCTTACCCTTTTGCCGGCATGGCAGGTTTCTGGTCAGCTCTAGTGACCCTGCTTGACTGTATGCAAACAAATACAATGCCATGAATCCAGAATATTCCAAATAGGCCAGCGTGGTGGCTCACGCCTATAATTCCAGCACTTTGGGAGCTGGAGGCAGGTGGATCACTTGAGGTCTGGAGTTCGAGACCAGCCTGGCCAACATGGTGAAACTTCATCTCTACTAAAAATAAAAAATTAGCTGCACATGATGGCGCATGCCTATAATCCCAGCTACTTGGGAGGCTGAGGCAGGAGAATCGCTTGAACCCAGGAGGCAGAGGTTGCAGTGAGTTGAGATTGCACCACTACACTCAGCCTGGGCAAAATGCAAGAGACTCTGTCTCAAAAAAAAAAAAAAAAAAAAAAAAAAAAAAAGAATATTCCCAAATAGTTTAAAAATTTTCAAGAAATTAGGCAGAGAGAGAGAGAAATATAACTTATATTCTATTGATGAGAGTATTCTCAACACACTTAAAGTATCAGGAGGCCTAAAATCCAAAAAGTTAGTTTAAGAATCGAAAGCTGGTGTGCTCCATTAATTTCTGCAGGCCCAATAAAGGTAGCTTGGAAATTCAAGGTAAATGGAACAAATGATGACTTGCTAGAAATACATAGGAAACAAAATATTCGCGGAACGAAAAAGAAGCTTTCCAATAGGAACTAAAAGACATCATGGATACACACACACACACACACACACACACACACACACACAATGTACATATACACATACACTCAAGCAAAGCCTGTGGAGAATAGACAGCAAGTGAATGAAAACTAGAAGCAAAAACAAACAGCAGACCAAACCTAAATGTTCCTACTCAATTTACCTGGGAGGCTACAGTGTTACCTAGGCTTTTAAAAAACCCGCATATTGAATATTTTATTCTTGACACACAATTTAATATCTTCAAGCTCACCAATATCATTATGCATCCTGTGCAACTGAGAAATTCGCTTTAGGTACATGACCAGTAATCAAGACTAAAAGCTTTAATTATGAAAGTATTAATTAGCCAAATGTCTCTAAGAATGTCTTAAATAATATTTTATTATTTAAACCTTTTCCAGCCAGGTGTGGTGGCTCATGCCTCTAATCCCAACACTTGGGGAGGCTGAGGCAGGTGGATTACCTGAAGTCAGGAGTTCTAGACTAGCCTGGCCAACATGGTGAAACCCTGTCTCTACCAAAAATACAAAAAATTAGCCAGGCAGGGTGGCAGGCACCTGTAATCCTAGCTACTCAAGAGGCTGAGGCAGGAAAATTGCTTGAACCTGGCAGGCAGAGGTTACAGTGAGCCGAGACTGCACCATTGCATACCAGCCTGGGCAACAAGAGCGAAATTCCATCTCAAAAAAACCCCAAAATACCCAACCTTTTCCACATTTTTATCCCTTTGTAAATGATTACTTACTACATTGTTTCATAATTAACCTTTTCAAATGTGTAATTTGAACTTAACTTTTAGATAAGTTCTGAATTAGACAAAAGTATTGTTTTTTCCACTAGTAACATAACCCTTTCTGGCACATTTTCTATACAGAATTACATGTTACCTAGAGTTTTTATCCTTAGTAACCTAAAACTTTAGTGAAATCCTAAAAAGCAAGAAATCCTGAACTATCACTTGCAAGCATTTATAGATAAGAACAATTCCACAATTTTAGAAACATGTTTCCCTATTTTACGACCCTGTCTTAATTGGAAATAACTCGGATATTAAAGGATCATCAAAAATAACTTTTAAAATTTTAATTTACATTAAAAGTTTACCTAAAACAATTATCCTATTCACTGTACTTAATTTTTAGTTTAACAAGGGAGACATCAGACATTAATCAACATATGTAAAATGAACATGGGTTTGGTCCACAAAGGCAGGATGACACCTTGAAGCAGGGAGAGGGCTTCAGTCTTCCAGGTCACAGGTAGCAAAGACAGACATAAAATTTGGACAAAATATATGCTGACAATTCTGAGGGCATTTCTCTTTTTGTTCCACCAATGATTGTAAAACTAGCTTGTTTAGTAAAGTTACAGTTAAGTCACATGAACTTAAAAATTGCCTAGACTTATTTACTTAATTTATGAGTGCTCTTTTATAAGTCAGTTTGGTAGACACAACATATAACAATAAGTCTACATACAAATAAACACATCTAGACATGGATACACATACATAAACAATGATCCAATCCCTTAGAACCTTGGCCATGAGATAGCAATAGAAGCTTGCCATTGTTACTTTGCCCCAATAGATGTTTGCAATGCTTGTTCCCCAGTGCCATAAAGAAATAGCACATAAACATAAATTTAATTTCCTCAGCAAGGCCATTTTTTTACTTTCTGCAGAAAGGGTAGACTTGCCAGCAGTTTTGCCATGAGAGTACACTGAACAAAGGAGACAGGGTTATTTATAACCTGACGCATCCACCTTAACTGCCATGTCCGGTTTCCACTGGCTGGAATGGGACCTCACATTCTATATTTGTCCCTATTGGCTAGCAACTTAGAACTTTTTAATAGAGGCAAAGGTAGAGGAGAACAAAGGAAGCAAGAAGTAACTTGTGGAATGATGAGAAAGGTAAAAAGACGTTTAAATAAGGAAGAGGAACATGCTATGACCTAATGCTTGCTTGGACCAGCATAAGCATGCCAGGGCAAATATTTAGGCTAAATTCTGGGAGCTAAGAACATAAAGTACATTGATTTCTTTATTAGGACTAGCAGATATTTAAGAATGTTAGCACAGGTCTTTGAATAAATTTTGCTTCTAAGAGAAGTTACTATTAATTCCTAATTAGATGGGGAGGAAAGTTTTTGAAGAGGAGCCTCTGCTTTACTTTTTACATAGATAATCCAGTGAAGGCTGTGCATCAAAATTTCTGGTAAAGCAGTCTCTGTGGCAGTTTGATTTTTAAAGTCCAAACCTCCCAGATTCCAAAGAGCACTGGGGCCAAAGTATATGAAAGGAGGCATCACATGTTAACCAAGCCCCCTGCTAACAACAGCAGCACAAAAGCCTGGATACATACGCCATCCCGTTTTCCCATTTGACACCAAACTTCAGATTCTGAACAGTTTTCTAAACAAGCAGCATTGCAACTGTGAGAGAAAATTCTAAGAAGAGCTTATGACTAGACCTCAGAACCTCTGCCAAGAGTGTCCCCTTTGAGCAGGTTAAGGTCTGCAGGATCCCCTGGAGTGTCTTCCTGTGGGGCCCAATCTTAAGAGTGTCAGATGTCTCTGACCTTAGGTGGGCACCAGTGCCTGCTTTCCCTCCAGAGCCTACTATGAGCATTTGTTTGGTACCTAGGTGTAATCCCCACCTTTTAGCATACTTAGCACACTTTCCCATGCTTGCCATTCCATGAACTTTAATGATAAGAACTGGAGGTTGGGTGGGTTTCTTTTGCCCTTAGCCAGTTTAATAGGGGAAGAAAATAATTTAGCATAAGAAAAGAAGCTTTAAGTTACCAGAAACATATGCAAGTTCTCTCTGAGCCATGCCGAAGGTAGGGATCAGGACCACATCCAGAAAATATTTTTTTAAAAAAGTCCATCTCCCTTCTGGGCAGGGCAGTTATAACTTCCCATTCATTCCTAGGCCTTCAGGCAGTAGCAGGGAGTGGCCCCAGCCAATCGCCCTCAATCTTCAAGGAGCTACTAAAAAACAGCCACTGAAAGACTGAAAAGGAAAGGGGAAAAAAAACAAAAAAGACCCTGGTCTCTTAAGCAAACCAGCAGTGGCAGTCAGGCTTCTCCACATGGAAACCCATTAGTTTCACTGGCAGAGCCAGAAACCTGCAGTTGCTTCCATGTTTAGGCACTGCTGCCCAAGGGTCCGGAGTTGGAAGGGAAAAGAGAGGGAGAAAGATTCTCTTGTACGGAGCAGAAAGGAGAAGGAGAAACATAAATCTCAAACTTTGGGGCTACCTTCTCCTGGAGTTTCTCCTGGCTGGCTCACCAAAATATATTATTGATGGGTGTGTCCAAGTTCTTGGCATATTGAAGAAAAAAATTGGACAAGATGCACAAACAAAGCAAGGAAGGATTTGAGAGACAGGACTAGCTGGATTTCCTAGACCAACTAAGAATTCCTCAGCCTAGCTGGGAAGGTGACTGCATTCACCTTTAAGCGGCTTGCAACTTAGATCATACCCGACCAGTCAGATAGTAAAGAGTGCTCACTAAAATGCTAATTAGGCTAAAACAGGAGGTAAAGAAATAGTCAATCATCTATTACCTGAGAGCACAGGGGGAGGGGCAGTGGTCAGGATATAAACCCAGGCATTCCAGCCAGCAATGGCTACGCTCTTTGGGTCCCCTCCTTTTGTATGAGAGCTCTCTTTCCACTCTATTTCACTCTATTAAATCTTGCAAGTGCACTCTTCTGGTCCGTGTTATGGCTTGAGCTGAGCTTTCACTCGCAGTCCACCACTGCTGTTTGCTACAGTCGCAGACCTACCGCTGACTTCCATCCCTCCAGATCTGGCAGGGTGTCTGCTGTGCTTCTGATTCAGTGAGGTGCCCATTGCTACTCCTGATCAGGCTAAAGGCTTGCCATTGTTCCTGCACGGCTAAGTGCCTGGGTTCATCCTAATCGAGCTGAACACTAGTCACTAGGTTCCATGGTTCTCTTCTGTGACCCACGGCTTCTAATAGAGCTATAACACTCACTGCATGGCCCAAGATTCCATTCCTTGGAATCTGTGAGGCCAAGAACCCCAGGTCAGGGAACACGAGGCTTGCCACCATCTTGGAAGTGGCCCACTGCTATTTTGGAAGCGGCCTGCCACCATCTTGGGAGCTCTGGGAGCAAGGACGCCCCCCCAGGTAACAGAATAAAGGGATATATTGAAAATGAAATTACACTCCACAGTTTAGGAGAGGCCCTGAAAGCACAGGGGCTCAAGGGCCCCATTACAGAATTTTTGAAAGTTTAAATACCCCCAGAGGATTCCACTGGTGTGTACCATGTGTAAATGGAGATGAAGAAGTAAAGTTACAAGTCATTTACTCAGTATATGCGCTATGGAGAGGAAATTTCCTGTCATAGCTGAAGTGTGAATAAGCCTTATGTTCTCTGCATGCACACCCTATTTTCCTGCCTCACTAGGAGGACACGTGCTTGAGGCCAGCAAGATCTCAGGTCTCAGGGTGCTGTGACTCCATTTTCCTCTGCTCATTGCCTTCTGCCTTTCCCCTGTTGAGAAACCTTCATAGCTTCCATTCCTTGGCACTCCAGATGCCAGGACACTGAGGACCAATAAAACACCATCTCATTTATCTCAGTGGTTTCTAGTCATTAAAGTCAGGCCAGGGGAGGTGACTCAAATTTATAATCCCCACATTTTAGGAGGCCAAGGTGGGAGGATCGCTTCAGGCCAGGAGTTTGAGGTTGTAGTGAGCTGTGATCACACCACTGCACAGCAACTTGGTTGATAGAAGAAGACCCTGTCTCTAAAGAAAGAGAGAGAGTGCGCTCTTGGAGTTTAAAAAAGAGTACGTGTTTTTACCGTCTTAGACAGTTACTGCATTTTGTGATGTGCTTGTTTATTTGGGTGTGCACATATGAAGGAGGAGCAGGGTATGAAAGTGTCTTGACCAGTCACCATTGCCTACTCCATGGCCAGAATCAGGAGCCAAGGTTGCCTGAGGTGATGCGGCTAGTTGTTTACATGGGTTGTATTGCTTTCCTTATTTCAAATAGTGTCTTGTAATCAGAAATCTTCTGGGATGGTGTTTCATTTAGTTATTCTTCAACTGAAACACGAGCCTTTCAATTCTTCCTTGTTTCTGAGGTTGTTCAAGTTCGGGGAGTATAAAAACGTCTTTGCATGTGCACCAGACACTACCCCAAGGCATATTCAGTTTCATGTGATTTTAGTATTTGGCATGCTGCACAAGGAAGGAACTTCCTCCTGTATATTTAAATGTGTGTGGAAAGTTTTCTCTGGTAGATGGAAATCAAAGAATCAAAGAATGTTAAAAACAAAAAACAAAAAACGTGAATCAGAATGAAATGATGTTGTTAATTATGTCAAGGCTCTAGTTAGTCTAACCCTGAACCCAACGAGTCATTTGAAGTAGCAGCAAGTGCCTATTTTATTAAATCTCATGAACAGATGGACTTCCAATCCAGGCCTGAATGGTGTGGGCTTCTGAAGCATTACCCTCCCGTATAATGGGTGGACATTTGCAGAGATTTTGCACAGTCAGGAAGCACCCGGACAGGGCTTCTCCACCCCAGCACTCAGTATTTGGGGCTGGTTGAGTCTTTGTAGTGGGGCTGCCCTGGGCACTGTAGGGTGTTCAGTAGCATCCCCAGGCTCCACCCACCAGATGTCAGGAGCATTCCTCCTCCTCAGTTGTTACAACCAAAACTATCTCCAGACATTGCCTATTACCCCCAAGGAGGCATAGTCACCCCTCACTGAGAATCACTGCATCAGGGATACCACAGTTTGTCCAGAATAAATGGCCTTTTTGTCCTGAATGCCCCAACTGGGTTTGACATTCCGAACAGTGGTCACACCTAGTTCTTAACAGTTTGCCATGTTCCCTTCCCCTTTCCCACCATGGAATCATTCACCCCACGCTCCTGGGCTCTGGGTTGTTATGAATAAAGTTTCAGTGCTTCCAAAGAAATAGCACTCAAATATAAAATTTTCTTTTAATTCTCAGCAAGACAAGTTATTTCTATAGAAAGGTGTGCCCTTACACCCAAATTACATCCAAATTACAGATGGAGCAATGGTGAGTGCACACCCGAGGCAGGGGAAGGGGGTTTTATCCCTGACTCACGTGGCCCCTCCTGCTGTGTCGTTCCTCTATTGGCTAGGGTTAGACCACACAGGTTAAACTAATTCCAATTGGCTAGTTTAAAGAGAATGACGGGGTGAGTGGTTTGGCTGAGAAAATGATTATGACAGAGCAGGTAATCAGGATGAGTCAGGGTGGAGCAGGTAATCAGAATGAGTCAGGGTGGAGCAGGTAATTGGATTGAGTCAGGGTGGAGCAGGTAATCAGAATGAGGGTGGAGCAGGTAATTCAAACGAGTCAGGGTGGAGCAGGTAATTGAAAAAGATTGCTTTATGAGGAAGTTAAGTTTAAAAGTAGAAGGTAAAGAATTGAACCTACTGACATGTTGATTCTTTGAAAAGAAATTTAGAACTCATGTCTAACCACCCCTCCCCTTGTATTTCTTACAGCTCTTTCTTCTCTAACTTTTTTTTAAACATGTTTTGGCTTAGTTGTTTTGCTTAATTTTCCAAAAGAAGAAGCTTCTCTGGATAAGGTGGAGGATAGTTAAGGGAGGTTTTAGTAAGTGCTGGTTCTATGAGCCTCTGCACCAACCCATGGATGCATGGTATGACACAGCACCCAACAAGAATAAGTACACCCATTTCGGCTGTGAGGGAAGTAAGAATTGAGGCTGTCATTCCTTTCTACCAAACCACTTTTCTAACCATCCTGTAAATGGGTCATTTACCCCTGAGTTGCTGGCCAACTGATTGGATAGAGCAGTCACACACTGCAATGCCTTTGTTATACTTCCATCAGGGGTAGTGGTGTTTGGGATGAAGGTGCAACATTGAGTTTTAATCATGAAGCAAACTCCTCCGCTTTCTGCTAATATCATGTCTAAGGCTATCCTATTTTCCCAAGCCATCTGGCAAGCAGCCCCTAATTTCTCAGCTATTCCTTTAACAGCATCTCTAGTGTAGTTAATAAACTGCTGTTTGTTGTATAAATATAATTGATCTAATCTACATGCTTATTAATTGTCACCCACCAAAATATTGACAAAAATCCTGCAGCTATTTGATTGCGGGCTTTAAATTGACTGGTATTCCCTGTGGGACTCTAATTGTATCTAAAAAGATGTGAGAGTCAAAAGACCCTTAAGGGGCTTCTCTCACTTTATAGTGTCTTCTTTTTCCTTCCTCTGGTTGATGAAATGCCAGGGTGAAATGGATAGCCAATTGGACTAAAGCACAAGTGCCATTCCAGTTACTTAGCAGAGTATCCAGTAAAGGTCCACCACAATACCACCACACAAAAGGTCCACCACAATACCACCATACCTCCACTTGGGGATGAACAAGGGCTGACTGATTGGTAAACTCTTGAAAATTCTTAAGCTCACTGCATCCCTTCAGGTCTCCAAGGAATGCTAAGTTTTCTCCCTGTTTGAGAGACATGAAGTGAACTTAGTGTTGGGAAACGGAGGCTGGATGGCTCTCGGGCTGACCCTCAGGGTGCCAGGCTTTGGGATATAGCAAGACTGAGCTTGGCATGACGTGTTACCCCAGGCTGTAGAATCCTGGAAAAGAGCTACTATACAGACCATGCCTGGTTGACTGAAGGACCATCCTAGTGGAAAGGGGACAATCTGGGCCCCTGGCCTGCCATGCACACAAGCATAACATTTGCTTTTGTTTAATGTGTGGACAGAATATTTGATCCATTCCACCCAAACATTTGCATCTTGGCATCCTGTCTTAATTGCCAAAGTTTGTTTTAAGTCTTTACATTTTACAATAGCTATCTTGGTCTTGTCATTAGATGGAGGAGAAACAATTGTTCCATTGTGAGAGGTTTTGGAAGAAGGTTTAGAGGAAGTTGCAGGTGGTGGGGGATCAAAGAAACGCATTTCAAAGAATCTGACAGGGTTTGTCCTTGAAACCTCAGCCCCCATACCATAAGAAGGGAACCGGGCTTAGGAATGGGGAAGAACTTTGAGGGTTTGAGATAATAACCTGTATAGAATTACACTGATTTACCTGACAGTTAGCAGGGAGGGCTGTTCCTCTAGTAAAATGAATGTATGGTTTTAGGAAATTACAAAAACTGGTTGGGGCAGTCCATTTTTGCTCTTTAATGGTCCACAGATCATTGGACCAACTATGGCATAAAAGCTCTACATGGGGGAGCAAGACCCCTGGCTGACACTGAGGCCTTACTGAAATCTCTCTGGATTAAGTGGTCCCAATACACTAATGCTCGGTCTGAGGAGAGTCAGGAGGGACAGAGGTACTTTTCTGAAGTACAGAGCTGTCTTTGACTTGGCAAGTCCCCAGGGGTATAACAAGGCAAGCATTAAATGCAATAGTTTGAGGCGAAATTGACTAGGTTATGTTAATAACTAGGTCAGCAATAGAGCAAAGAAGAAAGAGAAATAGAATAGATGAAAGAGTTAAATTTTTCTTAGCTTTAGTTTGGTAGGGTTTTCCCCTGGGACTACACCCCACGACTCTGGAGGGGGTGGCGCTTTCTTGACTCGGGTGTGATGAATCCATCCCCTTCCACTGTATGAACAGGAGTCTCCATGGTTAGCAGCACAAAGTAGATTCCTTCCCAGGCTGGCTGGGGTTTTCCTTCTTTCCACCCTTTGATGAGAATGTGATCCTCAGGCTGGTGCTGGTTTACCAGAAATTCTAGGAGTGGTACCTGTGCTAAAAGACTTTAGTTTTCAGGGAAAGGAAAGTGGAAGATAAACTAAGTATGAAATTGACCTTTTGTTTTAAATGTGGGGACGTCAGCAGTGGGCTTTATAGTCCTTGGTGCCTTCTTACTGAGAAATTTCCTTTAGCACCTATTTTTATTAGTTTTTAGACCAAAGAAAGCCAAACACCATTTTATATTTGACAGTGCTTCCTGTATGGTTTTTATACCAGATAAGCTAAATTTCGCCTTTATATTAGGGTGTTATTAGTGTTAAACTTAGTTTTAATAAAACCTTGTAGGCATATTTATTCAATTTTTAATGTCTGACCATAAGGTAAGATTTTCATAGACTCTTCTTAACCTTTCATGATTTTTGTTAAAGAGCAGGTTAATGCTTTAAGAAAAACCTGTTGTGCTCTTATTTTAATGTCCAGTTCACAAAAAAACTGAATGATACCCCTTTAACTTTATCCAATATATTTACACACAGAATTTCCTTTACAATTAACGTTTCAAAACTTGCTTAAACTGTTAAAACAAAATATATATATTTTTACCCTTTTAATGTAGGTAAAAATCCACATTCTTATGCCTCCTTATAATCCTTTTACCAAAGGTATATTTTACTTTCCTTATACACTTTGCACATAAACTGTTTTTTCTGTAGTTCCACGTTTAGGAGTCCTATTTACTTTTAAATTATACAATATTTCTTGCATAAATTCCCTTTTATACCTTTTTTTTTTCCACGACTTTCACAGACAATTCTTTGACCTGCCTTAGCTTTCTGACTTGTTGCATCCATCCCTTTCTTTAAATAACTAGTTAATTTATTTTAGGACAAGAATTTACTATATAACATTCCTTTTTATATAAATTCTCCCCCTGCCTTTTTTTTTTTTTTCTCAACGTTGATAACCATTCTTTTCCAAGCAACTTGCTTCATGTCTGTGTTCTAGACTGCCTAAGGCCACAAGATTAGAAGTTAGGATAATACATGTTACACTGTTCACTTTTAGCAAATTTTACTTTTGTTGAAAACCGTGTAAGTTTGTGATTTCAATTATCCTTTGCTATTAATGAGATTGTTTAGTCCAAATTAACTTAGAATTGGTATAGATGGTTCCTTCCTGGTTCTGTAAGTACTTTAAGGCTTGTCTGAGAGCAAACAGATAACATGTTTGAGCAGACCAATTATTAGGCAATTTTCCTGACTCTGCTTTTACAAGAGTTTCCTTATCACTTACTGAATACCCATTATGTCTTTTTCCTTCTGTCACCCCGAAGGAACCATTTACTGTCCTGACCTGAAAGGAGTTCCACCTAGGTCTGGTTGGACCTTTCTATGGTAATTAATTAAGATTTAGATAACCTGTTAGGAAACCTGCTGGGTCAAGAGAATTATCAGTGGTTAATGTTAAATGATCTTTTTCTAACAGAATAGCCCCAAACTTTCAGATTTTTGAGTTAGTAAGCTACATTTTTGCTTTTTTTTTTTTTTTTTTTTTTTTTTGATTTAGGATAGTTCTGAACTGGTGAGGTGTACTTACAATGAGGTTTCCTCTAAAAGTATTTTTCTACTTTCTTCTGTTAGCAAAGCATTTGCCGCTACAGATTGAATGCATTTGGGCCATTCTGGGTTTACTGGGTTAAGGATTTTTGATTAGGAAGGCTACAGGTTTTCAGTGGCCTCAGTGCTTTAGGGCTACGCTCTTGTTTATACTGACAACAAGGTCGTGTTGGAATGTTACAGGGTCATGGAGAAGACCTTCATTATGATCAATTACAGGTTTTAAATTCACCCTGACTTTTAAAGGTATAGGGTACACTGTTTTCTCTTTACTACTTCTATCTCTCTCTTTTTCTTTTTCTTTGACTTCCTGTCTCTCTCTTTCTGTCTGTTTGACCCCTTCTTTGTGTCTCTGTCTCTTCCTCTCTCTTTCTCTCTCTCTCTCTCTGCTGTTGTTTCGCTTCCTCTACCAGCTGCTTATACCGCTGTTCTCCCCTCTCCTTCTCCTTCCCCTAGGGGAGGGACCAGCGGAAGTGGAGCTACTTATTCTTTCTTCCCCTGAAAGAAGAACACCCAAGATGGATATTAACATGACCTAAGTGTATAAATGAGGTTCTAAGAACTGTTCAATTTGGTCTGCCACTCCATAACGGTCATCTAGTAGCAGTTTAAGCCCCTTTTTAAAATTCTGGACTTACGAACTGGTTAGGGAGGCATTTACAAAGCCAATGCCTGCCCCCCCACCCCCTCCCCTGCCTTGTGGTACCTCTTTCAAAGGGAAGAGGGTCCAAGCTGACCTCTTAGGTACAGAGGGAAATGGAAAATTCTGAATATCTTTTTTACATTCATCTACCTCATGCTGGAGTCATTTTAGAGAGGGGTATTTAGGTTGGGAGAGAACAGGCTGGTGGAATGGTAATTCCTAAGAGTCAGGGTTATGAGGAGGAGGGCTCATGTGAGTAGAGGGGGAATTTGGAATGGGATCTGAGGTGGCCGTGGCTGTCTGAGGGGAAAGACTGGGGACACTGAATGGGGGAACATAGACTAGGGGATCCCATGTGCTGGAATCTTTAGGCATGAGAGCTGGCTCCTCTGATTTTTCATTTTGAGGTGCCAGATTAGGTTCTTCCCTACTTGTTATTAAGGGAAAAAGGAGGGCAAGTCCTTGCCTCCAACAAAGGGCGTAGCCTACTTCTTGAGACACTGGACTTTTAGCATTAACGTGTCAGATTAGAAGCTGACACATTACATCCTCGTTTGACCCAAACTTTTGCCAGAAAATTGAGGATTTGAGGATGGGTCCCTGAGTCTAAATAAAAGAGCACTATTTTATCATTTGTTGCTTTTTCCTATGTTTAGTCCTTTCATTATCCTTCCAGTGTTTTAGCATGAGACCTATGAAGGTATTGGGGGGATATCTTTGTTACCATCTTTATCCTCCCTGCTCCCTGTCTTGCTTGGGGTATTTCCCTTCTTGATGGTTTTGGGGTCAGGTTCAAGGTTCAATGTCCGTTACTGAAAAATTCTCACCTTTTGGGGTGAGGCTCAATTTCCGCTAGTGGAAATTTCTTGCCTTTTGGGTTGAGGCTTAATTTCCCCACTGGAAATTTCTTGTGTTTTGGGCTGAGGCTCAATTTCCCCACTGGAAATTTCTTGCCTTTTCTACTACTGGAAGTTTGTGTGAGGTTCAGTCCCCCACAGTGGGGATGTCTCACCTCTTTTTAACCTCTAAGCCGCCCCCGACCAAGGGGTACTTCACTGAACCCCCTGCGGCTTTCTCATCGTGGTCCCGACCACCAAGGAAATACTTTACCAGCTCCCCTGGCTTTTCTTTCCCTGGTCTGTGCACAGAGTAATCGCCACAGTATGTGAGGATCCTTTAAGGTAGGATGCTGGCAAGTTTTTAATTTTTTTTCCCGCGTGTTGCTGAGCGTTCAGGTTATTCCTCGCACAGGGTGGGTTCTGATTTTTCACCCCTGAGACCGCCACAAGGGGTGGGGCATGACTTCTCACCAGAGAGAGTCAGAGACAGTCCCCAGTGGGGAAATGTAATCCCGGACGAGCCCCGAAATTGTTATATATAAAGTTTTGGTGCCGCAAAAGAAATAGCATTCGAATATAAAATATTCTTTTTAATTCTCAGCAAGGCAAGTTACTTCTGTAGAAGGGTGACCCCTTACAGATGGAGCAATGGTGAGCGCACACTCGGACAAGGGAGGGGAAGGGTTCTTATCCCTGACGCACGTGACCCCTCCTGCTGTGTCGTTCCGCAATTGGCTAGGGTTAGACCACACAGGCTAAACTAATTCCGATTGGCTAATTTCAAGAGAGTGACAGGGTGATTGGTTTGGCACGAAAAATGGTTATGGCAGAGCAGAAAATCGGAATGAGTCAGGATGGAGTAGGTAATCGGAATGAGTCAGGATGGAGTAGGTAATCGGAATGAGTCAGGGTGGAGCAGGTAATCTGAATGAGTCAGGGTGGAGTAGGTAATTGGAATGAGTCAGGGTAGAGTAGGTAATTGAAAAAGGTTGCTTTGTGAGGAAGTTAAGTTTAAAAGTGAAGGTAAAAAATTGAACATACTGACATATTGATTCTTTGAAAAGAAATTTAGAACTCATATCTAACAGGGTCTATGCTACTTCCCCCGTGGCCCCCTGGCTGCTGGGAGCCAGCTATTTATGCTCCACTTCCCCGTGCCTCTCCTGCCCAGAGAGTAGAGACCATTCCCAGAGCCCTCACCCTTGTGAGCTGATGGCTGTCCCTTGGCTTGCTTCCCCAGGATGGCACAGTGTTCGACAGCCGCCCTATAGAGTCCCTGTCCCTGATAGTTGCTGTGATTCCTGATGTGGTGCAGATGCGGCAGCAGGCATTTGGAGAGAAGCTCACTCAGCAGCAAGCCAGTGCAGCAGCCACAGAGGCATCAGCAATGGCAAAGGCGGCAACCATGACCCCAGCTGCTATTTCCCAGCAAAATCCTCCAAAGAACCGAGAGGCCACAGTGAACGGGGAAGAGAATGGAGCACATGAAATCAGTGAGTGCGCAGGCTCTGGAAGTTTGGTGGGCCTCTCTGGGTTCATTGTTTTCTTTTAAATCTGGGTCAGTCTGAATGCCTTCTTAAAAACCTACCTGATATAAATGTCTTAGTAGCTGCTCTTTATTGTTTGCTTTCAATCTACCCAGAAGAGCTCCCGTTCCAGTTTTCCATCACAACCCTTCAACCAGACCTTCTTTACTCTCATCTTCAATTTCAGGAAATTGTGTGCACTGCCAGTCTGAGAACTCTCCTATAATACATGGTTATGGCCCATCATAAACAAAAGTGTTTAATTCATGGACAAATTTAGTCTCAGCCTCCAGCCCTCCATGTTGAGTGTTTTTGGCCAAATTGTGGTATAATCATTGAGTTCATGGTTCCTGCCGAGGGCACTGGGCCCCAAAAACTGAGCATCAGCTTATTTGGTCTTTGCAAAATCCCAGAACATCATTCCCTGTTAGGTAATTGCCAGCAAGTACATGGTAAGTCAGTGAGTCTGAATTTCTACCCAGAGAACCTGCCCCACTTGGACATACTACTGCTCTATAAACCCATAGAGAAGCCACTTCAGCATGTATGTAAGTTCAGAGCATGCAAATGTTCCATGAATGGTGCACTAGTGGGTGGGAGGGTGTGTATATACATGTGTGCACCAGTGAACAAATTCTTAAAGTGCCTCTCTGGCTGGAGAATCAGATCTAGCATTTAATGAAAGCTCTCCTAGACTATTAATGTCTCTTCTATTAAAATAGTGTGACATAAAGGTTGTCTGCTTTGGGTCAATGAAAAGATATTCTGGCTTTTTATTTATAAAGTCCATGATTGTGGGGCAGGAAAAGGAGAGTAAGAGAATACCCAGCTTGTACCTACAGGTCATTTATTAACTATGCAGTGACATGGGGCACAACCCTCAGATTCTCAAAATTGAGAAAATGGCTGAAGTTGTTTTCACAGTGGATATGATTGTTTGACTGCATCCCAACCCAAATCTCACCTTGAATTGGCTGCATCCCCACCCAAATCTCTAGTTCCCTTGTGTCAAGGGCAGGACCAGGTGTAGATAATTGAATCATGGGGGGTAGTTTCCCCACTACTATTCTGGTAGTAGCGAATAAGTCTCATGAGATCTTACGGTTTTATAAATGGGAGTTCCTCTGCACAAGCTGTTTTGCCTGCCACCATGTAAGGCATAACTTTGCTCTTCCTTTGCCTTCCGCCATGACTGTGAGGACTCCCCAGCCATGTGGAACCATGAGTCCATTAAACCTCTTTCCTTTATAAATTATCCAGTCTTGGCTATGTCTCTATTAGCAGTATGAGAACGGACAATTACAACAGTCTTACATCACAGAAAGTAATTTGTATTCATGAAGTTTCCGAAGTTGGCGTCTATGAAGGAAGAAATTTTCAATACAGCAAGGCAGCCTGTCCTCTCCACCACTGTTAAGTCTGAGGCCAGACCTGAAGTTCAGTTTTATTCTGTACCAATTTTTAAAAAAACAGAAACTCTAATGTGGAGTCCATGTTAACCCTGGCTGTGGACAGAGTAGAGACACCTACATGCCTTCAACCAAGTTGGCCAGTTGCAGGTAGATGGCTTTTGTTTCATTAGGACCTGCATGTGGTTCTTCACACTGACTATGCAGTGACATGGGGCACAACCCTCAGATTCTCAAAATTGAGAAAATGGCTGTAGTTGTTTTCACAGTGGATATGGTTGTTTGACTGCATCCCAACCCAAATCTCACCTTGAATTGGCTGCATCCCCACCCAGATCTCTAGTTCCCATGTGTCAAGGGCAGGACCAAGACTGGGTAATTTATAAAGGAAAGAGGTTTAATGGACTCGTGGTTCCACATGGCTGGGGAGTCCTCACAGTCATGGCAGAAGGTAAAGGAAGAGCAAAGGTATGCCTTACATGGTGGCAGGCAAGACAGCTTGTGCAGAGGAACTCCCATTTATAAATAGTCGGTGTGCCCACCACTGATGCTCCTCCTCCAATGGACACCTTCCTGAATGATAGACCTTCTGCTCTATTTCCTGGGCCTGGGGCTACCTGCAGTGTTTCCACTGTTCCATTGGCAGAGTGCCCTTGTATTGCAGCAAGGCAGCCTGTGCTCTCCACCACTGTTATGTCTCAGCAGTCTGAGGCCAGACCTGAAGTCCAGTTTTATTTTAATCCTCAAGAACTGTTTTTGTTGTTATTGTTGTTGTTGTTGTTGTTGTTGTTGTTGAGATGGAGACTTACTCTGTCACCCAGGCTGGAGTGCAGTGGTGTGATCTCTGCTCACTGCAGGCTCCACCTCTCAGGATTCAACAATTCTCCTGCCTCAGCCTCCCAGTAGCTGGGACTACAGGCACACACCACCACACCCAGCTAATTTTGTATTTTTAGTAGAGACAAGGTTTCACCATTTTGGTCAGGCTGGTTTTAAACTCCTGACCTCAGGTGATCTGCCTGTCTCAGCTTCCCAAAGTGCTGGAATTACCGGCGTCAGCCACCACGCCCGGCTAAGAACTGTTTTTTTTTTTTTTTGGCCAGATGCGGTGGCTCTTGCCTATAATCCCAGCACTTGGGAGGCCCAAGGAAGAAGACTGATTGAATCTAGGAGTTCAAGACCAGACTGGGAAAGAGAGAAAGACCTCGGCTTTACAGAAAATGTAGAAATCAGCCAGGTGGGGTGGCACATGCCTGTAGTCCGAGGTACTCAGGGGGCTGAGTGGGGAGGATCACTTGAGCTCAGGGGGTGGAGTCTACAGAGAACTGCGATAGCACCACTGCACTCCAGCCTGTGCAACAGAGCAAAACACTGTCTCAAAAAATTAAAAGTAGAAAGAACTTTTTTTCCTGCTACTTGCGAGAAAAGTAGCCACTTTCCAGGCTGGTTTTCCTGACCATGGCATTTAAGGTTTGTCTCCATCATAAATGAACCTACCCAGGAGCCCAAAACCATTAATCTATGGCACTCCCAGGTTAGGCTCCTTCAATTTGAAGTCCTGGTGGTTCTGCCTGGACTGAGAATTCTGATATGGAACAGGAGCTGTGGCTCATGCCTGTAGTCACACTGCTTTGGAAGGCTCAGGTGGGAGAATCGCTTGAGCCTAGAAGTTCAAGACAACATAGCAAGGCCCCGTATCTACAAAAAGTTTTAAAAATTACCTGGGGGTAGCAGCATGTGTCTGTAGTCCCAGCTCCTCAGGAGGCTGAAGCAGGAGGATTGCTCGAGCTGGGAAGGTTGAGGCTGGAGTGAGCCATCAAGGCAAGACACTGCAGTGTAGCCTGGGTGACACAGCACAGACCCTGTCTCTAAAAAGAAAATTTTCAAAAGAAAGTGGCTCCAATAAGAAAACAGCACTTGAGCCCATGGGCTTGGTGTTTGAAGGCAGGGGACATTTGGAAGGAATGATGGTATTTACCAGTGGGAACTTCCTACATGCAGAAACGATGCCACAGAAAGGTACATTTTAATGAAATGTCTTGTTTTATCAAAAACACAGGAAACTTCCAGCTGGTACTTGTCATCCTAAGCCACCTTTGTACACATGGTTATTAGATGATATTTGTCTGATTCCTGTAGAAGAGGAGGTGTGATTCATGAGCCTCTATAGAACCCACTGTGCATAAGATCAAAGAAAGGCAGCATTCAGTTCAGCATTCCTGGTCACTTTACACACCAGTGTAAAGTGGACACTCAGCCTTCTTATCAGCAGCCCCTCAGAGATGCTTGGTGTCCTATAAAGACAGGTATTGGATTTTTTAAATTTATTTTTTAGCAGTTGAATAGTCATAGTGTAAAAATTGCTCAGACCTAGTGCACCTTCTACCAACAAACTCTCACACCAGAAGAGCTATTTAAAACTAGAGCAGGCCAGGCGCGGTGGCTCATGCCTGTAATCTCAGCACTTTGGGAGGCTGAGGCGGGCAGATCACCTGAGGTCGGGAGTTCGAGACCAGCTTGACCAACATGGAGAAACCCCATCTCTACTAAAAATACAAAAATGAGCTGGGTGTGGTGTTGCATGTCTGTAATCCCGGGTACTTGGGAGGCTGAGGTAGGAGAATCGCTTGAACCCAGGAGGTGAAGGTTGCAATGAGCCGAGATTGTGCCATTGCACTCCAGCCTGGGCAACAAGATCGAAACTCCATCTCAAAAAAACAAACAAACAAACAAAAAAACCCCAAAATCAAAAACAAAAAAAAAGTACAGCTGAGACAATCGGGCCCTTTTCCTGGGATCCATGCTTGGAATCCATTGTGCTGTGACATACATGTGCCTTGCCCAGAACATTAGCCGTCCCACTGACCACTGCTCCAGATGGGCTGCTTACCTGGTTTATACCTCCCCCAGAGACCAACTCCCAACTATAGGCATTGGATGGGTGCTTAGTGCTTCTCCCTGCAACCTTCTGTCTAGACTGTGTCAATGCATTAGTCGCTACCCCTGAGTGCCTGGCTTTGTCTCCCCTGTGCATGTGGCCAGTCCTAACTAGTCCACCCTGGCAGAAATTCTAGAACAGCCACCATGACCACCTAATGAGACCTTGCACCCTGTTTGTGAGCCACAGCCTGGCCTATTGAGGCAGGAGTTTTTGAAGGCTGCATTTTGGTAAGAGTGCAGCCTCTGACAGCTGTGCCTCCTCTCAGTTACCAGGACCCCAACCACTGCATAGCTATCTAGTATACCAATTGCCCTCTTGCCATCGCCATGAACAACTCTGTTATATGGGGAAAGACATTTTTCCTCTCTTCCTGCCAGATGACACCTTCAGAGAATGAAAGAGTCACCAACATTGAAGAGTTTCACTGTTACGTAACTTTTTTTATTAGGGTTCTTGAGCCAAGCAGAATGGCAAGAGATTTTTTTATTTTTTAAATGTAGAAAATACTCCTTCCTCAGTGGCAGGTAACCAACCTAAGATCACATTGCTTCTCTTTCCCAAGTTTTCAGTCAAAATGCCTTGATGAAGGACATAACGAAACATGCTTAATTCCTCACCATATCGTGAAACTGTTAACCGTTGCTAATTCTTTGATCATCAGGCTATATTGCTGCTTTCTCATGAGCATAAACTGGGGGTAGCAAACTTTCTATACAGGAACAGACAGTAAATGTCTCAGGCTTTGAGGGTCATGCAGCCTGTCACAGCTGCTGAAGTCTGTCATAGTACAAAAGCAGCTATGAGAGTCATCTCAGGCTGCCTTAACAAAAGGCCACAGACCAGGCAGTTTAAGAATTTGCTGTCATGATTCTGGAGGCTGGAGGTCTGAGATCAAGGTGAGGGCAGGGATGGTTCCTTTCTTAGGCCTCTCTCCTTGGCTTGTGGATGCTGTCTTCTCCCTGTGTCCACACGTGGTTGTACCTCTGTGGGTGTCTGTATCCTAATCCCCTCTTTTCATGAGAACAGCAGTTGCGGAATGACTATCTGCTAGCCACACTTTATTTATGCAGAAGCAGCTGGTGGCTAGATTTTGTCCATGAGCTATAATTTGCTGGCCTCACTCACAAAGAGTAAATAATTGTTTTGGAGAGGCAGTTTAGAGACAGGGCCTTGCTCTGTCCCCTAGGCTGGGTTCAGTGGCATAATTATGCCTCACTGTAGCCTCTCCCTCCTGGGCTCAATCAATCCTCCCATGTCAGCCTCCTGAGTAGCTGGGGCTACAGGCATATGGCACTGTGCCTGGGTAATCTTGCAATTTTTTTGTAGAAACGGGGTCCTGCAAAATTGCCTGGGTTGGTGTTGAACTCCTGGCCTCAAGCAGTTTACTGTCCTTGACCTCCCAAAGCATTGGGATTATAGGTGTGAGCTACCACACCAGGTCAGATTCTCTGTTTTTATTTCTCAGTGAGGTTTAGAGACTGTGAAATTATAAAGCAACCTGATATGTTTGCTAAACTGCACAAAAGCCACAATTTAGTTAGACTCGTTAGAGGTAGTGTTACTTAGTACGTAAAAACAAGGTGTTTCTGGAAACAAAAGTGCCCTTTAAATGCCTTCCTCTTGTATTGGTAAGCCATATGTCTCTTTGTGTTTCCTATGACAGATAATCACTCAAAGCCAATGGAAATAGATGGGGATGTTGAGATTCCACCCAACAAAGCCACAGTCCTTCGGGGCCACGAGTCTGAGGTGTTCATTTGTGCCTGGAACCCTGTCAGTGATTTGCTAGCCTCTGGGTAAGGAAGTCAGGATGGGGGCACTCCAGGGTCAGGGAGACGCAAGCTGCTTGCCCTTCCCTGGAGTTCTGCCTTGAGGAACGTGCACTCCACTTCTTATCCCAATGTGGGCAGACCCAGGAATGGGCTGCTCTTTGAGCCACCTCTATACGTGTCTCGTATTGTGAAGAAGCCTTAGTTCCGAGTCATTTTCTCCATGGAGTGAGGAGCAATACAAGGCAGTTAAATTTACCAAATGCAAAGATGACAAGGAGGGAAACAGGGATCCACTGGTATGATAAAGACAGAAGAGCACATGCCTACAATGTCACCTGGCCAGAGAGCAAGCTGCAGTGAGCTTCTCATCCCATTTGAACCAAATACCGGAGGCTTCTGTGTTTTTATTCTGTAGATCTGGAGACTCAACTGCAAGGATATGGAACCTGAATGAGAATAGCAACGGGGGCTCCACCCAGCTCGTGTTGAGACATTGTATACGAGAAGGGGGGCACGACGTCCCAAGTAATAAAGATGTCACCTCACTGGACTGGAACGTAAGCATCTTCCACCCCCTGGGCACTTTGAAATTGGTAAAATCTGCCAGCCAGGCATGGGCTGCAGTGATGGAATGTGTGCAGACATAGGAGGCAGGTGGTCCCATGTACTCAGGCCCAACCTGGAGGGCTAGCCACAGAGGTGGTCTTGGCTTCTAACAGCTCTTAATAAGGCCACGTCAGGCAGACAGTGAGCTGGTTGTTTGGTAGCCATATCTTTGCATCGTGAACATGTCTTAGCAAAATGAGCCTGTGGTCTCATGGTGGGGAAATAGGCTGGGAGCTATGAGGTATTTCTCCTGGGGAGACAAGAGGTGCAGTCTAGGAAAGGTGCCTCTTCACCTTAGGATTTCAGCAACAAGTGTCATGTGCATTGACACATGGAATGCACACAGTTCCACTGCTTTTTATTTCCTGCAAAGCGTCATGATAACTTTCATCATGGTGTTTTTAGTTCCGTCACTCATTAGAGAACACAAAGTGGTGAATGGTTCCATTGTGTTTTCATTGCTCCCTTGTCTCCTTGGTCTTCATGCCGCATATTTGATTTAAGAGCAGGGTGTGCTAACATTGCATGGCACCAACTATTGCCTGAAGAACCCTCTGGACTTGGGATCCTGAGAGAGGCTCTCTGAGCTTCTTTGGTGCTCCCACTCCTAAGCTGTTTTTCTGAGTTTGTATCTCTTTCTGGCCCTCAGAGTGATGGAACACTATTGGCTATGGGTTCATATGATGGTTTCGCAAGAATATGGACAGAAAATGGTAAGTCCTGCACCCCTCCTGCATGGGTCAGGTAAGAGGAGCTGCCATACATAACCCTTGATTGAACAGACCATGACAACAGAATCAACATGTTTGTTTTTACTAACAGGTAACCTGGCCAGCACCTTAGGCCAACATAAAGGCCCCATCTTCGCTCTGAAATGGAACAAAAAGGGGAATTATGTTTTGAGTGCTGGTGTAGACAAAGTGAGTATTAGCTTAAAATATGCCCCTTTATCTATAGGTGCTTATTTACTATTTTTCTTTTTCTGTTTTAGGGGGGTGGGGAGTGGGGGAACAGAGTCACTCTGTTGCCCAGACTGGAGTGCAGTGGCACCATCTCAGCTCACTGCAGCCTCCGCCTCAGCAGGGTTCAAGTAATCCTCCTGCCTCAGCCTCCTGAGTAGCTGGGATTACAGGCACCCACCATCATGCTCAGCAAATTTTTATATTTTCAGTAGAGACAGGCTTTTGCTATATTGGCCAGACTGGTCTTGAACTCCTAGGCTCAAGTGACTTTTCTGCCTCGGTCTCCCAAAGTTCTGGGATTACAGGTATGAGCCGCTTTGCCTGGCCAATGATTTTTTTAAATCTCAAAATCTTGGCTTCTTGGATCTCTTAGGCTTTGTGCTTCCATTTAAGAAATGAAAACGATTTGTTTAGGCTTTATTTTTGTGGTTTTGATCTTTCATATATTAAGAGATGTAGCATATCATCTCTTAATATATTCTGCTGTTCTGCAGACCTCTGTGCAAAACTTCACTTTATTTGAGCTACATGGTTCAGTGATAGAGAGAGGAAGATCTCCACATTGCATTTGTTAGTTGCTGGAAGGAGCCATGTGATGTGAGGCCTGCACTGCCTGAACTTTCACCCACTGAGGAACTTGAGTAGCACAGGCTGTGTGTGTTTCTCAGGCTTCAGGTATCCTCATTTGATCAACTGCTGCTTCTCAAAGTAGACAGTAGATTTCTCAGAGCAGGAATCTAGCAACCTGGGCACAAGGGCATACTCCCCAGATGGCCTACGAAGCCGTTTAGAATTGACTTGCTGTGCCCCTGGGCAGGTCTACGGGGAGCCATGGTGGCATTAACTCCAGGTTCCTCTAAAAGCCATCAGTAGGGTGGGAACCCAGGGTGAAGAGGAAGGGGATGCAGACTTTATCACAGCCCTGAATCTGAGTTATCCAGAAATCTTGGCCTCTGTGGATTTTACTTTCCTCCTATGTCCAGTGGCAGGGCTAGCTGGAATGGTGACCCCAAACAGCCTTCCTGGAACAGTTGTGCATTCCCAAGACTCAGCAAGAATTCTAAGCCATGGCTTCAGAAAAGAATCATTATGTAGAATTGAGAGAGAAAATAAAAGATGTTTGTTTTTACATCAATTTGTGTTTCTACAACTGAACAATGCTCAGGCTTCCACGAGACTTTGCATTTTGTGATGATTTCGGGATAACTTGAAAACCTTAAGTAACAGCTTTCTGTTCGAAGTTATTATAAAATGACAGTCTTGACCTCTAAACATTGTCCCACTCCTAGAGAAGTCATAATTGCATTTGTCAAACTGTGGCCCACACAAGTCAAGTCTGGCCCCTCATTTGTTTCTTTAAGTAAAGTTTTATTGGTACACAGTCACACTCCTTTGTTGACACTTGTCCGTGGTTGCTTTCATGCTACAACAGCAGAGGTGAGCAGTTATAAGGGAGACCAGATGGCCCTCAAAGCCTGAAATTCCTACTACCTGGCCTTTGACAGAAAAAGCTTGCAGACCCCTGCACTAGGATATAACTAGGTTAAGAAATCATTCATTCATAAGGTCTTTCTCTCTCTCTCTCTCTCTCTCTCTCTGTCTCTCGTTAACTCATCCAGTACTGCCCAGATAGGACACAGGCACAAGTATGATGAGTTTATATATTCTCTGCAATGTTAGATGGCTTTGACATGGCTAAATTAAGTTATATGCCAACAAATAAAGTAATGCTAATTGGTTGAGGGCTGACCCAAAACCCAAGATTAGCAAGTTTCAAAGACACTTCTTAGTTTCCTTTAAAAATGCTCACAGTCAACATAAAATAGGACTCAGTCTTAAAGCAAAATCTTGACTGACAGAGAGATGTAAACTTTATAATTAAGTTGAAAATTCCAGCTGATGAAGACAACATTCTAATGCTATTCATTGAACTGCTTCTCTAAATAATATTCCCAGCATCAGTATAAGTCCATAAGAATTCATGATCTACTTCATTTTTTGAGGTGGAAATCACCTTTTCTCCATCCTGACAGACCTGTACATTGATGCCCAGCCCCAGTGCAAGCCAGTGGCTCTGTCCCCATTTCTAGTGCCCCCAGTTCCTGGAATCACAGGCAAGGGCATTTTTAGAAATGACCTTTTATGCAGCCCTGCACTTGGAAAAGTGCCAAAATATCTTTAGAGATGATTTGTTCTAGGTTTTTCAACAGTTTTCTGCACTTGGGGATGAGGAAGAATCTCCACCAATTTTGGTATTCTTGCAAGTATTGGTTAGGCTTGCCCTGACCTTAAAACAGACACCAGCATCTGTGGCTGATGGGCTTATCAAATGTGGCTGTCCAGATTGTTAAGTGTGAAACATGGCGTGCTTCAAAGAGTTAGGATGGAAGAAAAAGAATGCAGATAGTGCAGTAAGAGTTTGACACTGATTACATGTTGAGATGGTATTATTTTAGGCGTATGGGAGTGAAATAAAAGATTGTTAATGAATTTTACCAGTTTTTTTTTTAACTTTTAATATGGATCCTAGAGAATTAAAATTAACCCATGAGGCTTGCTTTCTATCTGTATTGGACAGTCCTGGTTTATAAGGAGAGAGGCTCACTGTCTTTTCTTGTATGATACATGTTACTAGAGTAAACTTTGTGGGAGTAATTACTAACTTTTCCTTTGTTTGCGGAGCACAGACAACAATAATTTGGGATGCTCACACAGGAGAAGCCAAACAGCAGTTTCCTTTTCATTCAGGTGAGTCTTTATGTTTGTGTTTTGTAATTTGAAAATAATTCAAAATTAGGCTGGGTGCAGTGGCTCACATCTATAATCCAAGCACTTTTGAAGGCTGAGACGTGAGGCCCACTTGAGTCTCATGTCTCAAGTGAGACTCCTAGACGTGGTCTAGGAGTTCAAGACCAGCCTGGGCAATATAGCAAGACCCTGTCTCTACAAAACATGAGATGGGATGGGACGGGATGGGTTGGGACAGGACGATGAGGTAGCCGGACATGGTGCCACACACCTGTAATCTCAGCTACCCAGATGACTTTAGACTGATTTAAAATGGACAAAAGGGGGTAGGTGACACTTCCATTAATGACGAATGTCTGATCCATCTTGAGGGAATCCCTCAATGTATGCAGCAAAAGTTGATTATTTTATCAGCTGTCCCTGGAGCATGGTCCAGGAGGATATCTGAGTGTCTTTCTTGTTGGACAGTTGGGGTGCTTAAATGATGTTCTGAATGGGAGGGTAACCTCCAGGACTGTCCAAGATGGCGTAGCCCATCTCAGTGCCTGGGGAGGACTGCAAGCAGAGGACATGGGTCCTGCAGGAAACAAGATCATAAGCCAAAAGTCCTGTTGAGGCATGATGTGTAGGCGTCCACATCTGTTATTCCACGCAGTACTGTAGCAGGGACTCAATGAGCTTCCTCATACAGGCAGCTCAGAGAGTAAGGGAGACCCAGTGAGGACACTGTTTCTGCTCTGCTGTCCTGGAGAGGGAGAGAATCTCTTCTGTGGCCAATCCTGTACAGCTTTGGACCTACACCAAATACACCTCTAGGGCTGCTGGTGAAATTCTTTATTGGTGTTGCTTTAATTGAACACCATTGATGAGGTAGATGGTGCTGAGCATACTGGAGACAAATGGCTCCAAATGGAGGCAGCACATGCATGACCTCATCCAGGAATGTTCTTCACCCTAAAATGGAAACCCCCTACCTATTCAGTCTTTCCCCTGCCCCCTGGCAACCCCACTTACAGCTTGTGATCTCTATGTCATCTCCATGCCAGACAATTGCTACTCTGTGTTCTAGACTGTGCAAATCAAAGCAGCTGTCTAGTGAGAATGCCATTACTGCTAGAGTTCCATCACATGGCTTAAATGTCAAAATCTACCTTTGCGGACAGGAAGGGTTCCGTAACAAATTCACATCCCTAGAATACCAGACATGCAGACCTGGGGAGTAAGGGGGGATGTCTAATGCAGAAAGATCTGACTTCTGTTTTTCAGAGAAAAATATGCCCAAGGTAAACATCAGTGAGGTTCCTCTAATTCTTTTTTTTTTTTTTTGAGACTGAGTCTCACTCCATCACCCAGGCTGCAGTAGAGTGGCTCAATCTCGGCTCAGTGCAACTTCCACCTCCTGGGTTCAAGCAATTCTCCCACCTCAGCCTCCCAAGTAGCTGCAATTAGAGGCACCCGCCACCACACCCAGCTAATTTTTGTATTTTTAGTAGAGATGGGGTTTTGCCATGTTGGCCAGGCTGGTCTCGAACTCCTGACCTCAGGTGATCCACCTGCCTTGGCCACCCACAGTGCTGGCATTGCAGGTGTGAGGTACCGCACATGGCCAAGTTTCTCTAATTCTTCTATCTTAGGAATTTGTGTTGTCTTTCAGCAGAAAATAATCCTTCCCAAAGTGACCCCAGAGACTGATGGAAGGATTTTCTCCCCGCTGGCCCAACAAGACCACAAACTGCATGTTCTGAATTGCATGAGCTTCTTCTTACCTATAATCTGGCTGGCCACGAGGTAGATCCAATTCCCATCAGTAGGTAGGATATGTCTAGGCATTTCTTGCTTGCTGTTTGGTGTCAGGCAGTTCAAGATGAAGAGAAAGAAGCTCACTCTTCCAGGAGGAACACAGCTGTGAAGAGCTGTGAGGAGTGCCTTCTGTGGCTGTGGCAGGCTTGTGTTTTCCCCATGTTTCCATTTATGTAACATTGTCACTATGATAAAATGATAGAGGCTGGGTGCAGTGGCTCATGCCTGTAATCTCAACATTTTGGGAGGCTGAGGCAAGTGGATCATCTCAAGTTAGGAGTTTGAGACCAGCCTGACTGACATGGTGAAACCCTGTCTCTATTAAAAACAAAAAATTAGCCGACCTGGTGGTGGGCACCTGCAATCCCAGCTTCTCAGGAGGCTGAGGCAGGAGAATCCCCTCAATCAAGGAAGAAGAGGTTCAAGAGCTGAGATCGTGCCACTGCACTCCAGCATGGGCAACAAGAGCAAGACTCCATCTCAAAAAAAAAAAAAAAAAAAAAAAAAAAAGAGAGAGAGAGAGAAACCAGGGACTGAGCAGTGGTGCAGGAGTTTGGGAAGGGTGTGAGGAACAGTGGCCTGCTGATACAGTAGCATGAGGGAGATCTTAGTGAGGATGGAACACTGTGGGTCTCAATTGCAGCCGTACACATCTACCCATGTGAAAAAATGACACAGAGCACTCTATAGGCAAATTGCATCAATGTCAACTTTCCAGTCTTTATACAAGTCTACAGCTACACAAAAAGTAATTATTATAGGAACCTGGATGAAGGAGACAGAGGACCTGTCTGTGTTACCTTTGAAGCTTCCTGTAAATCTCTTAGTATTTCCGAAGGAAAATGTTGGACTGGGCCCAGAAGAATTAGGGCTATTGAAGCACACTGGCCTATGCATGGCAGGGAGGGCAGAGTCCCCCAGCATAGCTCAGCCCTCTTACTGGCCATTCACCCATATGGTTCCAAGCATCCTGGCTGCTGGAGCTGACTCAGAGTAGGGCCAACTGCCTGAGGACAAGGGGCCTTCCTTTTAGATGGGAGAGTCATCAAGTGCTGGTCACCATCTTCTGGACTGCTCACCACATTGTCACATTTCCAGGTATATTAATTGCATGCCTGAAGCAGAGACTGGACCAGGAATTTGCCATTTACCTCAGGCAATGTTGTAAACAAGAACTAGGAAAATGGGTCAAGAACTGTCATGAAACATGCTCCTGAGGAAGCAATGAAAGAGATGATCTCGGCTGTGGAAAAGACTACTGTTGACACCCATATCTTCCTACACACACCTTCTGCCTGGGGGTGAAGCTGGATGGGGAAGTGAATGGGGTCCCTGCACTAATGGACAATAAACTCATGGAGGGTCGCACCTCTCATTTAGAGACTGAGGAAGGGCCAGGGCAATCGATATTCAGAGAAAGCTGGATTCTTCTCAGTTCAGCATTGACTGCCTTTAAGAAATGCACACAGCTGGACACAGTGGCTCACTCCTGTAATCTCAGCACTTTAGGACATCAGCATGGGAGAATTGCTTGAGGCCAGCAGTTTGAGACCAGCCTGCACAACACAGCAAGACCCTGTCTCTGCCAAAAACCATTGTTTTTAAATGAGCCAGGCATGGTGGCTCACACTAGCAGCCTAGCTACTCTGGAGGCTGAGGTGGGAAGATCAAGTGAACCCAAGAGTTCAAGGCTCTAGTGAGCTATGATTGTGCCACTGCACTCCAGCGTGGATGACAGAGCAAGACCACATCTGCAAAGGAAAAAAAAAAGACACATAAGATGGGCTTCTGTATTGGTCAGTTGTTGAGGACATTGTGGCCAGAGCCTAGCAGAAGTTAACCCTCTATTTTCCCTAGAAGCAATTCTTCAGTGTTGGCTAATTCAGTGTTTGCAGCTAGCTTGGGAAATATAACTTGGCAAACAACAGAATGGACCATACTATTTAGGAAAACCAATGAGAGTTCTTGGTTGGGCATTCTTGTAGAATTGCCATAACCCCACCTTCTCTCCTGGTACATCATGGAGCCCACTCAGTAGCTAAAAGTAATTTCCACTGGCTTGTGTGGGAAGCACAGGGATAGAAGAGCTGGTCAGATGTTGATGGGTAGCCCTCAAAACCCAGAGCTCCCTGCTCCTTAAGGCATTACCCTCTTTAATTAGCATGAACCCTAGGAAGGGAGAGCCTTTCTCTGCATTTTACATGTAATTGAACACAGTACTTTTCACATCCCTAAGTTAGTCCCTTTGATAATCAGGGTTTTGTGCACACAGCTGGGTTCAGAGGTCCTCTACATATGAAAAGTCTCATGATGATCCTTAATAAGAGAGTGGGTTGCTCAGAGTCTTCAGGGGAAAAGAGGAGATTGTTTGAGAAGGCACCTCTTCCCCTGTGTCCTCCCATCTTGGCATCCCATGGCCTTTTTTCTTGCTTATCAGTTCTCTGTCATGAGGTGGGAGTGAGTCTAGGGAGTGCTTTGCTGGCATGGCCCCTGCAGTGGAGAGAGGCCAGGGATCTGAGCACAGCATGCCTGCTGGCCCCTAGGAATGCCAGTGATCCCTGCTGCCAGTGAGCATCTGAGAGGAAGGGAAATAGCCACTCACAGCCACAGCTTCTCACCCCCACCACTCTCTGCTAGAGGATAGGAGTGAGCAGTTGAAATCACAGTTCCCCAGACTCAAAAAAGGATGAGAGTGCAGGGTTGCACCTGCTATGGGAACTTCCACACCCCCAGCTCATTCCATGTCTTGGGCACTTTGCTGATCTCCTGAGATGCTTCATCTTGCTCATTTCCCCCCTTGTCTGGGACAACTTGCAACATCTGCGTCTGCAGCTGAGACTCCAGGAAGCCATTGACCTGCAGCTGCATGTCAGTAATGGGGCAGAATGAGGAATGAGGCCCAGTTGCTAGGACTTCAGTGCCCTTGCTGTCACCCATATTTCCAGTGCCTCTCAGGACATGGTCCAGCATTGTGAAGTCAGACCTTCTGAGGACAGAACCAGAGCCTGGCTTTTAACTAGGGCCCTGGACATTTTGGTGCATTGGGAAGTTGCCAGATTTCTAGTTTCCATCCTAGGAAAGAAACCAGAAGGGAGAGAACAAGACCCACAGCTGTAATTATACAACGGGAGTTCAGCTTTACGTTGTTCTGAACCACCTGGACCTGAGAAAGGCTCAAAGTCAGGGAGAGTGTTGGTCACAGGCCCTGAGGCATATGTCCTATTTCATCCCCAAAGGGTTTCTTGTTGACTGTAATTATCTCCCAGTCAGTGGGATGCATTAATGGATTTCAGGAGGCTTTTTTTTTACATATATTGAGGTATCTTGAAAATAGGGCAAGAAATTCTTCCTCTCCTTTTTTCTCCTTTCTGTCTGAAGTAGAATCAAATTAGCTCATTGCAGTGATACTGCTGGAAGCAGCCAGGTGCAGAGTAGGCAGGGCAGCTCTCTCACCTGCCCTTCTTATCTGTGCCATGGGAGCAGGAGATTCTGCAGGCCCTGGGGCACAGGAAATGTCATGAAGCCTTTTTTCTAGGACATCTTGTCATCCCTGCCAACATGGCAGGAGAGGGTCTTTAAGGTCTTGAAAGGAAGGAAGGAAGGAAACTGTGATCACACACGGGACTGTTTGTTTTTTTTTTTTTTTTTTTTTTTTTTTTTTTGGTGTTTTTTTGAGACAGGATTCTTGCTCTGTGGCCAGTCTGGAGTGCAGTGGTCCAATCTTGGCTCACTGCATCTCCATCTCCTGGGTTCAAGCCATTCTCCTGCCTCCATCTCTCAAGTAACTGGGACTACAGGCGTGTGCCACCACACCTGGCTAATTTTTGTATTTTTTAGTAGAAACTGGATTTCACCATGTTGGCCAGGATGGTCTTGATCTCAACCTCATGAACCTCCCACTTCGGCCTTCCAAAATGCTGGGCTTATAGGCATGAGAGGCCAAGGCCGGAGGATTGCTTGAGTTGAACACTAGCTTGGACCATGTAGGGAGACCCCATCTCTACAGAAAATTTTAAAATTAGCTTAGTGTGGTGGCATACACCTGTAGTCCCAGCTACTCGGGAGGCTGAGGCGGGAGGATTCCTTGAGGTTGGGACACTGAGGTGGGAGGACCTCTTGAGCCCAGGAATTTGAGGCTGCCATGAGCCGTTAAGCCACTGCACTCCAGCCTGGGTGACAGAGCAGGCCCTGTCTCTAGAATAAATAAATAAGTAAACTAAAGAGGCTTCTTGACTCTGCTGTTCATTGTTGTAAATCCATAGAGCTATGCACACAGTGAATAACTGCAGATGTCCTCCCTCCCTGCTGCAGCCCCCGCCCTTGATGTGGACTGGCAGAACAACATGACCTTTGCCTCCTGTAGCACAGACATGTGTATCCATGTGTGCAGGCTCGGCTGTGACCACCCAGTCAAAACCTTCCAGGGACACACAGTAAGTGAGAGCTCTTGTCACTGGTCTCGAGTTCATGAGAAGGTGATGTGGGAGCCAATTCTTGTATGCCTAGAATTAAAATATACTGCAGCAGCAGACCATTTCTTCTGCAGCCCTTGGCTGCTTGAGCTATAGTGGCCAATTCAGGTGGATGGATTCAACCACTTTGGGGTGTGCGTTGAGAACATTTGACCTGGAAATGGTGTAGTTGGTGGACTTGGCATCAAAGCCTATAAGGTAGCTATGAGAAAAACATAGGGCACATAAAGGAAGGGATGTTCACAATAAATGAATAGATGGGGCACATCTGCAATGAATGGAAAAAAATACGTCATTAAAAATCAAGGCTAGGAACAGTGGCTCACACCTATAATCCCAGTACTTTGGGAGGCTGAGGCCAGATAATTGCTCGAGGCCAGATAATTGCTTGAGTTCAAGTCCAGCCTGGGCAATACAACAAAACCCTGTCTCTGCAAAACAAATTTTAAAAATAAGCTAGGTGTGGTGGTGTGCACCTGTTGTCTCAGCCCAGGAGGTTGAGGCTGCAGTGACTGCGATCACACCACTGTACTCCAGCCTAGGCAACAGAGTGAGATCTGTTTAAATTAATTTTTTAAAAAAGGAAATTTGAGAACTGAGAAGTATAATGTCGCAATTGAAAATCTTAGTAGGTGGGTGTATTGGGCTGTTCTTGTATTGCTATAAACAAATACCTGTGACTGGGTAATTTATAAGATATTTAATTGTCTTAAAGTTTTGCACCTGTATAGAAAGCATCTGCTTCTGGGGAGGACTCAGGAAGCTTACAACCATGACAGAAGGTAAAAGGTGAGCAGGTGTCTCACGTGGCCAAAGTAGGAGCAAAAGAGAGGGGCTGTGGAGTATTACACACATTTAAACCACCATATCTCGTAAGAACTCACTCTCATGAACACAGCACCAAGCCATGAGGGATCTGCCCTCTTGATCCAAACACCTCCCACCAGGGCCCACCTCCAGCATTGGGATTACAATTCAACCTGAGATTTGGGTGGGGAAAAATATCCATCTTCATCAGTGGGTTTACTAGCAGGTTGAAGACTGCAGAAGTAAAGTTAGAGATCACAGAAATTTGCCAGTTTGAAGAACACATAAAAGACTGAAAAATGAATAGGGGCTTACGGGCCTGTGGGACAATATCAGGCAGCCTAAAGATGTGTGCATAATGGGGAAAGAAGAAAGAATGAAACAGGAAAATCATTTGAGGCAATAATGGCCAATTTTTTCTAAATTTGTTGGAAAACATCATTTAATTTGAGAAGCTCAGGAAATCTCAAGCAGAATAAATATGAACAGAACCACACCTACCCACCTAGGCATATGGTTATCAAACATCAAATTTAATGACAAAGAAAATCCTAAAAGCAAGCAAAGACTGAAAAAGGTCCTGTTGTATACCAAGGAACAACAATATGAATAGCAGCCAACTTAACAAATTCCTTACTGTGGGCTCTGAGGCTCTTTCTGGTCTTTTCATCAGATATCTCTCAAATTCTCCAATTGTTATGATCTCTTACCTTACTTCTGCAATCGCCGGTATACCATTAAACACATTTATTAGTCTCAGCCTCCTGGGCTAGTGTCCAAAACACCCTGTGCCTCTGTCTTCCTAAAGACATGTGCAGCCAAGCACCTCAACCCATGCTAAGGCCTTCCTGGAACAGTCCCTGACTTAGACTCCCACAGCAGCCCTCAGTCTGATACAGACTCTTCTCCATCCTCCAGGCCCATTTACATGTCCTGTGCACACCCCTGGGATAATTCATGGCACCTCCTGAGCTCTCATTGCCCATGTGAATACCACAGCCCTGACAGTGGCTGTTGGCCTGTGTGCCTGTCTCTCCCAGAAAATGCAGAGCACATCAACAGTGATCCCAGGAGGGCCCATGGCGTCTTGCCTTTCTCTCACCAGCATCCAGAATATCTTTCCTTGCTAGGAGCTGGGGGATCCCCTGTTAAAGCAGGAGAGGACGATCGCGTTCCTGGAGATTTGCCATCATGTCACTAACTTAACTGATGTAAATTCCATTTTTCTCTTTCCCCTAGTGCCCATCTCACCCCACCCCTGGGCCAAGGTTCCCCACCCCAAAGGAAGGCACTTTTAGAGCACAGGCATTTGTTATCCTGTTTACATCTCCTGGCTCCAAACTGACTCTTTTTCTGATCTAAATTTATTTCTCCTCTAACCCTGGACTATCCTCAAGTTTTTGAGAGAGCTGCACACACTGTTTCTGGTTCCCAACTGTCCTGCTCCAGACCTTGCCACCAGCATGGGACTTGACCCTTTAAGTGGGTCATACTGTGGCTGATGGCCCTAAACAAAGCTCCAAGTCACTGGGGTTGAGTGTAGACCTACAAGCCAGCTCTGGAGGCAACCCAGGAACTGGGACTTGGATTGGAGGCTGTAGGATCAACTCTCAAGAAAAAATGTGTTCCTTTATGTGAGTTTGGATGCAGACAGGCCAAGGTGACCAGCTCCACATTCTGGGCCTGTGGGATTTCCTTTCCACAGCTGCAGTGAGAGTCACTCTTGCTAGCCTAGCACCCACATTCACACTCACACATACTTAAGAATGCTCACTCTCTCAGCCCCCTCTTCAGTGGCCCCCTCCACCCTCCCTGGTCTCTCCCAGTAGTCTGCTCCCAGCACAAACATTCATGCTCACAGGCACTAAGCACATTCTCATCTCCCTCTTCAGCAGGCCCCTTCTGCCTCCCTGGGCTCTCCCAGCAGGCTGCTCCTGGGTCATATGTCCATGTTCATAGACACCTAAGCCTGCTCACACTGTCAGCCTCCTCTCCAACCGGTCTGCTGCACCCTTTCCAGATTCTCCCAGCAGCCTTCTGGAACAGACATCCATGCTCATAGACACATAAGCATGCTCACAGCCCCCTCTTCAATAGGCCTTGTCTGCCCTCCCCTCCATCCCAGCAGCCTGCTCCTGGAAGACACATCCATTCTCATAGACACCTTTGCAGGCTGACACTCTGTCAGGCCCCTCTCCAGCCAGCCCCCTCCACCCTCCCTGGGATTTCACAGCAGCCTATTCCTTGGCCATCACGCTTGTTTCTCCATTTCCTGGGCCACCCATACCACATAGAGCACACAGGTGGCTTGTCACTGTCCCGTTCACACCCTTCAAAACTCAGTGTCTGTGTCCTTAGAAAGTAACATGACCATACAGTTTACCATCCAAATTGGAGCCCTCAGGAGTTTGAAAATATTTAGAAAATTAATTTTCAGTGTGAAATTAGTTAATGCCAGGACAATAGGCATCAGATATTGGGCTGTCTGGGGCATATGGGACCCTATTGTCACCCCCCCAGAAAAGATCCTGCCCCATTTCTCCTGGGCAGGCTGTTCCCCAGCTGAACCTTTGCTGCAAATGGTTCTCTTTTGTTTGTTTGTTTGTTTGAGATGGAGTTTAGCTCTGTTGCCCAGGCTGGAGTGCAATGGCACGATCTCGGCTCACAGCAACCTCCCCATCCCAGGTTCAAGCGATTCTCTTGCCTCAGCCTCCCTAGTAGCTGGGACTACAGGCGCCCGCCACCACACCTAGCTAACTTTTGTATTTTTAGTAGAGACGGGGTTTCACCATGTTAGCCAGGATGGTCTTGATCTCTTGACTGCTTGATCTCTTGATCGTGATCCGCCCACCTTGGCCTCCCAAAGTGCTGGGATTAGAAGCATGAGCCACCGTGCCCAGCACAAGTGATTCTTTTATGTGTGTCTGTCCCAGTGTGTCCTTTTCTGCCTTGGTCCCTGGGTACTTTTGCCTTTATCCTCCAGGGTTTAGTCTCAGCGTACCCAGGTGTCCTGAGCCTGTGGGTTAGAGCGCTCACCCTGTGCTTTTAGGTACTTGGCTGTTTGCAGCGGATGAGGAGCCCCTGGCCAGGATTTTGCCTGTGTTGTGTGGCTTCTGCTGCTCAGCATTTGCCTCTCATTTCCCTTGCACATGTGTGTCTGCCTGTATGTGCATTTTGGTCACCCGTCTTTCACCTGAGTCAGCCCTTATCCTGCTTGAGCTCCACAATAGCTGAGGCTTCACTTCTTGTGTTTATCCCTCCCTCCACCTCCACTCACCGGCAGGAGAGCAATGCCTTGTAATGGGTGTAGACATGGGAAGGAACTGTTAGATTAAAGTGCATAGGAGACCTGGCATGGTAACACATGCCTGTAATCCCAGCACTTTGGGAGGCTGAGGCCAGAGGGTTGTTTGAGCCTGGGAGTTCAAGATCACCTTGGGCAACCCCATCTCTGTAAAAAATACACACACACACACACACACACACACACACACACAGACACACACACACACAGACACACACACAAAAAGCTGGGTGTGGTGGTGCCTGCCTCTCATCCCAGCTACCTACATTGGAGGCCAAGGTGGGGATTGCTTGAGCCCAGGAGTTCAAGACCAGCTTCAGCAACCCATCTCCATCAAAAGAGAAAAAAAAAGTAGCTGGGTGTGGTAGGGCCTGTCTTTAGTCCAAGCTAGAGGTTGAGGCAGGAGGATCACTTGAGTTCAGCAGGTCAAGGCTGCAGTGAGCTAGAATCGGGCCACTGAACTCAAACCTGGGCAACCGCGAGAGCTTGCCTCAAAAGTTAAAAAAAAAGAAAAAGAAAAAAAAAGGAAGAGTGCGTACGAAAGTAATTTTCAAAGCCCAGCTTTTAAAATAACTGGTTTTATTTGCTGTGTTTTATGGTATATGAATTCTTCACTTGCTTTCCTTCCTAGCAGGGAAGGTTTTCTTCTTAACAAAGTATGGATGAGAGTAGCTGGTGATGTGTGGTACAGGGCTGTGGTTTTACATAAATGAAAAAGGCAAAGTGAGAAAAAGAGGAAACTAGACGGCTGGTTGGGCTGTGCTCTTTGATGTCAGGCTGAGGCCTAAGACCTTCTGCAGCGACGGTGGCGCGCTGCTGCCCCCTGCTGGAAGGCGACCTCATCTACTCACAGGTCCTGATATATTTTTCAAGAGACTCTCCGCTCTGTTTCAGAACGAGGTCAATGCCATCAAATGGGATCCTTCTGGAATGTTGCTGGCGTCCTGCTCGGATGACATGACATTGAAGGTAGAGTCAGCATGGCAAGGGGTGGGCTGTTTAATCTCAGACAGCCTTGGGCACTTGACGTCAGTCTCACAGTCACACTTGCATGAGGATTATTTGTTACTGACCACGTTCCCTTCCTCTGTCATCCGGTGAACTCCAATTTCTCAGTCAGCGTCCTACTGAGAATCCCAGCCTCCCCGCATCCTTTCTCACCACTGCACACCCCATATCCCGCCGTGGGCCATTAGCCTCACTTATGCACCCCGGAGGAATGATGCCACATCATTCCCGGGTGCAGGAATGGCTTTTGCTCATGTTGTGGCCGGTGTGTCCTTTAGATCTGGAGTATGAAGCAGGATGCATGCGTCCACGATCTTCAGGCTCACAGCAAAGAGATCTACACCATCAAGTGGAGCCCCACCGGGCCTGCCACCAGCAACCCAAACTCCAGCATCATGTTGGCAAGGTAAGGGCCGGCAGCACAACTGGTACAGCTCCGCCCTACACAACGATAACAAGAAATTTTGCTCAAGTGTGTCTGTGCACCTGTGTTGAAGCCCTTCAGAGGAAACAAAGTGGTAGCTCACTTTGAAGGGGCCAAAACCATCCTACCTTTGAGGTTACCATGGTTTTGGCCCAGGTGCCATGGCTCACACCTGTAATCCCAGCACTTTTGGGGGCCGAGGTGGGCAGATGACAGGTCAGGAGTTCGAGACCAGACTGGCCAACATGGCAAAATGCTATCTCTACTAAAAAATACAAAAATTAGCTGGGTATGGTGGTGCATACCTGTAATCCCAGCTACTTGGGAGGCAGAGGCAGGAGAATCTCTTGAACCCAGGAGACGGAGGCTGCAGTGAGCCAAGACCACCCCACTGCACTCCAGCCTGGGCAATAAAAGTGAAACTCCGTCTCAGAAAACACAAAAATTCCTGTTGCTTGAAGAATATATATATATCTTTTATATATATATCTTATATATTTTATATATATGTCTTATATATATCTTATATATTTTATATATATCTTATATATTATATATCATATATTTTATATATATCATATATTATATTTTTTATATATCATATATTTTATATATCATATATATTTTATATATGATATATATCTTATATTTTTTATATAGCTTATATTTTTTATATATTTTATATACATATCTTATGTATATTTTATATATGTATGTTATATATTTTTTATGTATATTATATATATATAATATATATATGTAAAGAAAAACAGGGTCTCACCATGTTGCCCAGCCTGGTCTTCAACTCCTGGCTTTCTCCCATCCTCCTAGTGCTTCATTTGATTCTACAGTGCGACTGTGGGATGTGGAGCAAGGTGTCTGCACCCACACACTCATGAAGCATCAAGAGCCTGTCTACAGTGTAGCTTTCAGCCCCGATGGAAAGTACTTGGCTAGTGGATCCTTTGACAAGTATGTTCATATCTGGAATACTCAGGTAAGCTCCTGACCCATACGAATCCTTTTAGTAAGGGATGCCTGAACAGCCACTATTCCAGTGTCTCTGGTTCAAAGCAGTGCCCTTGAGGGAGTAGAGCAAGCCCAGGCTTCCCGGACAGACCCAGTAGATGCTGTCCATCTTGCACCCCATGTGGGTTGTGAGCTCTTCCCTCACCAGACACCTCCAGCAGCTCTTCTCCCTAAGGAAGGGCATCGTGTCTGCTGTCCTCAGGGCTCTTGGCCATTTGATTCCAAACCCTCACCTTGGCACATGTTCTTCCTTGAAGGAGCCACTGTCTTCTGTTCACTTTCTGAGCTCATGGCACGATACCTTCCACCTTCCTCTTCCTCTTCTTAGCACTTATCACCAAAATGCTGCTTTCTAGATATTGAGGTTGGAGGGTGGGAGTGGGGGAGCAGCTAACAGGGGTGAGGCCAACTCAACATCCTCCACGCACACCAGCTCCTGCAGCTCCACCATAGAGAAGATCCGGGAGTAGGAAGGAATGTGTGTTTGCTGTTGTCATGCCACTTAGATTTTTCAAATGAAAGTTTCTGTTTGAGTAAGTAAGGTGTGTATGTTGGGTTGTCCTTTTGCCATGGACTGAAAGGACATAGGATTTGAGTGAAGGTGGCTGGCTGCTGTGGGTATCTTGGGCCACACCTGAGGGTAGGAGAATCCCACTAAAAAGAGTAGAAAAAGGGATGGGAACGAGTACTGCACTGCATGAAGGATTGTATAGGGCAGTTTGGAAAGGACTGTACAACACTTCATTTTATTCTGAGAGAGAAGTGATGATGCTCTAGGAGCTATTGAAAATAACCAAGGGGTCCCTTTAATCTTAGGAGGGATCACATGGCCCCTCCCCCATTCATCTGCATTTTCATTTTGGGTGTTTTTGGCTTGGTTGACATTCAGGTGCATTTACATCCTCAAGTTCATTCCCCCTGTGTACTCATGGGTGATGAGCAATGTTCACTGGCAAGGGGTCCACTGAGATCACAGGCTTCCCAGGGACCTCATGTGAACCACATCCTCTCAGGGAAGGAAGGGAAGTGGTGGACCCTGCGTAGAGCCAACCCAATGCCAAGCCCAGCCCCACAGCCCTAGGTAGCCCTCCGGGAAGCATGCATCTCGGGACTAGTGTGCAAGAGTCTCTGTTCATGGAATCCTTGCTAGAAATAGTAATGGGTGGATTTGTGAAAATATGTCAATCATCAAAAAAAAATGATACAATCAGTTAGGAGGAGCTTATCATCAAGAACTCACTGAATCATTTCAGCTGTTTCTTGTAAATCAAGGAAATGCTTAGCGTTTCTCTTAAAAGAAATCTTAAAGCCCACTTTAATGTTCTGTAAGTATAAAAATATCTATCTATAATACTGTTGGTGTGCACCTGTCTTAGTTCAAGACACTACCTTTAAAGAGCCCAGTTGAGAACAGGTTTTGAGACAGCCCTCCTGGTCTTGGTCTTTAGATTTATCCTGCCTGTCACCATTAGTGAATCATGAGTGAAGGCTTATATGACCCTTTCTTCTTTTTTATAAAAACTTTTAAAATTAATTTTTGTACAGACCGGTCTCACCGTGTTGTCCAGGCAGGTCTAGAACTCTTGAGCTCAAGCAATCTTCCTGTCTCAGTCTCCCAAAGGGCTGGGGATTACAGGCATGAGCCACCATACCTGGCCTTATTTGACTCTTTCAAAGCCCTCTATTTTCCTCACCTCTTGAATATGTCAAGTTAATGCTCTTTTAAACCAGAAGCAAAGGTCTGGAATGTTTTCTGTTACACATATGTTACGCAATTTTCTTTCAAACATAAAATTACATTTCAATTTCCAACATGTTAATACATTTAATGATGAATTACTGTCAATTCCCTTGCTGGTAGGTGAATTGTATTCATTCAGGTCAATTGTATTCATTCAGACACCAAGACAGGATTAGATGGGCAAGAGATTTATTGGGAGAAACAGCTGTGATGGAAACAGGGAAAGAGCTAGAGAAGGAAGAACTCAGACCATAAAGTCAGTCTGACCCCTGGCCTTACAGGTCTATAGGAAGTCCGTGAGCTGGCCATGTGTGGTATCTCACACCTGTAATCGCAACACTTTGGGAGGCTGAGGTGGGTGGATCATCTGAGGTTGGGAGTTCGAGACCAGCCTGACCAACGTGGTGAAGCCCCTTTTATACTAAATATACAAAATTAGCTGGGCATGGTCACACATGCTTGTAATCGCAGCTACTTGGGAGGCTGAGGCAGGAGAATCACTTGAACCTGGGAGGTTGAAGTTGCAGTTAGCTGAGATTGCGCCACTGCACTCCAGCCTAGGTGACAGATGACTCCCAGACACCTGTCGAGTTCTCCCACCTCCATCAGTCCTCGCTGGGCACAGTCTCAGAATCCACCCAAATATCTGAATATGATGGTGGATTCTGTGGGCAGTAGTAATCAGATTCACTTCCTGTTGTGGGAAATCCAAAAGACATGTTTCTGCATCCCCCAGAGCACTTATTAAAAACCCTTAAATTTCACCATGCTTGAAAATGTTCATGATCAAATATTAGGGGCAGGAGAAGTGCACATTCCACACCTGCATCTGTTGCAGGTGCCCTTCTCACTATAAGTAATAGTTAGTTACCTTGCCTTGCAGAGTGGAAGTCTCGTCCACAGCTACCAAGGCACTGGCGGTATCTTCGAGGTGTGCTGGAACGCCCGAGGAGATAAAGTGGGCGCCAGCGCGTCTGATGGCTCTGTAAGCAACACCTCTGGTTTACCAGGGAACAGGGTGTTGGGGGAGGGGGATAAGTGAAATCAGGCAGCTGATGCCTAAGTGAAGTCAGGCAGCTGATGCCTAAGTGAGGGGCATGTGTGTTGCTCATGTCCTGAAGGGTCTAGCCCAGTGCTGAGGGAAGCTTTTAGGATGGATCCCATCTGGGAATGGCCTTCTCCTTGTCCCTTCCAGAATGTCCTTCTAATTAACATTTTCTCAGTTAAATTGGTGGTTCTCAACCAAGGTGATTCTGCACCTCTGAGGACATTAGACAATATGTGGAGGAATTTTAAGTTGTCACTGTAGTCATGTGTTGTGTAATGATGGGAGTGTGTTTTGAGAAATGCATCGTTAGGTGCTTTTATCTTTGTCTGAACATCATGGAGTAAACTGACTCAATCCTAAATGATAAGACCTATACACACCTAGGTTGTACAGTAAAGCCTATTGCTCCCAGGCTACATACCTGAACAGCAGGTGACTGTACTGAATACTATAGGCAACTGTAATGCAATGATAAGCATTTGTGCATCTAGACCTATCTAAACAGAAAACATTCAGCAGAAATATGATATAATAATCTTATGGGACTACCGTGTTCTGTGAGGTATGTTGATGGAATGGTCATTATGTGGTACATGACTGCTTAGTTGGGGATGCCACTGGCATCCTGTGGGCAGAGCTCAGTGATGCTACTAAAACTCCTACCATGAACAGGGCAGTCCCAGTTTTCATCCATGCTGAGGCTGAGAAGTCTGGGCCTCTGGTGGCCATCCAGCAGGTCTCCTGGGCACTCTTCTTCTCCCATGGGGCATCTGGATTTTTTATTTGCCCCTGGACTTGAGATTGCCTTTACCTCTGAGGCAACAGCAGTCTGGCTGACTGTCCAGGCATCAGTGTAGCCCCCAAATATCGTCAGAGATCATGTATTTGGGCTTGTGTTGCCATCTGCCCCACAGTTGCAGGTGTCTGTTTTGGGACCCCTGCCAATTGTCTCTCCCACTGTGTTAATTCCTAGAATTGTTCTTAACCTGGCCTTTCTGCTATGTGCTGTTTGCTTTGGTTTGATTGGTCCAATGTCCATATGCCAGTCTGTTATGAGAGCTTCTCTGATCCTTCATAACGATGTTCCAATGAAACTTTACTCACAAAAATTGGTGGAGACCTAGACTGGGCATGAGGGCCGTAGTTTGCTGACCTCTCACTCTAAAGGCATCTTTGGGTTATTTCTGAAGATGACAAGTACTTTGTCTTTCCTTCCAGGTGTGTGTTCTGGATCTGTGAAAGTAAACACAAAATATAGAAAAAAAGAAAAGAATTCTAATGACCTGCCTTGAATGCATGGGGTTGCAGCTCTGTTCAAACACAATTCTATCAGCTCCAAAATGTGTGAACTTGACTTGTGTTAGAGTATATTCTGAAACCAACTTGTCCCAGGCCACAGGAGTGTATATGTTTCATAATCTTTATCAAGAAGTTTGTTGTTTTTTTTTGAGTTGGAGTTTTGCTCTTGTTGCCCAGGCTAGAGTGCAGTGGTGTGATCTCGGCTCAGTGCATCTTCTGCCTCTTGGGTTCAAGTGATTCTCCTGCCTCAGCCTCCCAAGTAGCTGGGATTACAGGCATGCGGACATGACGCTCAGCTAATTTTGTATTTTTAGTAGAGACAGGGTTTTACCATGTTGGTTAGGCTGGTCTCGTACTCCTGACCTCAGGTGATCCACCCACCTTGGCCTGCCAAAATGTGGGATTACAGGTGTGAGCCACCATGCCTGGCCTCAAGAAGTTTTAAAAAGCAAACAAAAACAGAAGCAAATGAACAGTCCTATTAAAGGGGGAGAGAATGGTTTCCACCGAGGACATTTAGCCCAGGAAGCAGCAAGTCAGCAGCTCGAGGTGACGGAAGAGGCTCTGTGATGGCTGGTCAGAAAGAAATTTTAAAAGTTGTGCCAAAAAAAGAGAAGCAAATGCTTCTGATCAAACAGGGAATTAAAAAAAAAAAAAAACACCAGCCCTCTTCCTTGGGGTGTTTTCTGGTTTGTTTTCCTTAACAATCTGGACAGCACCATTGCTCTCACAAAGGATGTGCAAAGACCAGTTTGTATACCAATAAGATGTGCGAGTTTGTAATCCCAACACTTTCCATTTTCCAGCATCTTCTTTGTTGGCTGGTTTTTCTATCAGTTGGAATTCTGTCATCTGGGGCCTTCTTATATCTGAGATGGAAACTGTTTTGCATTTCCTGTCTTTTTCCTCTGTTGCTCCCTGCCCCCCTTCCACCTTTCGATGAGGTCTGGTTTTTCAGTGCACCCTCAAGAGATGCAGCCACATGGACGTGAAGACAAAATCTCCAATGGACAGCTTTCCCCCTTCTCCCCTCTCCCATCCTACCCTTCCCTTGCTCTCTCACGCTCTCTCTCTCTCCCCCTTCCTCTCTCCCCCTTCCCTCCTTCCCTCTGTACCTTTGTCATGGTTGCTTCAGATCTTAGGTGTCAAGGACACACTGGTGCATAATAAGTGCTTTATGTAGAAGGTAGGACAGGGGACTTTTTAACAGAAGAAAAATAATGCCTTATAAGAGAAAAGAGCCTGGAATACTTATAGGAAAAAAAAATTCATGTTAAAGCGATTTTAAAATCCTAAAATGGCCATCAGACAGAAAGAGCTTTGTTTGATTTATGTTTTAAAAAGAACTGAAGAAGCCACAGTTGGGGCTTGAAGGATTCCCTGGCTTTCCCCTCAGTCTCAGGAAAGGTGGTCAGAAAACTCCAGGTGGACAAGGGTTACCCCTAGGGGTCAGCAGTGAGATTGCTCTGTAGCCAGTGAGGGAGGTCCCAGCCATGCCAGTTGGAAGAAGAACCTTGCATCCTTCAGTGTGTGCATACTTTGGCAGCTGTCAGGAAAGCAGTGAAGGACCACATGCTCTCTAGCCTCAAGGGAGTGTTGGCAGAACAAAAAGGTACTGCCGAAGCCCTAGAAACTGACAGCTTGGCTGGATTTGGCCTGTTGGCTACATCTTTGCCACAGCCATGTTATGAGTGATGGTCATTTCTCCAAGAGCTGGCCTGGCTAGTAATTGCAGAGGCTCCTGCATGTCACTTGGTCTAACGATGACAAAAATGAATGTGGAAGGAAGATTTTAGTCCTGGAAGGGAAATATTGACTTAGAATGACACTAACACTTTCTGCCGTCTTTATAATTTCTTTCTCTCATCAAGATTAGGACAAATATATATATATATACACACATATATTTTTAATGAATCTTCGTACTTTTTTTTAAAGAAAATTAAAAATGGTGTTCCTTGAAGGGCTTCATTTCATTGTATCAGGTGACATTTGTCCTCTTATTGTCATAACCCAACACTGACTTATTTTTTTAATTAGCAAGGGCGAAAAGGTATCAAAGACAAAGGCCTCTTCTCCCATTTGTTTTTCCTGTGGGCAGAAGAAGGGCTGAGGAAGTTGGCCTGGCCTGTGGGGGCTGCTTCTTCACTGGCAGTGTTGCAGTCTGCTGCGTGTGTTCCAGGAGTGAGACAGGGTGTTATTGTGAGGGTGGTGTCCATCTGCAGAGCCAAAAATCAGACATCAGGGAAGGGCCAGGGCTTCCTATGGAACTTGGAATTCACCACAACCCCTACAAAAGCCAGAGTCTGTTGATCATTCTAGATCATTGATTGGCCTTTGCTTGGATATGTGAATTATTCAAGCCTCAGAAGACCAAAATATCTGCTTCCAAGGTGAGTATCTTATTTGGGCTGTATTTCCAAAACAGTTAGCAAAGCAGGCCACAGTGATGTAGTGGTTTCACAACACCCATCTTTGAAGGAGCTGGTATCCACAGATGAGGTGATGATTTCCCCTCCCGGGGACTCATTGGGGTTAGGGTATGGTTTGTCAAGGACCAAATGACACTGTCTTTATGCCTCCCAAATAAAAATACATCCATCTCTGCAGAGCATCAGCTGTCAGAGGTCAGCCTGTCATCAGGACATGACTTAGGCTTGACAAACCAGAAACAACTGTGCAATAGTAATGGTGGGATGTGTTGCAAGCGATTCACTAGACAATCTTCACATGAAGGTCAGTAGCCAGGGTCTCTTCCAAGGATTGGCTTTAGTCTGGATGAATTGCTAGGTAGAAGCCTGGTTTGGGAGGCCTTGGACCCCAGGCTCCATCACTGGCTTCTCTAGCCTGAGGCCAGAGAGGTCCTTCCTGTGGCTGCATGCAGGACCAAGCATGAGAATGCAGCTAGCATCCGCCACATCTACCCCAGTTCTCATCAGAACAACACCATGGACAGCTGTTTCCATAGCCTCCAGTGTTTGCACATCACTCCTCACCCTGTGTGCTGCTGGAATGTTAGTAGAGCCATCCCTGTAACCAAGGAATGGCCTGAGCGGAATGCTATTGTTCAATGTTGTTTACAGCTCTTAAAACACAGTGAGGAATGCCTAAGTCATAGAGACCAAATTTGACCTTGAAGGCAGACATGACACACCTTGTCCAAGGGGGACCAAAAGGGTAGGACATTACAGGCTGAAACCCTCTGACCCCTCATGACAATGTAGGACGTGACTTTTGTCTTCTTAAGAAATAGGTCATGGAGCCAAGTGAAGTGCACTTTGTCAAATGTAAGGGTCCGCTTGTTACTCATTTTCTGTTTGTTAACCTTTTTTTCCATCATTTAACAAAAACCAATCTTACATTTCTTGTCAAATGCAGAAATGTTTATTCTGGCAATCAGTGAAGTTTTGCATTGTGTGTCAGATATATAGCCGGACATGTTCTCTGTCCCCATTTTTCAGATTCTGTTCAGATGACATCAACCCATTTCATTCCCCCCACCACCTCACCCTTACACCCTTTGGGAAAAGAAAATCACCTTGTGTGCTGTAGCTCATTTGTTTCAAGACAGAATCAACAGATCATATTTGGCATCATGAATAAATTGCTCTATTTTGATACTGAAGAACTTGGTGGGTGTGCTTTCTTCCTCTCCCTCTGGAGCTCTTAGGCCCATGTTGACACCAGTGAATGAAGACAGAGTTCTGTATTTTCTCCAGAAGGAAATACTTTGCATACCTCTATCCAGGATTGCTGTGTGAGATAGAGAGCAGGGGGCGGAATGCAGTGATGTGGTGTTGACAGCAGCCTCTGGCTGAAAGGTAGGCTTTTTAGTGTGTTTCCTTTTCACTATTTTATTTAGGCTACCTATTGGGAAAAGTTAAAGCAAATGAATGTTCTCTCAGCGGGATGGTTGGTTGGGTTCCCAAATTAGCCATGAGTAATTTGAAGAACCTAAAGTTACAGGATGGGGCAACTTACGGCATGGACTTCTGCACAGTGCAGACCAATATGTGGCAAACATTTACTGACATTTGCTCTGTGCATGTTTCTGTTTATGCCAGTTTAATAGGTGGCTGTTATATAATGTAATTAATTAATGGATATTGATTGCCATCTGCATTCTATGAAGGAGGCAGTAGATTCTAGGAGGTGAAGACATGGCTTACTCTAAGGTTTCACTGTGCAGGTGAGTCAGTCAGTCATTTCCCTCTAATCTTGCTTGTTCCACACAAGGACAAAGCAAATGGCTGGGGGTGCAGAGGCTTTTATGGGTGGTTCCCTGGGAAAGATCTGAGAACCCGCATATCTGAGACAGGCCTCAGTCTCAGTTAATTCAGAAAGTTTATTTTGCCAAGGTTGAGGATGCATGCCTGTGGCAGCCTCAGGAGGTCCTGATGACATTTGTCCAAGGTCATCAGAGCACACTTTGGTTTTATACATTCTAGGGAGACATGAGACATCAACCAACATGTGTAAGATGAACAGTGGTTCAGTCCAGAAAAGGTGGGACAACTTGAAGCACAGGTGAAGCAGGGAGGGGGCTTCCAGGTCATAGGTAGCTAAGAAACAAATAGTTTGCTTAACAAACACTCTTTCCAGTCTGGGTTCTTTGTCTCTGGAGTGTCTCATCCAAGGCATGTTAAGCAAAGCAAGAAGAGGTTATCATTCCCTTCCGGAGAACAGAGAGAGGGAACAGCAGGGACAGAAATGAAGGATATTCATAAGAGCAACCTTCAGGTAGAATGTGAGGTGAATTCTCTGTAGAACGGGGCTTTTGTTAGGAATAGTTACATCCTCATGAAAAAGATACTTATTTAGAGACACTCTGCAGGAAGTAAACAGGTGGGAGTATGCTCTCTTCTGTAACAATATCTGCACATGATGATGATGATAGTCTCACTTTGAAATGGGGTGAAATGAGTAGACTATAAGAAAGTTTTTTAGCCTAGGCAACATAGTGAGACCACATATCTACAAAAAAAATTACTCAGGCATGGTGTCGAGTGCCTGTGATCTCAGCAGGTTGGGAGGCTGAGGTGAGAGGATCATTAAGCCCAGGAGGTTGAGGCTGCCTGCAGTGACCCATGACAAGACCACCACTTTCCTTAATCCTAAGTGACAGAGTGAGATCCTGCCAAACAAAGCAAAACACTTTTTTTATGTTGAGGCAGATAAACTAGGCAGTAAACTAAAATCAAATACAATCCCTCTGATGGAACAGTCATCTTCACTCCAAGCTACACCTCTGTTGTCACCTCCTTCTCACAGGCCAACCTACACTTCTTGCTGTACATTCCAGTTCCCTCATACCTCTTCAAGAACTTTCCTGCAATCATCACCATTACTTTCTCTCCACTCCGTCATTCCTGTAGCACCCCCAAGGTACTCGAGCACCTGCCATCTTCAAAACGTGACTTGAGCACTTGCCATCTTCAAAACAGTAATAACAAAACAAGCCAAATTCTCTGCAGCAAACAGTCTTACAGGGAAGTCACTCAGAACCAAGACTGGCCAGCTTCTCATCTTTTCATGTGTTTGCCCAATTGTCTCCTCATTTCCTGTGTTGCCCTAATACACATCCTGATGATCATTTTTCCATCCCCAGTACGTAGGCTTGGCCCAGTTCCTGTCAAGTCACCTTGACAAGGCATCCAGTCACCCTCTCACTTAGCTGTGCTCTTCAGGTCAAAGCCACATGCATGAGTATCAGCTGGTGATGCTTGGTGTCTCAACTGGGAGTCATCATCTTGGCTGAATAATCGGTTCTCAGCATTCTTGTTGGAGAGCTTCAAAATCCGACTCTGGCTAATGTAAGCCCAAAGGAATAAATGGGCCTGATACTGGCAAGCTTTGAGAAATTGGAGAATGAGGCTCAGAGGGCACACAGACAAGAACTGCCAAAAGCAGGCTGCAACACTGGGCTCATGAAGATCATCGATATGGCAGTGGGTGTTGCCCACACCCTGAAGGCTGGACTGGCTCTGGAGGCACACTCAACGCTGCCTCCCAGAGTGGGCTTGCCTGCTGCCGTGGCCTCTCCAGAAGTGCTTTTCTGCAGCTCATTCCCTTGGACGTGAGCTGGTAACTTGAGAGAGGTGCCTAATTGGCTCTGCCAGGTCACATGCCTTGCTCTAGCTGCAAGGGAGGCTATAAAAGCCTCTTTGCTTTTGAACTGGGGGGTAGGGCTGTGCCTCATCAGGTAGGAAGATATCCCCAAATAGAGGAAGGCCTTCTGATGTTGGGAGCTCAGGGGAGTGGAGACAGAATGCCCCTACTGAGATGAAGAATGCACATTTCCCTAGAAAATCTAAAATGTGTTCACATTTCCTTGATACTTTTGGTCAAGGTGTGTGAAGTCTAGCCCAGGCTGACCCTTAGGAGGGTGAAGAAACAGTTATGGAGAGAGTTGGGGCAGCCCTGGGCAGGCACTACCTTATAGTGTGCTCAGAATCCATCTGCAACCCTGTGACTCCAGAAGTACACATGAAGAACCTTCCTGCGCTCGATATTCCTGATACAAAGGGAGGTGTCACATGGCAGAGCTGTCTGCAGTATCCTGAGAAAATATTCTGTCTTGCTTTTCTGTATACCTACTGGTGGTTTATAATCCCCATGCATATTGCAACATTTTTGTAAAATGTAAAACAATAATACTATACATACACACAAGGGAACTTCAAAAAGTTCAGAACATACATATGAAAAAGCAGTGGATTTCACAACACTTTTTTCATCAAAATAAGCTCATGCTAACTTGTTACAACATGTTTGAATAGTATCTAGTTTGAAGCACTATAAAGTGTGAGACATCAGTTTGATTAAAGCAGAGCAACATTTTGTTAAAATTGAAACAATAACATCAAAGTTAAGGTGAAGTCTGGGGGGAAGAATTGTGAAATCATTGATGTTTTATAAAAAGTTTATGAGCACAGTGTCCCAAAGAGATAAGCAGTTTACAAATGGATAACTTGTTTTAATAAGGAATGATGATATTGAAGATGAAGCCTGCAGTGGCAGACCATGCACATCAATTTGTAAGAAACAAATTCTTGTTCATGCCCTAATTGATGAGGACCAGTGATTAACAGCAGAAACAACAGCTAGCACCACAGACATCTCAACTGGTTCAACTTACACAATCTGACTGGAACATTCAAGTTGTGCAAACTTTACACTCAGGTTCCAAAACTGTTGTGCCCACATTAGTTGCAGACAAGAGTTAAGCTTTCAGTGGAAATTTGAAACAAGTGGGATGAAGATCCTGAGGGCTTTCTACAAAGAATTGTAACAGGAGACCAAACACAGCTTTATCAATACAATCCTGAAGGCAAAGCACACTCAAAGGAATGGCTACCAAGTGAAAGCATAAGTAGAGTGGTCAGTAGGTCATGACAACAGTTTTCTTTCTTTCTTTTCTTTTCTTTTCTTTTCCTTTTTTTTTTTTCATGCTTAGGGCATTTTCCTTGCTGATTTTCTGGAGGGCCAAAGAATGATAGCATCTGCTTATACAAAAATGGTTTTGAGAACGTCAAAGCTTTAGCAGAAAAATGCCCAGAAGTTTCACCAGGGTGTCCTTTTCCAGCACAACAAGGTTCCTGCTCATTAATCTCATCAAACAAGGGCAGTCTTGCAAAAGTTTCCATGGGAAATCATTGGGCATCCACCGTACAGTCCTGATGTGGTTCCTTCTGACTTCTCTTGTTTCTTAATCTTTAAGGGGCATCTTTTTTGTATTTTTTTTTCAGTTGTTAGTGTAGAAAAGACTGCATTGACATGGTTAAGTGCTGAGGACCTTCAGTTCTTTAGGGTTGGATTAAATGGCTGCTGTCGTTTACATAATGTGTTGAACTTGATGAGCTTATCAACGTTGAGAAATGAAGTTTCTATTTTTTATTTCCATTTTTATTCTATTTTTTTAATGGACTTTTTGAAGTTCCTTTCCTTAACTGATGGAAAGATGAGAACACAGGCAATTTTCTGGGCATTAATCAGGTTCCAGTTAGACTATGTTGTTATTCAGGACAGCATTGGGACCAAAAGGCTAAATTCATGATGAAAGATACACTCCCAGCTGAGCAAGGTGGCTCATGCATGTAATCGCAGCACTTTGGGAGGTCAAGGTGGGCAGATCACCTGAGATCAGGAGTTTGAGACCAGCCTGACCAACATGGCAAAAACTCATTTGTACAAAACATACAAAAAGTAGCCAGACATAGTGGTGTATGCCTGTAGTCCCAGCTACTCGGGAGGTTGAGGCAGGTGAATAGCTTGAAACTGGGAAGCAGAAGCTGCAGTGAGCCAAGATCTCACCACTGTACTCCAGCCTGGGCAATGAAGCAATATCTTGTCTCAAAAAAAAGAAAGCCACTCTCCCTTCTTTGCCCTCTAGTGGGTGTTAGCAGCCCAGGCTTTGCTGTTGCTCCACTGGGGCCCTGGTTCCCTATTTATCTTGCTGCTTCTCTACCTTGCTGCTGTTTGGCGACATCAGTAAGCTTAGTCGAGGGCATCTGCTCTAGAAAACACATGTTTACTGCACTTTTTCTATGTTTTGATATACAAATACCATTGTGTTACAGTTGCTGACAGTATTCGGTACAGTCACATGTTTCAGTATTCAGTACAGTCAGGTTTGCAGCCTAGGAGAAATAGGCACTACCATCTAGCCTAGTTGTGCTGTAGACTGTGCCATCTAGGTTTGTGTAAGTACACTGTGTGGTATCATACAACATTATATATCACATAATGACACACTTCTCAAAACTCATCCTTAGTATTAAGCTATGCATATATTTTCTTTGGCTACAACAGTTGTTAAGACAGCATTCAAGTGAGGCTGAGAGCTCAGTCACAATTACTTTATTTAACTACTTTCCCAAGGACATGGATCTTGCACTCAGCTTTATAGCCAGCCTCAGAAAACTTCCTAGTGACAACTAATAGGCTAGAGAAGCAGCAGAGTGGTCCGGAGGGGGCTCTTCCATTACCACATGCATGTGCATGAAACATTTCTCTTATCCTAGAAGCTCTTCGAGAAGATCATGTAACTGGTGATGAGGGCAATGTCTGGGGGCTGCTACACTTTGGCAGTGCAGTGATGAAAAAATGAGAACAAAGTTCTAAAGAATGACAATAGAAGAGTCTGAGGAATATGGGGGTTGGACCCTTGGCACATCCACTTCACAGGTTTCTGTGGGTTTGGCAAGCAGGGTCACCCTTATTTTTGTTGCAGGATTCACTTGCAGTATGGATTTCAAATGTGCTGGCATCAGAACCTGAAGAGGAAAAAACAAAAATTGTGAGTGTCCATCTCTTTGCCAGTTTGTCCTCAGCTTCGGAAAATGCTCTCAGTACTCACTGCACTGAGTTTTTCATGTGGCAACTTTGGTCAAAATTGCAGCATTCATTTCATCTATGAGAAAAAAAAAACCTACACCATCTTTCCATCTACATTTTATTAAATCATTACAATAGATGAAACAAGTCCTACAGAATTTTCTAGGCCAGTTAATGGCTGATCATGGCACAGATGTGCAGGCAAAAAAACTGTTGGTTTAGGAAAGTTTTAGAGACCCAGGACGTGTGCTCTCTAATTTAGGAGCAGAGAGCGCTATTGTGACAGCTGGTACAGCTTCTACTAGGGATGGTAACTCAGGCAACAGGGACCCTATGGTTGGCTGGCTACCTACACTCAACTCCAGGAAGTGCTGGAAGGGAGGGAGACCACAACTGTGAAAAACTACACCACCTCCCAATGTGTTTTCATGGGCAATGACACATGTTTATAGCAAGCAGCTCCTCCCCATCAGCATCTACTCATGGAAAACTGTCATCTCAAGTCCCAAATTGGATACACATCCAGCCTCATTTAAATACACAGTACTACATGCCTGGTAACCCTTTGTGAAATTGAGCTCATTCCGATCATGACCCTACATAAGATGATAAAGTGACAAATAATGTTTTTGTAAATACAGGAATGTATTTGTCCCAATGTGCTCAGCATTTCCTTCATGAGACATTTTTATCAGGTGTGGATTTCAGGATGGTTTTGCTCTCGCATGCAGTATTTTCTAGAAAATAATTAAGAGTCTAATAATTGCTCACATTTTTCTCTTTACTCCCCTGCTAAGAAGCTCAAAGCCAAACTACCATCCATTTTAAATAGTTATCTGGGGCTAATTCTAGCTGGCTTTCTATTTCATTATCATTTTCCTTTAGTTCCTGTTTCATTTATTAATCAATTTCCCCATGTTGTTCTTCCAGAATATGACATGGTTTAAAAGGATACAGAACAAAAGGAAAAAAATGTGAGCATCAGTCAGCAGTGTGAGAGCTAATGTGAATCCCATCAAAAGAATAATCTTGGGCACTGGTCATCATTCCAGCAATACACCTTCTTTCTGTTAGACCCTTTGAAACCACTGTCAGAATTATTCTTCCGATCCCCAAATATACTAGAATACTTGCTCCATCCCAGGTTGCAAGCTGTGTGTGGGGAATACAGAGGTGGAAAACATGAAGGAGGGTTGCCTTTCCAACCACAGACAGGGCAAATGACCCCAAAAAGCCTCCAAAGAGCCTCCAAAGCCCTCCACCCTTGGGGCTTGCTGACAATCACAACCTCCTATGAGTCCCTCTCTGTTTCCTCACACCCTTAGGCATACTGCTTCTCTCCCTCCCACTCCAGGCTTGGTCCTGCCACTGGGCCTCTGCAACTCTATTTTTCTGTCTGTAAGGCTCTTCTGATTTTCTTGTGGTTCCTACACTTGATTCGGGTCTCAATGCTAATGTTACCTCATGCTCAGGGAGACTCTGGGACAACCTCTCTAAAATCATGCTCCCAACCGTCCCTGATTTTTCTTCACAGCACTTCCCATTACCTGGATGGAATATCATATCATTATTTGTGTTTTTCATTCTCTGTCTCTGCCACTACAGTGGAGAGTCTCAGTGGACAGGGAATGTGTCATAGTGACTGTACCCGATGCCCCAGATAACACCTGGTATATAGAGGGTGCTCAATCAACATGGGGAATGGGTCAGTACAGTCATGTTAAGTGCCTGACAGCAATGGGATGCAGCACTACTACTTTGGAGCACTCATTAAGATATGAGTACAAAGAAGGGTAGTAACAAGCTCAATTTTAAAAGAGATACATGCAGAGTTTGGGAGAATATTTTAGGGGAAAAAAAGAACATGAGAGTTATATGGAAAAGAGGCAGTCAGAAGTTGTGGCACTATGAGAGATGTGGTTGTAAAGAACTAAGAAAGCCTGAGCCAGGCTTGGTCCTGCCACTTTAAGGCAATAACAATATTGCCTTTTACCAAGAAGGCAAGTGTGGTTCACACCTCTAACTAGTGCTTTAGGAGGCTGAAACAGGAAGATCGCTTGAGGCCAGAAATGCAGGACCAGCCTGGGAAATACAGAAAGACCCCATCTCTATGATAAAAATTTTAAAACAAGCCAGTTGTAGCAGTGTACACCTGTGGTCCCAGTAACTTGGCAAGCTGAAGTGAAAGGATTGCTTGAACCTAGGAGTTCAAGGCTGCAATGAACCATAATCACACCACTTCACTCCAGCCTAGGCAACAGTGAGATCCTACCTCAAAAAAAAGGCAACTGCAATACTGTTGTGTCTCTGAAACATACGCATGCACTATGGGCTGTGGGAGAACATGGCACTCAGATCTTCCTCCCAGGGTTGGATTAAGGTGAATCTGGAGGAATCTTGGTCTGAGTTAACTCAGAGAAAGTGTGATGAGCTGCTCAAACAGTGGGTAAAGAGATTGAGCAATGGGGGAGGACTGGCCATGGATGACACAGCCAGATTTTGAGGAGAGCCTGGGTGGCTGACAAGGATGGTGGAGAGCTGGTTTTGCTAGGGTGGTAAACCTGCCTTTCCTGGAGCCAAGACACCAGCTGGGAAAACTTCTAAAGAAGCCTTGCAGTTCTGGAGCAGCATTCCTGCTAGAGGGGGCTGGTGGCACATCAAAAAGATTTGATTCTGGCCGGGCACATTATGTTCACGCCTGTAATCCCAGCACTTTGGGAGGCTGAGGCGGGCGGATCACGAGGTCAGGAGATTGAGACCATGCTGGCTAACACAGTGAAATCCCTTCTCTACTAAAAATACAAAAAATTAGCCGGGCGTGGTGGCAGGCGCCTGTAGTCCCAGCTACTCACTAGGCTGAGGCGGGAGAATGGCGTGAATCCGGGAGGCGGAGCTTGCACTGAGCCCAGATCGCGCCACTGCATTCCAGCCTGGGCGACAGGGCCAGACTCTGTCTCAAAAAAAAAAAAAACAAAAAAGACTTGATTCTCACCAGGTCACCCACTGTTTATGAGGATGTCATGGATTCAAGCAAACTTGTGTGTGATTTCTGCGGTTCTTTTCAAACAGACTCTGGGCTGGGGTGTCATATGGTGGCTCTTTTTATTATTTTTTAGAAGTATTTATTATTTGAATTTTCTAGTCCAGAAATTATATTGTTAAAGTTTCATTTTCTCTATTATAAAAATAATTCATACTTGTTAAAATGTGGAAAATAATTTTGCCTTATAGAAAAGTCAGGAAATATAAAAAACTTTAGAGAAGTATGAATGACTCATGGTCCCTCCACCCAGAGACAACCACTGTTAACATCTTACCATATATAAGTCATTTCATTTTATTTGATGAGTTTGAATAACTGAGATTTTGTTTTTTTAAAAAAAGCTGTATTTAGTATACTATATTTAAATGTATGTACAAGGAGGTTAGTCCAAAGAAACACAGTAATTTTTTATGTCTAGTGATAGGGAACTTTAAACAATTGTTTTTGTTGTTGTTGTTGTTTCACGTGGTCTCACTCTGTTCCCCAGGCTTAGTCTTGGCTTCTTTACTCACTGCAACTTCTGCCTCTAGGGTTCAAGTGATTGTTGTGAGTCAGCCTCCCAAGTAGCTGAGATTACAAACATGCACCTCCAGGCCTGGCTAACTTTTGTGTTTTTAGTAGAGACAGAGTTGTACCATGTTGTCCAGGCTGGTCTCAAACTCCTAGCCTCATGTGATCCACCCACTTTGGCCTCCCAGAAGTGCTGGGATTACAGGCATGAGCCACAGCGCCTGGATAAAACAATGTTTTTAAAAACTTGTACAATCAGGCCTGGCACAGTGACTCAAGCCTGTAATCCCAGCACTTTGGGAGGTCAAGGTGGAAGGCTCGCTTGAACCCACGAGTTTGAAACTAGCCTAAGACACATGGCAAGAGCCTATGTCTACAAAAAAAGTATATACAAAAATTAGCCAGGTGTGGTGGTACATGCCTATAATCTCAGCTACTTGGGAGGCTGAGGTGGGAGCATGAACTGGGCCCAGGAGGTGGAGGCTGCCACGAGCTATGATTGTCCCACTGCATTCCAGCCTGGGCAACAGAGTGAGATGCTGTTTTGAAAGGAAAAAGGAAAAAAAAGTTCTACAGTCAACAGATGATATTCAAAGGACCTCTTAGTTAAAGCAAGCTTTCTTCTTCTAATTCCAATACCACTGAGAGATTTTTCGCATCTCTTGATTGTTACAGTAGGTTTTCAGACACATATGAGTATGACAGGAAAAGGTCTCTGTCCCCAGGAATGTGAGGCGACCATCAAGTTATTCTCAGGTGGTTGGTAAACTGTCTCTCTAACATAATTATTGGTTTCAGCTGCTACCAGCAGAAGGCAGTCTCCAAATAGATAGAAACACCGGAAACTGTCGATCAGCAGCTTCCCCATAAAATCTCAGGGGTTGGGAAAGTGGGCTCAAGTATGCACAATGTGAGGCAAGATGGAAGAATCTTTCTGGCATATGACCTTCCTCTAGGAACACTGAGCTGGTGAGCATGCACAAAACTCCAGGAAACACTGCACATGTGGCCTCTCCCAAATGGTAGCAGGCCACTATTGCATGCAGACAGCCTGCCCCAAGAGAATAATCATGGAAGAAGGGATGCAAGACCCCAGAAACCGTGGCAACATATAAGATCCGACATCAAGGTCTAAACAGTGCACTTGACTCTCTCAAGTTGCCTGCTTGGCCCTCTTCCAAGTGTACTTAACTCCCTTTCATTCCTCTTCTAAAGCTTTTTAATAAACTTTCCCTCTTGCTCTGAAACATGGCTCAGTCTGTCACTCTCCCTTATGCCTCTCAGTGGAATTCTTTCTTTTAAGGAGGCAAGAAGTGAGGATCTTTCAGACCTATGTGGATTCACCACTGCTAACATGAGGAGGTGGGCGGCTCACTCCAGGACTCATTTCCTAGAGGAAGAAGTAGGGGCTGGACTGCACTTCCCCAGCCACAGCCCAGGAGGCTTTTCCAAGCATGTTGTTAAGGACTCCATTCCTCTTAACCTTTTCTAACCATTGCCCTTGACTCATTTGCTATGCTCTGCTTCCTGTTTTCTTTCCTGAGAAAAGACATCAGCTAAATGCATTATGGACTAGAGCCTCTTCAGTCCTCACTCAGTTTTGGACTTCCCTCTTTTCTCTCCTCTCCTGTTCCTCACACACCTCCACGGAGCTCCAATGGCAGTCCTGCAGCAAACCCAGGAGGGTCCCAGCACTGAAATGAAAAGTCACTTAGTCCTGGTGCTGAGCTAACAAGCAATGGCACAGAACTTGTGCTGGCAGAGGGCTGCACATTTACATTTTATTTATTGAACCTGCTTGCTTTCTGCAGCTGCATTCTGTTGATGTCTCTGAAGGACGATGAATGAAGTCAATGGTTTCAGATAATTCCAGGAGGACATGTCACTGTCTGAGCCCAAGGCATAGCCACTCCCAGTGGCTGTGTACCCAGAGAGCCTCCCTACTATTTACTTGCAATCACTGTCTTTCTGAACAGGATGGGGTTGACCATGAGGACCAGCAGCAGGGGCAGGTACCTGGTAACACAGTGGGGGATGGAGTGGTCCAGGCCCAGCTTACACCTGAGAGAGGAAAACCAAATCATTCTTCTCAAAAACAAAGCTTTGGCCACTTACCTGGAAGCCAAGATAAGAGGATGAAAACAGAAAGGGAAATGCGTAAATCTGCTTCTGACTGCTCAAAGGAAATGAGAGTCATTTGTCATGTCTGGAACAAGCAGTTAATTGCAGGATAGTAAGGGAGATCAGCTATGTTTCTGTCTCAGAAATGGGATGTCCTCTAAGGTGTTCCAATGGAGAGAGCTTTTAAAGGTTCCTGCTGGGAAAAGGTGGAAAAGGAAATGACACTCTGGGATGGTGGATTCCCTCCACTGGGTCTCAGTGAAAAAACAAAGGCACTCCATTAAGTAGTTTGGTTTTGAGGGGTTACTACATGGCTTTGGGCAATAACACAAATAAGATACAGTCACTGGGCTTGAACAACCCAAAATATATCAGCTATGTATTTCAGAGAAAATGTATTCTCATGGTTATGGATAACAATAGTTTCAGAGATTCTTGTCAGGGAAGAGGACAATGATTTCTACTGATGGCTCATAGGAGTCACTGGTCATCACAGAACATGCTGGAGGGCCTCACAATCATGTTATTATTATAAAGTTTCGGTGCTGCAAAAGAAATAGCACTCAAATATAAGATTTTCTTTTTAATTCTCAGCAAGGCAAGGTACTTCTATAGAAGGGTGCACCCTTACAGATGGAGCAATGGTGAGCGCACACCTGGAAAAGGGAGGGGAAGGGGTTCTTATCCCTGAGGCCCATAGCCTCCTGCCGTGTCGTTTCCCTCTTGGCTAGGGTTAGACCGCACAGGTTAAACTAGTTCTGATTGACTAATTTAAAGAGAATGATGGGATGAGTGGTTTGGCGGGAAAAATGTCTATGAAATTAGTCAGGGTGGAGCAGGTAATCAGAATGAGTCAGGATGGAGAATGAGTTAGGGTGGAGAATGAGTCAGGGTGGAGCAGGTAATTGGAAAAGGTTGCATTACATGGAAGTTAAGTTCAAAAGTAGAAGGCAAAGAATTAAACACATTGACATATTCTTTGAAGATAAATTTAGAATTCAGAATTCGTATTTAACATTACCAAGGTAACAACCGTTAGCTGTGAAATGCTTAAGGTAGGAGAGAAACAAAATGGCACAGAGGAAAAGAGAACTGAAAGGTAAAGGGGTAGGATAAAAATAGGTGCTAAAGGAAATTTCTCAGTAAGAAGGCACCAAGGACTATAAAGCCCACTGCTGACGTCCCCACATTTAAAACAAAAGGTCAATTTCTTAGAAATTACATACTTAGTTTATCTTCCACTTTCCTTTTCCTGAAAACTAAAGTCTTTTAGCACAGGTACCACTCCTAGAATTTCTGGTAAACCAGCACCAGCCTGAGGATCACATTCTCATCAAAGGGTGGAAAGAAGGAAAACCCCAGCCAGCCTGGGAAGGAATCTACTTTGTGCTGCTAACCACGGAGACTCCTGTTCATACAGTGGAAGGGGATGGATTCATCACACCCGAGTCAAGAAAGCGCCACCCCCTCCAGAGTCGTGGGGTGTAGTCCCAGGGGAAAACCCTACCAAACTAAAGCTAAGAAAAATTTAACTCTTTCATCTATTCTATTTCTCTTTCTTCTTTGCTCTATTGCTGACCTAGTTATTAACATAACCTAGTCAATTTTGCCTCAAACTATTGCATTTAATGCTTGCCTTGTTATACCCTTGGGGACTTGCCAAGTCAGAGACAGCTCTCTACTTCAGAAAGGTATCTCTGTCCCTCCTGACTCTCCTCAGACCGAGCATTAGTGTATTGGGACCATTTAATCCAGAGAGATTTCAGTAAAGGCCTCAGTGTCAGCCAGGAGTCTTGCTCCCCCATGTAGAGCTTTTATGCCATAGTTGGTCCAATGATCTGTGGACCATTAAAGAGCAAGAATGGACTGCCCCAACCAGTTTTTGTAATTTCCTAAAACCATACATTCATTTTACTAGAGGAACAGCCCTCCCTAACCGTCAGCTAAACCAGTGTAATTCTATACAGGTTATTATCTCAAACCCTCAAAGTTCTTCCCCATTCCTAAGCCGGTTCCCTTCTTTAAGCTGGTTTTATGGTATGGGGGCTGAGATTCCAAGGGCAGACCTCGTTAGATTCTTTGAAATATGTTACTTTGATCCCCCACCACCTGAACCTTTCTCTAAGCCTTCTTTCAAAACCCCTCGTGATAGAAAAATTGCTCCTCCTCCATCTAATGACAAGACCAAGATAGCTATCATAAAATTTACAGACTTAAACTTTGGCAATTAAGACAGGATACCAAGATGCAAATGCCTAGTTGGGATGGATCCAATATTCCTTCTGCATGTTAAACAACAGCAATTGTTATGCTTGGGTGAATGGCAGGCCAGAGGCCCAGATTGTCCCCTTTCCCCTAGGGTGGTCCTCCAGTTGACTGGGTGTGGGCTGTATGGTAGCTCTTTTCCTGGATTCTACAGCCTGGAGTAATAAGTCATGCCAAGCTCTCTCTCACTGTATCCTGAAGTCTGGCACCCTGCAGGTCAGCCCCCAAGGGCCAACAAGCCTCCGTCTCCCAACACTAAGTTCATTTCGTGTCTCTCAGACAGGGAGGAAACTTTGTGTTACTTGGAGACCTGAAGGAATGCAGTGAGCTTAAGAATTTTCAAGAGCTTATCAATCAGTCAGCCCTTGTTCGTCCCTGAGCAGATGTTTGGTGGTATTGTAGTGGATTTTTACTGGACACTCTGCCAAATAACTAGATTGGCACTTGTGCTTTAGTCCAGTTGGCTATCCCTTTCACCCTGGCATTTCATCAACAAGAGGAAGGAAAGAATAAGACACTGTAAAGTGAGAGAAGCCCCTTATGGGTCCTTCGACTCTCATATCTATTTAGACACAATTAGGGTCCCATGGGGAATACCAGTCAATTTAAAGCCTGAAATCAAATAGCTGCAGGATTTGAGTCAATATTTTGCTAAGCGACAATTAATAAAAATATAGATTGGATAGACTACATCTACTACAAACCAACAGCGATTTATTAACTACACTAGAGATGCTGTTAAGGGAATAACTGAGCAATTAAGGGGTAATAGCCAGATGGCTTGGGAAAATAGGATAGCCTTAGACATGACATTAGCAGAAAGAGGAGGAGTTTTCATCATGATTAAAACTCAGTGTTGCACCTTCATCCCAAACAACATGGTCCCTCATGGAAGTATAACAAAGGCATTGCAAGGTCTAACTGCTCTGTCCAATGTGTTTGCCAAAAACTCAGGGGTAATTGACCCCTTTACAGAATGACTACAATAGTGATTCGGTACATGGAAAAAGGTAATATCCTTAATTCTTACTTCCCTCACAACCGTAATGGGTATACTTATTCTTGTCGGGTGCCGTGTCATATCATGCATCCATGGATTGGTGCAGAGGCTCAACACTTACTAAAACCTCCCCTAACTATCCTCTGCCTTATCCAGAGAAGCTGCTTCTTTTGGAAAACCAAGCAAAACAACTAAGCCAAGACATATTAAAAAGTTTGAAATGAAAGAGCTGTAAGGAAATGCAAAAGGAGGGATTGTTAGATACAAGTTCTAAATTTCTTTTCAAGGAATCAGTATGTCAGTAGGTTCAATTCTTTGTCTTCTATTTTTAAACTTAACTTCCTCATAAAGCCACCTTTGTCGATTAGCTGTTCCACTCTGACTCATTTCAATCACCTGCTCCACCCTGACTCATTCCAATTACCTGCTCCACCCTGACTCATTCCGATTACCTGCTCCACCCTGACTCAATCCAATTACCTGCTCTGTTATAACCATTTTTTCCCACCAAACCACTCACCCCATCACTGTCTTGAAATTAGCCAATGAGGATTAGTTTAGTCTGTGTGGTCTAACCCTAGCTAATAGGGGAACAACACAGCAGCAGGGGCCACGGGCATCAGGGATAAGAACCCCTTGCCCTCCCTTGTCCAGGTGTGTGCTCACCACTGCTCCATCTGTAAGGGCCCATTCTTCTATAGAAGTACCTTGCCTTGCTGAGAATTAAAAAGAAAATTTTATATTCAAGTGCTATTTCTTTTGCGGCACTTGAACTTTATTTACAACATACACCATGGGTCAGCAAACTTTTTTTGTAAAGGAACATATAGTAAATATTTTTAGCATCATGGGCCACACTGTGGTCTCCGTTGCAACTACCACTCGACTCTAATGTAGTGCAAAAGCAGCCACAGGCAGTACATAAAGAAATGGATGTGTCTGTAATCCAATAAGACTTTATTTACAAAAACAGATGCGGCCCAGATTTGTCCTGAGGGCTGCCCTGTGCTGATCCCTGTTATAAAATCACAGATAAAGACACTGTTCATTTCTGTTTACCAGTTTTGCACCGCAAGTTACAGTACATATCCCTGGAAAGACCTTGGCTTTGCAACTAAGGGTTGCACAGATAGGAATGTAAATTTGAGGAAATGCCTGAGACAGTTCCAGCGGTTACATCCCCCTGTATCTGTTGTTTGGGACAGTTTCAGTGGCCACATCTCCCTCTGTGTGCACGAGGAAAGAGAAGTGTGAAAGCATAGGAAGGAGAGCTGGAGAAGGAGCTCTTCCCAAGGCCCCCTTTGGCTTCTTCCACATTATCCTACACTCATTCTTAGAATGTTAAGCTCACCTGATCATTCAGAGGAAGCTTGAAGAACAAAAATTTAAAAGTGCACCAATACGGGTGTTGGGAATACACCAAAAATTCTGCATGCAGACTTACATGGAAGAAGATATGCTGAAAGCTTTGTATGCATGCTTGTGTGCACAGGCACCTATGCACACAAATGAGAAAAGCAGAAGCAGGGAGAATGACCACAGGGTGCAAGCTATTAGAGTCCAGGTTTTACCATGTCACCTAGGCTGCAGTGCACAACATAGCTGCATTTCCCATCAATGTTTATGTGTGGACACTAACATTTAAGTTTCATGTATATTCACATGACAGGAAAAACTTTTTTTTTAAATTTTGATTTCTAAAAACACTTTAAGGCTGGGTAAGGTGGTTCAGACCTGTAATCCCAGCACTTTAAGATGCCGAGGTGGGAAGATCTCCTGAGCCCAGGAGTTGGAGACTAGCCTAGCAACACAGTGATATCTTATCTTTACAAAAACTTAAAAAATTAGCCACGTTTGGTGGTGTGCACTTGTAGTCTCAGCCCAGGAGGTCGAGGCTGAAGTGAAAATACAATCCCAGCCTGGACAACAGAATGAGACCCTATCTTTAAAAAAACAAAAACAAAAACAAACAAACAAAAAAAAAAACAAACAAAAACAAAGAACAAAAGTAAGATGTAAAATCATTCTTAGCTTGTGGATTCTAGAATACTGGCAGGATTTGGGTCATAGGCTGCAGTTTGTGCACTTGTGATGGAAAAACCAAACCCAAAAAGCCCGGATAGGGAAGGGATTTAATGTCACAAAACATGGTGGAGGAGAACACACAGTGCAAAATACAAAAGAATCCATGCACGTGTGCACCCAGAGTGGACTCCATCTCAAAAAAAAAAAAAAAAATCCCCCCCAAAATTCTTAAGAAGACTTTCTTTCCAGAAGAACATCGACATCCCTCACCACCAACCCATGTATTAAAAGCACACATACTTAACTGAGTTTTTAAAAGGAGCCTCAGTCAAATTGTAATACTTGAAACAATTTATTCACCGTTTCCAACAGTGACACAGTTTCCAGTTTCCTGGAGGGTCAGAAACACTTGGAAACTAAATGATGAATTAACTGGCATGTGTCTACTCTGAGCCCTAGGAGGGCCCATAGGAGACGCCCTCTGCTCGTTGGCTGTCCAACACCCATGACCATGAATGTATACCCTTGTGTCTGGAGGGCATTCATATTAGCCTATACAATCATGCCACACGTGCATTTGCTACCCCATGGTCATCATATGGGCTTAGAGAAATAGAACTTATAAGAATCATCAAATACAGTCATCAAGTTGCTCAACCACCTTGAACTATAAGTGGTTCTGTGAAGTGTGACTCTCTTAACCATCTGCCCTGAATGCCAGACTCCAGTGAGGCACAACCGTGCAATAAGGCATAACTATGCAAAGGTATCCCAGTGGTAGAGATACTTAGTGTTTTCGTTACTAGTGATAAGGTACACAGTTTTGTTACTAAAGGGCTGACAAGACCCACCCACTTTTACTTCTAATGCGACTTCTATGAGGAGGTAAGAAAGCCAATGCCAACAAGTCCCCTCATGTAACTTGGTTTGTGTATGTAGTCAGGCAGGGGATCAAGCGTTCTTTTTGAAGACTATGCCTCTTAGCAGCACACCTGATTGACAGTCACTGAGAATACTTCAGAGGCTCAGGGTGAGAAGAGATGGACAGCGATGGGGGATGGGAAACTAGACTCCCACTCTGTCTTCAGGCAGCAGATGGCTCATTAAAACTACCGGAAATGTCCAGGCGCGGTGGCTCAAGCCTGTCGTCCCAACACTTTGGGAGGCTGAGGCGGGTGGATCAATTGAGGTCAGGAGTTCGACCAGCCTGATCAACATGGTGAAACCCCGTCTCTACTAAAAATACAAAAAATTAGCCTGGCGTGGTGGCGGGCGCCTGTAGTCCCAGCTACTCGGGAGGCTGAGGCAGGAGAATGGCGTGAACCCGGGAGTCGGAGCTTCCAGTGAGCCCAGACGGCGCCACTGCACTCCAGCCTGGGCGACAGAGCGACACTCCGTCTCAAAAAAAATAAAAAATAAAATTAAAAAAATGCAAATACAAACACAAAAATTAGCCGGGTGCCGGCAGATGCCTGTAGTCCCAGCTACTCCAGAGGCTGAGGCAGGAAAATCGCTTGAACCCTGGAGGCAGAGGTTGCAGTGAGCTGAGATCGAGCCACTGGACTCCAGCCTGGGCGAGAGACCAAGACTCCGTCTCAAAAACAAAAACAAAAACAAAAAAAAAGAAACCACCGGAAAAAAAAAACAAAACTCCGCGGGTGCATCTGTCCAGCTGCATTTACAAAAACTAGTATAGCCAAGACCTGGGAGCCTTTTGTGGAGGCATTGAATTCTCCTAATTAGATTTCATGACATACCTCCTCCAAAATAGCTGAACACCTAACAACACCAAACACGCTTTTTAAAAAGTCAAAGTAAATTAACTTTTCCCCTGAAAATGTAGGGAATAAAGAAAGTTTCCCAAACTCAAACTCAGACAACTCGGGTAGATATCTAAGACGAATGCTCGTGTCAAACATCTGTATTTATAACTTCGTTGGAACTGTTACAGTAGGTTATATGAATTAGTGGAGGACAAGACTGTTTTAAATGCCTTCTTTTCATACATAGCATTTAACATTAAGTATTTAATGTAATTTGTTTGACAAATTTTTCTTACCTTTTTAATTGTTGATGTGGAATGTAAGAATGCTTGTAATAATGCTGAAGCCAGAGGGATGGCTTTCCTTTCATACACGTGGAAATTTAATTCTTTGGGGGATATTGGAAGACACTGGATGAGAAACAGTTCTATTCATTCCTTTTAGTGTACACAGATTAAGTCAAATACATACAACATTTTAGGGAGTAGGAACTGTTGAACTATTTGTTGAGTAAATAGTATGTATTTTCAAACACAGTTAAGTTTTTTCTAATTTGAGGCCATATCACTGACTATCTTATCCCTTCAATGGAAGCCATGTTACATAGTCTGTTGTTAAATGGGTCACTACCCAGTGAAAAAATATATTTCATGACATAAGACTGCCAATCTTTTTTGGTCTTTGCTCCATCTTGACCTTAAGATGTTCATCAACCCATTTTATCCAAGCAAAGTACATTAGACTGTTGGACCTGCTAAAATAATATTTCACTGAAATCTGGCATTAAAAAATTTAAGTGGGTATTTGGAGCTCCATGTAATGATTACAGTTTTTTTTCAATTTGAAATAAATAAGCGTCCTTTGAATACTAAAAGCTGTTTCCTTTTGACATTTAATTAACCCTGTTTAAAACGTGAGATGTAAAGTGGTGGTTTGCTAGTGGACTAGACTTTTTCTTTTAGGCTGCCAAGGGCTTTGAAGAGGATTATCACAAAGTTTTGTGTCAGAAACTGTAAGTAGTGCATATTTAATCTTAAAAACTCAGGATTGATGTAAGCACTGGAATACTTTATTTGCAGAAATGTGTATCACATTACTTAATTTTTTTTTGAAACAGCTGTAGGAAGAGTTAGCACTTATTCAGTTGTCTCTTCAACCTCTGTTATTCTGATGACCGAAGAAATAACTTGAACCTACTTTCTATGATACAAGCATAACTTGAGCTACACTAAACCATGACAATGTTTTGATAATTCTGTAATCAGTATATATCATCTATTATTTGTCTGTTAGTTAAGTGCCAGACCTCATTTCTGTGATCTGTTAAACATTAAATATAATTTAGTTTTAGGTTTAGCCTGTGAACCTTCATCAGTTCCAAAAATGTAGAAAATACAGTCATGGAAAAGTACATTTTTCTCTAATAAAAAAAGATAAAAGAGTGATGCCTCTTAAAATGTGTCTGTACATTGTCTTTAAAAAATCCAGATTTCGATGAGAAATGAATATTCATGTCATTGTAGTCATGAGTTAGGAGGAACCATGATATTCTGTGACATGGAACAAGTTTGTGCTCTATTTCATTACTGTCTTCTATTACAACACTTTAGCCTTTTCCAATGTGTGCCAAAACACACAGCTTTTAATCAGCTTAGTCAGAGTAACATTAAATGTAATCAGGGTGGCTAACACACTATGTTAGCAAAAGCAGAGCAAATCTGACAACTCTAATTAAAAAACAGATTTTTTTTTCTCCCAGATGAATCCTGTAGAAAATTCTTACAAGACAATCTCATTATGCTGGTTTGTGCATTATGCTGGACCTTTAGTGTCTGTTTTGGGATGTGTGTGTGTATGTGTTATGCTGAACCTTAATTTAGTGTCTCTTCTCCAAGATCTGTCACTTCTGCTGCTCAAAACAACTGAGCTGCTCTGTGTGTGTGTGTGTGTGTGTGTGTGTGTGTGTGTGTGTGTCTGTATCAGGGGAACGAGCTCCTAATATTTCAACGTAGGTTCTTTTCTGTTTTCCCTAAGTGTTGGCTGGTCTGAGAAATAAACAGAAAGAGTAAAAAGAGAGAAATTTTAAAGCTAGGCCTCCGGGGGTGACATAATATATTAGCAGGTTCCATGATGCCCCCCTGAGCTGCAAAACCAGCAAGTTCTTATTAGGGATTTCAAAAGGGGAGGGGTGTACAAATAGGGAGTGGGTCACAGAGATCACATGCTTCAAAAGGCAATAAAAGATCACAAGGCAAATGGCAGAGCAAGATCACAAGACCAGGGCGAAATTAGAATTACTGATGAGGTTCCATGTCCCACTGGGCACGTATTGTCTTGATAAACATTTTAACAGGAAACAGTGTTTAAGAGCAGAGAATCAGTCTGACTAGAATTCACCAGGCTGGAATTTCCCAATCCTAGCAAGCCTCAGGGCACTACAGGAGACCAGGGTGTGTTTCATCCCTTATCTTCAACTGCATCAGGCAGACACTCCCAGAGCGGCCATCCATAGGCCTACCCCTGGGAATGCACTTCTTCCCCAGGGTTATTCCTTACTGGGAAAGTAATTCAGTGATATTTCTCCTATTTGCTTTCTGCAAGAAGAGAAATATGACTCTGTTCCGCCTGGCCGCACAGGCAGTCAGACCTTATGGGTATCTCCCTGGTTTCCTGAAAATCGCTGTTATCCTATTCTTTTTTAGGATGCCCAGATTTCATATTGTTCAAACACACGTTTTACAATTTGTTTTTGTCTGTTTGTTTGTTTTGAGACGGAGTCTCGCTCTGTCGCCCAGGCTGGAGTACAGAGGCTTACTGCAAGCTCTGCCTCCCAGGTTCATGCCATTCTCCTGCCTCAGCCTCCCGAGTAGCTGGGACTACAGGCACCTGCCACCACGCCTGGCTAATTTTTTGTATTTTTAGTACAGATGGGGTTTCACTGTGTTAGCCAGGATGGTCTTGATCTCCTGACCTCGTGATCCACCCACGTTGGCCTCCCAAAGTGCTGGGATTATAGGTGTGAGCCACCGTGCCCAGCCCGTTTTACAATTTGTGCAGTTAACGCAATCATCACAGGATCCTGAGGCAACATACATCCTCAGCTTATGAAGATGATGGGATTAAGAGATTAAAGTAAAGACAGGCATAGGAAATTATAAGAGTATTGATTGGGGAAGTGATAAATGTCCATGAAATCTTCACAAGTTATATTCAGATTGCAGTAAACACAGGCATAAGAAATTATAAAAGTATTAATTTTGGGAACTAATAAATGTCCATGAAATCGTCACAATTTATGTTCTTCTGCCATGGCTTCAGCCCATCCTTCTGTTCGGGGTCCCTGACTTCCCACAACATGTGTGTGTTATGCTGAACCTTGATTTAGTGTCTCTTCTCCAAGATCTGTTACTCCTGCTGCTCAGAACAATTGAGCTCTTGTGTAGGGTGTGTGTGTGTGTGTGTGTGCATGCACGCGCGCACGTGTTGGCTATGCTGAACCTTGATTTAGAAGGTAACAGACCTTCTCCAAGATCTGTTACTCCTGCTGCTCAAAACAATTGAGATGAGCCTAATCCCTACAAAGTTGAAGATTATGGTCAAAGCAAGTCTATTTGTGGTTCTGTAGAGAAGAACTGGCTACCAAACCACTGTAAGAAAAGGAAAATAATGACTCACTAACAAAGCCATCCAGTACTTTCATGGAAAACACTTTGAGTAAAATATAGCTCTCTAACTTATCTAGTATGGAATCAATCTGTCTTGCACTTTGGGAAAAAACAAACTGCCATTTATTAAGTTTCCAATAATGCAATCCTATGATTCAAATCTCTTGTCAACAGCACATAGCAGTAACAATTTATGGCTTGGTGATTTATTATTTTGCAAATTACAGATACATAATCCATTGAGATGTGAAAACGCCAGGCTTTCTACATTTCCCTACCATGATGAAGTGACTAACTGTCACAGAATACATATTGGAAAACAGTGTGATATAAGGTTGCTGGAAGATCTAGCAGTTTTAGCTTGTCTGGTGAAAATGAAATCTACAGAGATAACAGAAAGAAAATATAATGGTGGCTTCAAGTAAATACTTGGCTTCCTCTCTCTTCATTATCAGATAGATCATGCAGCCCTTCCCTCCGGACACTTAGAGGATCCAATTAGCACCCATTAGGTTGGTGTTTCCACAATGGTCTGAAGCCACAAGGAAGCCATAGCCACCAGTTGCCTGCGGAGTGGTGGTAGTATCATCCTATGATCTGACAGACTTTCAACTCCTGAGAGACTCAGCTATACTTTGAAAATGTATCCTCAATCAGACCCTTGCCACCACCTCCATCCTTCACTTAGATACTGAAGTGACTTCCCAACTGGTCCCTGAGTCTGTCCCTATACCTGTTTATTCCTCACACAGTGTCTTAGTCCATGCATGCTGCTAATACTTTTGACTGGGTTAATTTATAAATAACAGAAATTTATTGTTCACAGTAGTGATAGACTAGAAATACAAGATCAAGGCACAAGCAGACTCAATGCTTCCTGAGAACTACATTTCTGCTTCCAAGATGTCATATTCTTTCTGTGACCTCATATGGCGAAAAGGGCAAATACACTCCCTTCAATCTCTTTTATAAAGCTACTAATACCATTCATAAGGGTGGAACCCTCAAGACATAATCCCTTCCCAAAGTCTCTGTCTTCTGATGCCATCACATGGGGAATTTCGTTTCAATATACACATTTTGGCGAGATACTAACATTCAGATCATAGCATACAGTAGAGCATTCAAAGAGATAAGTGAAAGAGCAGGTCACTCTTCTATTCAAAGCCTGCCAGGGGCATCCTGCCTTTCTCAGAACAAAAGGCAAGTCTTTGCAATGGTGGACAAGAAGCCAAGTGACTGGTCTATCCCCTTAACCCCATCTTCAACCTTCTGTCTTAGAGTGTTCATCCTTCTCTCTTAGAATGTGCATCCTTGATATCTTGCCTTCAGCTGTGCTCTCACCTCACTGTTTCTTAAGTATGCAAATCTCACTCCTGCCTCAGACTTTTCTCTTTGTCTTTCTGCCTAGAGCACTCACCCTTCCAGATAACCACTTGATTCACTCCCTCAACTTCTCCCAGGTCTAGGCTCAAATGTCATTTGATAGAAGGGAATCCCTGGCTGCACCCTATTAAGGAGACTCCTCTTCTCTACAAAAGTTGCTGCCTCTTACCTGTTGCAATTTTTCTCCTTGGTTCTCTTCACTTCCTCTGTGTCTGGGTGTTGTGTTTGTGTGTGTATGCACGTGCACATGTGTCCCCTTCCTGTTGCATCTTTCTTCATGGCAATTTTACAGAACACTTCAACTACCATCTCCAAGTGTTGGACTATGCCACCGTAATAAGTGCAAGCTGAATCTCTTCAAAACAACACAGCACAGACTCATTGAATTTACTGATAATATAAGGACACTGTTATTTACCTCCTCAAATTTTTTTGCCAGTTTCACAAAATTGTATTTTTGAAATGCTCAGGAAGTATTTGTCATATAAGTGGCCATTAAGATTTTATTATTCAGCATTACCAAAGGCATTCAGTGTACTTCTCTTAACATCTAGTAATAGGTCAGGCACAGTGGCTCATGCCTGTAATGCCAGCACTTTGGGGAGGCTGAGGTAGGAGGATAACCTGAACCTGGGAGGCAGAGGCTGCAGTGAGCTGAGATCACACCACTGCATTCCAGCTTGTGCAACAGAGTGAGACCCTGTCTCAAAAATAAAAACAAAAAACCCAAATGCAAATTAAAATTCCAAAACACACAGATCAATGGATTAAAGTGCCATGCCAAATGCTCTGTATGAAATGTCAAAAAGGAGAGGGCTTCAGGTGGCTTGGATTCAACAGCACCATGTGACCAAGCACAGCAAAGTGATAGGTCTCACTGGATTTGTCATCATTCACTCAGTTTTCATCATTTTTAACTCTACTGCGCAATATATTAACATGGGCTAAGCAATTCTAACCATGCAGACAATGTGTAGGTCTTTCCTCAGTGGATGGGCACCACAAAATAAGCTTGACCAAGTCGCAAAATTGGGGCTGGAGTCAGCTGAACCAAGCAATGCCTATTCCTCTCCCTCTGTTCTCTTTAGAGCCAACAGTTCACCCTGACTTTTACTCTACTGTGTGTTGAATCTCCCTCAGTTAGGACCACAGCTCCGAGGCTGCAAACACCTGTTGAGCATGAATTCCAAGCTCACTATCCCATGGGTGACAAGCAACATTGTGACCTGCCTCCCATTGTCAATTGGTGCCATTATCACAGTGACTCCCTACACACCAGGACCACCATGTCACTGTGCCATTCAGGAACCCCAGGGGCCACCAATATGGCCATCCCAGGATGCTGGCCTATCAGGATCCCAGGGCATGGCCCCAAGCACCAGCTTCATTACCTCTGCAGCCGGCTCAGTGCCCATGCTTTTGCAAAAACAGGTTTATAGGGGCGCTGACAAATACTGACTACCTGCAAAATGCAAACACTGGTTTGAAAAAGGCCTGTCTGTAGTGGAAATCCTGTACTTCACACATACTCTGTTTAAAAAAAAATAGGGCTGGGCATGGTGGCTCACACCTGTAATTCCAGCATTTTGAGAGCCCAAGGCAGGTGGATCACCTAAGTTCAGGAATTTAAGACCAGCCTGACCCATATGGTGAAACCTTGTCTCTACTAAAAACACAGAAATTAGCCAGGTGTAGTGGTGGGCGCCTGTAGTCCCAGCTACTCAGGAGGCTGAGACAGGAGAATTGCTTGAACTTGGGAGGTGGAGGTTGCAAAAGATCTCACTATTGCACTCCAGCCTGGGTGACAGAGCAAGAAATAGAAGAGCTTTTGAAAAAACAGGTTAAAAATAACAAATCTCTGTTCTTCTCACCATTTAGAGAATCAGTCAAGCAAAACAACAGTTGCCCTCTAAGTTTTGCAAAGTGAATACTTGGAGCAAAATAAGCCTAATTAGTAACAACTAAATCACCCAGATATAAACCCACAATGAAAGCATATGGGAACCTCCTTTCCCCCAAAGTCACCATCAGACTTAGAACCAAGGTAGAAATGAGAAATGATGTATCCATATGCTCCTGACATAACCCTCTAAACCAGGTGGACAGACGTCCTGGGTAACTGCGGATAGGTACGTATTGCACCCCCAGGATCCCTGTAACTACAGGTTCTCAAGAACACCAGGACCACAACCCACATCCCATCTAGAAACTTCTTTCTCTGATGCCTGCCAAAAGGTCTACTTTTCAGTTCATTATCATAATGAAGGTGAAGTTTTTGCTAATTAGGTGAAATCGTGCATCAGGCAATAAAAGGACCAAGAGATGTAAGAATTCCTCCTTGGTACAACCAAAGGAGTAAGAAGAGCCCACTTTTGCTTGAAGGCTTACACTAGTGAAATTAAAAAAAAAAAAAAAAAAAAAAACCTGAAAACTGGGAAAACTGGTTGGTAGCACGGCACGGGTCAGAAGTGAAAGTGCTATGGTCCAAGAAACCCAACCTGCCCTGAGTGCACTCAGTGTCTGTAAAGAGTCAAGTGTAAAGGTGGCTCTTTTTCAAACCATTTCCAGAATGTAGACAAACCCTGAATTTATAGAATGGGTTATTATGTTTTATGATTTCTACATAGAAAATATTTTCTAACCATATCATTTTATAACAAATTAACAATAGCTAATGTTTCCTTTAAAATTTTTCAAGCACACAGAAAAGTATGAAGAATAATACAGACACATCTGCCATCCGTTCATTTTGCCATATTTGCTTTAGATTTTTAATACTTAAAAATTACATAATGTTCGAAGCCCCTTATATAACTCCCATCCTGCTCTAGTTCCTCCACAGTGCAAATCTGATTTTGAAGCTAATCATTCCTATCAGTACTTTTGCACTCACACTACAGGTAAGCCTACACCAAGGACAGCTGATGTCTTTGCAGGTAACATAGTGTACAGTTCCTGCCATACCTTTTCTCTCCAAGTTGTGCTTTGGGATTTATCTGTGTAGATACAGGCAGTTCTACTGTATTTATGACAATTGCAGTGTGCTCCTCATTGTCTGAAAAATCCATCCTCCTGTTGACTGACATTTATTTTTTCCAACTTTTTTGTGAATATAACACTAAATACGTATTTGTCTGTTTCTTTACATATCCATATCTAAGGTTTACAACTAGAAATGGAACTGCAAAAAAGTGTAAATGCTTTGTAAAAAATGTGATGAAGTGTCATACTGTATGGTCATTCACAAACATGTCCTCTTTCACTTCTTATTAGGCCAGATGTCTTATGTTACAAAATTTTTATCAAGAGATCTTGGTTGGAAAAGGGGAAACAGTACTTTGCATATACTCTTTTTCTGTCACAAGATTACATTCTACAAAAACAGAAAATATAGTTAACAAATCTCATTTAAATAAAAACTATAAACTCAGGCAATAACAGGAGGCTCTCCATTGGCAAAAGAGCATCTCAGAAGAGGCACAAGGACCCAGAGAGTTTTGAAATCCCAGGAATCACATAGAAAATGTACAAGTATCTGCGTTTTCTTGGGGAGAGGATCCATAGCTTTTACCAAATTATCTGAGAGTCCAGACCCAAAAAAACTTTAGAAAGGCATTTTTTCAATTCCAAACTTGGGCAGCAATGTGGGAGTGAACATCAGCCAACAGCCGACAGAACCGTGGATGGACACTCTACCTTCCAAAGCAGACGAATGACTCACCAACATACCTGGAAAGAACATTTTTTTAAATATAATTGACTTCAGAATCCTTTAACATATACTCAGGAAAAAATAATGAGTCATAATTCAAGTAATGTGGACTGCTGTTTATATGCAATATTAGAAAATAAATCAAGGTTTCCACTGGGAAAAGCCTGAAGTCCACAGCTTTTTTCTAACCTCAGTGAGATAGTTAAGACTGGCTGAGAACACTGAACTGCTATTTCAATCATGGAAAGGAGACACGGTTTGGAAATAATGCTGTGGGACTATTTCTCTCTGTATTAAATATGCCACACAATTTTTCTTTTTTAATTATTAGGTAATCAGGCAATCAAACAAAAGGAAGCAGACAATTTAAGTTGGAACAGGAGATTCCCACAGATTGGAGGGATGGGGCCCCAATGTGAACAGACCCCGCCACGCAGCTTCCCAGCCTTCCAGAAACCCTGTGTGGGCTGCTGGGCTTTTCACCTTAGCAACGACTCTAAACATATGTACAGTGACACCAGCTGATTTCTGAAAGATGTAAAAATGGAACAATGGCATAAATTCCAGATTCAAGTAAGGAACACACACCACCACCTCTTCCACCCCACCCAACCCCTAAATCCCACTGCTAACCCTGGAGGCAATGCAACATATGCAAACATAGCTTTAATCCCCCTCACATACCAATTTATCTGCATAATCACATGCCTACAAAAGCTAAATAAGGTCTTTAGATTAACTCTGCACAAACATGTGCACAGACAAAAAATGGCCAAGAGATGGCCGAATCTGGCAACAGCAGACTAGCCCACAGCAGCCACAGCCCACCTATGGGAGTGCTGTACATTCACCAGCCACAGCTCTGCTTCCCACTCTCTGCCTCATACCTCAATGGGCTATTGGTCCTCTCTCTCAGGGCCTTTCCAGATCTCGGCTTCTGGTCCTCTGGGCCTCAAAGTGCAATGCAGGTACTGACAGGCAGATCTCCATCAGAAGAGAGACAAAGATGAGGTTAACTGCCTGGGCAAAGGTTCCAGGCAGAATATCAAGCATGTCTGGTAAAGTAGAGTGACAGTCCAGGCTCAGACCTCAGAACCAGTTTCTGTCTTTGAAGAACGCAATCCATTTCACCTGAGAGTTGGAAAACATTGAATTTCCCAGAGATGCTGAGGCTTTGGGAAGACAGCATTTAGTCCAGGATAAACCAGCAATACTCTCGACCAGGTTTGCAAAAATTAATGGCCCAACATTATCAAGGTGAAGGATGAGGAGAGACAAAGCAGGGAGAAGCCATGTGAACTCCTTGCCGCCTGCAGTCAGATCTTCCAGTACTCCAGGTGCTTAAGCAGGATATGACTTTTCCTTACTTCTTCACTATCATCTTTTTGAAGCATTAGATGGAAAACTAGGTGAATAAATCCCCAATTAGGAGCTGACATTCTCAAGAGAAAAAACAAACTTGATGTTTCATAGTGTAAAAATCTATTGTGGGCCCTACAGATATAGTTCTCATTACAGTCCTCATTATAATTACATACTAAATACTCCAAGGAAAAACACAATTGCATGTTAAGACATGAAAAAATTATTGCAGAATAACCAAGCTTTTGTTCCCTCACAGAGCCTTTTCTGCAATATTTTACATCCAGGTGACAAAGGAGTGGCCAGAGGGAGAATGGGAAGGAGAATGGAAAGAGGCTCATATCACAGATCTGAAAACAGGCGTCATTTACATGCTTCATAATTCTGAACTCAGGATGCAAAACCCATAAAAATTATGTACTCAGGACTGTTTGCAAATCTAAGTGCATTTTTTTTTTTGAGATGAAGTCTTGCTCTGTCGCCCAAGCTGGTGTGCAGTGGCACAATCTCAGCTCACTGCAGCCCAGCGTCCGCCTCCCAGTTTCAAGTGATTCTCCTGTCTCAGCCTCTCAAGTAGCTGGGATTCCAGGTGTGTGTCACCACACTTGGCTAATTGTTTTGTATTTTTAGTAGAGACAGGGTTTCACCATATTGGCCAAACTAGTGGTCTCCAACTCCTGACCTTATGTGAGCTGCCTATCTTGGCCTCTCACAGTGCTGGGATTACAGGCGTGAGATAGCATGTCTGGCCTAATTCCTTTTCTTTCTTTTCTTTTTTTTTTTTTTTTTGAGACAGAATCTTGCTGTCTCACCCAGGTTGGAGTGCAGTGGTGCGATCTCAGCTCACTGCAACCTCCACCTCTTGGATTTAAGCAATTCTCCTGCTTCAGTCTCTTAGTTAGCTGGGATTTAAGATGCCCGCCACCACACCCGGCTAATTTTGTATTTTTAGTAGAGACAGGATTTCACCTTTTTGGCCAGGCTGGTCTCGAACTGCTGACCTCATGTGATCCACCAGCCTCAGCCTCCCAAAATGCTGGGATTACAGGTGCAAGCCACCATGCCTGGCCCAAAGTGCATTTTTTAAAAGCAGTACCTATGTTCCCCAAAAGACGGGAAAATCAACATTTAATTATAAGCTCCAACGCTTAATTGCTTAAACTGAATTTGTGGCAAACTATTTCTAAGTAAAAATCAGCTCAGATTTGTGTTTTTCAGTGTAATCTGTTAAAAGCCAGGGTACACAGGCATTCCTAACACATAGTGTATGTGTGCATGCATGAGCAAATGAGACAGAGCCTGAGGCTGACTAGAAGGATGGTAAGGGTACCACAGAGAACACAATGCCTACTCTTGGATTTGCCAGAGAATTAACCTAGTTCAGAACCTCACCTGTCAGAAAACACAAAGCAGCAAAGGGTCTGAATTTGGTCAGTCACTTCCCAAAGAGAAGCATCCATAAACCACCATTTACCTTCAGATAAAGACTAACAGGTTTATTACAAATGATTCACAGCTCACGTTTTCCAAGGAAGGGCTTCCAACTAAGAAGTCACAGGGCAGACACAGTCATGGTGCACCTCCCTGCAGCTGTCTCTGTCATCAGTGTCTTACACAGTTTATGCTTCACGGGTCATGAGGCTCTGTTCTTTGCTCCTGTGGACCAACAGAGTAGGGGAAACTAAGGATTCCAAGCTGTTTGGGGTGTGGGGAATTCACCCATCCATGCAGGGCCAGCTCTAACCCTCTGAACCCAGGGTCACATTATGGACATAAAAAAGTTGGCACAGGCAGCCAGCTGCTCCTCAAGCCCAGCCCCCACACTTTCTGCTCCCGACTGAAGTTGTAAGTCTAGGACTTCCTGGGCCTCAATCTCCTCGTCTGCATACTGGGAACAATCCCTGGGGTCTGCACTGTGCTCTGGAAGGAGCACACAGCACCGTGTGTGCTGAGCACACACAAGCAACCCTGACTCAGGACAGTTTCCCAGCCCTAAGTCATGACTAAGGCTTAACTATCCATTTCAAATTACATCTGCACAATGCTTTACTTTCATATGTTATTTTATTTGGAGCCTCTAATGAGCCTCAGCTAACAGATGGTATTATTTCCACATTGCAAACAAACAGATGGTAGCTGCAACCATCCAAAGACACTCCCTTGCTGTGAATGCCTGGTCAGCCCTCCAGGCAGGACCATCAACTTCAGACCCCATCAGAGCCAACACAGCCCACTGCTGTCTGCACACTCCTGGAAAATATCTGTGTGTCTGGACTGACCGACATTGATTTTATCCTCTTGAGGATAAAATAATCCCATCTGTCAAGATGACCCACGAATAAAGCCTCCTCCTGAACGTTGCCTCAGCATCTGGAGGATAAGCCCACGATGAAAAATGCAAGCATATAGGAAGACAGTCTGTGCCGAGGCCCCCAGGATTAGAGAGGGCCAGAAATGAAAGTGCCCTCACACATGCTGGGAGCTGCCAACACCTTCAGACTGGGAAGAACAAAGAGCTCCCAAGCACGAGGGCATGGGAACACAGTAGAGGGACAGACGTGAGGCCAGAGGTGGCTGGAGCAGCAGCACTCACCAAAAGACTCAATGCCATGCTCTCCCTTAGTATCCCGCTTAGGGGGCTCTGCCCTTAGGGGTAGATGAGCACTGCTATGAAGGGCTGGACCTGGGAGGCAGTCCCCTTTCACTCCTCTGTCCCTACAGCCATGGGAGGACACAGCACCAAGCACCACATGTAGGCAGAGACCAGGCCCTCCAGTGGCACCAGGCTTTCCAACTTCCAGCTTCCAGAACTGTAAGAAATAAATTTCTGTTCTATATAAATGACCCAGTCTCAGACATTGTTATAGCAGCATAAATGGGCTAAGGAAAAAAAAGGAAATGCACTAAGAAATCCAATTTAAAGACAAAGTTTGTCAGACAGGAATGGAAAAACTAACCCAGCTAGCGCAGCATGAGTTAAGCGATACCTAAACCATGAAAACTGGCAAACATTTCAGAAAAGACAAACTGGGCACATATTGCACACATCAGACTGGGCTTCTTCTACCAATGCCGGGTACAGACCTGAGGCCAGAATGCATTTCAGGAGATAAAATGAGCCACTATAATATGGCAGAAAGTTTCTTTCCTAGGAGAACTAAGACGATCCAAACATTTATGCAAATAAGAAAGCCTCTGAGTAAAGGGCAAGAATCAGCAGAACAGGCCAGACATGGTAGCTTATAATCCCAGCAATTTGGGAGGCCAAGGCAGACAGATCACTTGAGGTCAGGAGTTGGAGACCAGCCTGGACAACATAGTGAAACCCCATCTCTGCTAACACTACAAAAAAAAAAAAATAGCCAGGCATGGTGGTGGGTGCTTTTAATCCCAGGTACTTGTGAGGCTGAGGCAGGAGAATCCCTTGAACCCAGGAGGCAGAGGTTGCAGTGAGCTGAAATTGCACTCCAGCCTGGGTGACAGAACCAATCTGTCTCAAAATAGAAGAAAACAAATCAACAGAACAGAGAACATGAGCCTCAGCCACGGAGCAGATATTAAAGTGCCTTTCAGTAGAGAACAGACCAAGGAAGTAACCCCACCAAATCTAGAAGGAGAAGATCTGAAAGCAATACCAAGCTTGAGATACCAAGCACATATAAAATAATCCAAATCATCCAAAAATCACCATTTTTCAGGGTCACAGGGAACAGTCATCAAAACTTTACCACACACAGAACTATAGAGTTAGCCTAAAAACTGTTAAAGAGTCATCTTCTGAAATAACAATGCAATTCAGATGGGAGGAAGGGTGCCTAGAAAACATGACGACAAATCTGGGAATTAGAAATGCATTTCTAACTATGAGGGACAAGGGGAGAACAGGGTGGGAATTAAAAATATTAAAATTGGAAATGACAGAGATGTTACATAGCAAATTGGGAGATTCAGGTGAAGCAGTTCTTAGAGGGAAAAGTATTTATACTTGTTTCTAGAAAGCACATAAATAAACAAGTTCTAAAAATTAGAATATAACAGAAAGAAAACATGAGAAATATAAGAACATAAAAAGCAAATGTAACAGAGATAAAAAAGTCAAAGATGAGTTTTATTTTAAATTATCTATAAGGTAAACAGAGAACAAGCTAAATGACAAAATAGGAAAGTAACACGACAAAATAGGAAGGAGAGAACTTTCTGCAAAGCAAATGGCCCAATCTCCATGGCTGTTTAGTAGGAGGAAGAAAAGGCTCTGCTGGGTGAAAGGCCACCTACAGGGGGTGACCGAGCACACATAGGTGGGCTGAGGCTGGAGTGAAGTGCTGGGCCCATGGCATGCCTCTCCTTGGTCTGGACTTTAGAGGAAACAGAAAGAAGCTTGCTGAAATGGAAAGGTGAATAAAAAAATAGATTTTTTAAACATAAATATATACATTATAACATATTTGTATCAGTCAGAGTTCATGGATTAAGTAGGTGGTATATGTTGAGAGATTTACTGTGAGGAACTGCTGCACACGACTGTGGGAATGCTGGGCAGGCTTTCGGGTAGGAGCCTTGGTTCTAACCCCAAGGCCTCTCTGCAGCCTGAGTCAAGCCCATCACGCCACCTGGGACATCTGGCTTGACTCAGTCCAACATGCTGCAGATCAGAGCAGCATCCACCAAACACTGCCACACCAGCACCTGGGTGCATGCTTCTTTGAGTCATCCAGCAGTGTAGCTTCAAAAAACTGACACATAAACCTGACCATCAGACTGGTGTGTACATGTATTTGTGCATATAAACATGTACACATAAAAAAAGATCTGTTCTTCAGGTAGTGAAAATGTGATTATTTTACATTCTATTTTTACTTACTGGTTTCTCCTAATTTTCTAAAATGTTGAGTACTACTTCAGTAATAAAGGTTACTTTTTTTTTTTTTTTGAGACGGAGTCTCACTTTGCTGCCAGGCTGGAGTGCAGTGGTGTGATCTCGGCTCTCTGCAACCTCTGCCTCCCGGGTTCAAGTGATTCCCCTGCCTCAGCCTCCTGAGGAACTGGGACTACAGGTGCACGCCATCACACCTGGCTAATTTTTTGTATTTTAGTAGAGATGGGGTTTTGCCATGTTCGCCAGGATGGTCTCCATCTCCTGACCTCATGATCTGCCTACCTTGGCATCCCAAAGTGCTGGGATTACAGGTGACAGCCACTGTGCCCAGCCAATAAAGGTTACTTAAAAAAAAAAAAGAAAGAATAAAAAGAAGTGACTGCAAACAGTTCCAACATTAGGAAAAACATTGTTTTTCACCAGTAAGGATGGTATCATCCTTACTGTTCTCAGAACAGTCAGCTGTAGGTGTTTCTCAGAATGTTCTCCATCAAACTGAGGAAATTCCCCTCTGTTCTTACTTTGCAGAGAACTTTCCTTGTAAATGGGTATGGAATTACAAAAAAAATTTTTTTTTTTGAGACAGTATCTCACTTTGTTGCCCAGGCTGGAGTGCAGGTGTGGTCTTGGCTCACTGCAGCCTCCACCTCCTGGGCTCAAATGATCCTCCTGCCTCAGCCTCCAGAGTAGGTGGGACTACAGTTGCACCACCATGCCCGGCTAATTTTTGTACTTTTTTTAGACACGGGCTTTCACCATGTTGCTCAGGCTGATCTGTAGCTCCTGGACAAAACAGTCCTCCCATCTCATCCTCCCAAAGTGCTGGGATTACAGGCATGAGCCACCGTGTTGGCCCTCAAATATCATTTTTAAAAAATACCTTCTTACATGAGCTTATGGCACTTATTTTATTATGTGAATATGGTATATTACATAAATTTTTAAAGGCTAAACCAAATTTGAACTTCTGAGAGAAACCCCACTTGCTCATGAAGTATCGTTATCCTTTATATCTGCTATAATTTAATTTATATCTCTATTACTGTGGGTATTTCTCTAATTTTGGCAACAACGTGTCCCTGATTCATAGTAAGACTGGGATGCATACCCTCCTCTGCTGTTAAAGGGGATCTATGTACTGATTTAATTCTTTAAACATATAGTACAAATGACCAGGTAAGTCACCTGGGACTGATGGTTTCTTTGTTATTTTATTATACTTTAAGTTCTAGGGTACATGTGCACAAAGTACAGGTTTGTTACATATGTATACATGTGCAATGATGGTGTGTTGCACCTGTCAACTCGACATTTACATTAGGTTTATCTCCTATTGCTATCCATCTCCCCCTCCCCCCACCCGATGACAGACCCCAGTGTGTGATGTTCTCCACCCTGTGTCCAAGTGTTCTTATTGTTGAATTCCCATGTATGAGTGAGAACATGTGGTGTTTGGTTTTCTATCCTTGCAATAGTTTGCTCACAATGATGCTTTCCAGCTTCACCCATGTCCCTACAAAGGACATGATCTCATCCTCTTTTATGGCTGCATAGTATTCCATGATGGATATGTGCCACATTTTCTTAATCCAGAATATCGTTGATGGATATTTGGGTTGGTTCCAGGTCTTTGTTATTGTGAATAGTGCCACAATAAACATATGTGTGCATGTGTCTTTACAGCAGCATGATTTATAATCCTTCGGGTATATACACAGTAATGGGATCACTGGGTCAAATGGTATTTCTAGTTCTAGATCCTTGAGGAATCACCACACTGTCTTCCGCAATGGTTGAACTAGTTTACAGTCCCACCAACAGTGTCAAAGTGTTCCTATTTCTCCATATCCTCTCCAGCACCTGCTGTTCCCTGACTTTTTAGTGATTGCCATTCTAACTGGTGTGAGATGCTATCTCATTGTGGTTTTGATTTGCATTTCTCTGATGGCCAGTGACGATGAGCATTTTTTCATGTGTTTATTGGCTGCATAAATGTCTTCTTTTGAGAAGTGTCTGTTCAGATCCTTTGCCCACTTTTTGATGGGGTTGTTTGATTTTTTTCTAGTAAATTTGTTTAAGTTCTTTATAGATTCTGGATATTAGCTGTTTGTCAGATGGGTAGATTGTAAAAATTTTCTCCCATTTTGTAGGTTGTCTGTTCACTCTGATGGTAGTTTCTTTTGCCATGCAGAAGCTCTTTAGTTTAATTAGATCCCATTTGTTAATGTTGGCTTTTGTTGCCATTGCTTTTGGTGTTTTATACATGAAGTACTCGCCCATGCCTGTGTCCTGAATGGTAATGCCTAGGTTTTCTTCTAGGGTTTTTGTGGTTTTAGGACTAACATTTAAGTCTTTAATCCATCTTGAATTAATTTTTGTATAAGGTGTAAGGAAGGGATCTAGTTTCAGCTTCCTACATATTGTTAGCCAGTTTTCCCAGCACCATTTGTTAAATAGGGAATCCTTTCCCCATTTCTTGTTTTTGTCAGGTTTGTCAAAGATCAGATGGTGGTAGATGTGTGGTATTATTTCCGAGGGCTCTGTTCTGTTCCATTGGTCTATATCTCTGTTTTGGTACCAGTACCATGCTGTTTTGGTTACTGTAACCTTGTAGTATCATTTGAACTCAGGTAGTGTGATGCCTCCAGCTTTGTTCTTTTGGCTTAGGGTTGTCTTGGCAGTGCGGGCTCTTTTTTGTTTCCATATGAACTTTAAAGTAGTTTTTTCCAATTCTGTGAAGAAAGTCATTGGTAGCTTGATGGGGATGGCATTGAATCTATAAATTACCTTGGACAGTATGGCCATTTTCATGATATTGATTCTTCCTATCCATGAGCATGGAATGTTCTTCCCTTTGTTTGTGTCCTCTTTCATTTCATTGACCTCACCTTGAAGACGTCCTTCACATCCCTTGTAAATTGGATTTGTAGGTTTTTTATTCTCTTTGAAGCAATTGTGAATGGGAGTTCACTCATGATTTGGCTCTCTGTTTGTCTGTTATTGATGTATGGGAATGCTTGTGACTTTTGCACATTGATTTTTTATCCTGAGACTTTGCTGAAGTTGCTTACCTGCTTGAGGAGATTTTGGGATGAGATGATGGGGTTTCCTAAATATACAATCATGTTATCTGCAACAAGGACAATTTGACTTCCTCTTTTCCTAATTGAATACCCTTTATTTCTTTCCCCTGCCTGATTGACCTGGCCAGAACTTCCAACACTATATTGAATAGGAGTGGTGAAAGAGGGCATCCCTGTCTTGTGCCAGTTTTCAAAGGGAGTGCTTCCAGTTTTTTTCCCACTCAGTATGATATTGGCTGTGGGATTGTCATAAATAGCTCTGATTATTTTGAGATATGTCCCATCAATACATAGTTTATTTAGAGTTTTTAGCAAGAAGAGTGCTGAATTATGTCAAAGGCCTTTTCTGCATCTCTTAAGATAATCATGTGGTTTTTGTCTTTGGTTCTGTTTATGTGATGGATTACGTTTATTGATTTGCATATGTTGAACCAGTGTTGTATCCCAGGGAAGAAGCCAACTTAATTGTGGTGGATCAGCTTTTTTGATGTGATGTTGGATTCGGTTTGCCAGTATTTTATTGAGAATTTTTGCATCGATGTTCAGGGATATTGGTCAAAAATTGCCTTTTTTTGTTGTGTCTCTGTCAGGTTTTGGTATCAAGATGATGCTGGCCTCATAAATGAGTTAGGGAGGATTCCTTCTTTTTCCATTGATTGGAATAGTTTCAGGAGGAATGGTACCAGTTCCTCTTTGTACCTCTGGAAGAATTCTCCTCTGAATCCATCTGGTCCTGGAGTTTTTTTGGTTGGTAGTCTATTAATCATTGCCTCAATTTCAGAGCCTATTATTTGTCTATTCAGGGATTCAACTTCTTCTTGGATTAGTCTTGCAAGGGTGTATGTGTCCCGGAATTTATCCGTTTCTTTTTATTTTCTAGTTTATTTGCATAGAGCTGTTCATAGTATTCTCTGATGTAGTTTGTATTTCTGTGGGATCAGTAGTAATATCCCCTTTATCATTTTTTATAGTGTCTATTTGACTCTTCTTTATTAGTCTTCCTAGTGGTCTATCAATTTTGTTGATTGTTTTCAAAAAACCACCTGCTGGATTCATTGATTTTTTTTTGAAGGGTTTTTTGTGTCTCTCTCTCCTTCAGTTCTGCTCTGATATTAGTTATTTCTTGCCTTCTGCTAGCTTTTGAATGTGTTTGCTCTTGCTTCTCTAGGTCTTTTACTTGTGATGTTGGGGTGTCAATTTTAGATCTTTTCTGCTTTCTCTTGTGGGCATTTAGTGCTATAAATTTCCCTCTAAACACTGCTTTAAATGTGTCCCAGAGATTCTGGTATGTTGTGTCTTTGTTCTCATTGGTTTCAAAGAACATCTTTATTTCTGCCTTCATTTCATTATGTACCCAGCAGTCACTCAGGAGCAGGTTGTTCACTTTCCATGTAGTTGTGTGGTTTTGAATGAGTTTCTTAATCCTGAGTTCTAATTTGATTACACTGTGGTCTGAGAGACAGTTGATTGTGATTTCTGTTCTTTTACATTTGCTGAGGAGTGCTTTACTTCCAACTATGTGGTCAATTTTGGAATAAGTGTGATGTGGTGGTGAGAAGAATGTATGTTCTGTTGATTTGGAGTGCAGATTTCTGTAGATGTCTATTCGGTCTGCTTGGTGCAGAGCTGAGTTCAATTCCTGATATCCTTGTTAACTTTCTGTCTCATTGATCTGTCTAATGTTGACAGTGGGGTGTCAAAGTCTCCCATTGTTATTGTGTGGGAGCCTAAGTCTCTTTGTAGGTCTCTAATGACTTGCTTTATGAATCGGGGTGTTCCTGTATTGGGTGCATATATATTTAGGATAGTAAATTCTTGTTGAATTGATCCCTTTACCATTATGTAATGGCCTTCTTTGTCTCTTTTGATCTTTGTTGGTTTAAAGTCTGTTTTATCAGAGACTAGGATGCAACCCTGCTTTTTTTTTTTGTTTTCCATTTGCTAGGTAGATCTTCCTCCAACCCTTTATTTTGAGCCTGTGTGTGTCACTGCACGTGAGATGGGTTTCCTGAATACAGCACACTGATGGGTCTTAACTCTTTATCCAGTTTGCCTGTCTGTGTCTTTTAATTGGAGCATTTAGTCCACTTACCTTTAAGATTAATATTGTTATGTGTGAATTTGATCCTGTCATTATGATGTTAGCTGGTTATTTTGCTCATTAGTTGATGTAGTTTCTTCCCAGCATCAATGGTCTTTACCATTTGGCATGTTTTTGCAGTGGCTCGTACCGGTTGTTTCTTTCCATGTTTAGTGCTTCCTTCAGGAGCTCCTTTAGGGCAGGCCTGGTGGTGACAAAATCTCCCAGCATTTTTTTGTCTGTAAAGGCTTTTATTTCTCTTTCATTTATGAAGCTTAGTTTGGCTGGATATGAAATTTTGGGGTGAAAATTCTTTTAAGAATATTGAATATTGGCCCCCACTCTCTTCTGGCTTGTAGAGTTTCTGCCAAGAGATCCACTGTTAGTCTGATGGGCTTCCCTTTGTGGGTAACTGACCTTTCTCTCTGGCAGTCCTTAACATGTTTTCCTTCATTTCAACTTTGGTGAATCTGACAGTTATGTGTCTTGGAGTTGCTCTTCTTGAGGAGTATCTTTGTGGTGTTCTCTGTATTTCCTGAATTTGAATGTTGGCCTGCCTTGCTAGATTGGGGAAGTTCTTCTGGATAATATCTTGAACAGTGTTTTCCAACTTGGTTCCATTCTCATCATCACTTTTAGTTACACCAATCAGATGTAGATATGGTCTTTTCACATAGTCCCATATTTCTTGGAGGCTTTGTTCATTTCTTTTTACTCTTTTTTCTCTAAACTTCTTGCTTCATTTCATTCATTTGATCTTCAGTCACTGATACGCTTTCTTCCACTTGATCAAATTGGCTATTGAAATTTGTCCATGTGGAGGGGGCTGCCAAGATGGCTGAATAGGAACAGCTCTGCTCTACAGCTCCCAGTGTGAGCAACGCAGAAGATGGGTGATTTCTGCATTTCCATCTGAGGTACCAGGTTCATCTCACTAGGGAGTGCCAGACAGCGGGCGCAGGACAGTGGGTGCAGCTCACCATGCGTGAGCTAAAGCAGGGTGAGGCATTGCCTCACTCAGGAAGCACACGGGGCCAGGGAGTTCCCTTTCCTAGTCAAAGAAAGGGGTGACAGATGGCACCTGGAAAATCGGATCACTCCCACCCTAATACTGCGCTTTTCTGATGGGCTTAAAAAACGGCGCACCAGGAGATTATATCCTGCACATGGCTCAGAGGGTCCTACACCCACGGAGTCTCACTGATTGCTAGCACAGCAGTCTGAGATCAAACTGCAAGGTGGCAGTGAGGCTGGGGGAGGGGTGCCCGCCATTGCCCAGGCTTGCGTAGGTAAACTAAGCAGCCGGGAAGCTCAAACTGGGTGGAGCCCACCACAGCTCAAGGAGGCCTGCCTGCCTCTGTAGGCTCCACCTCTGGGGACAGGGCACAGAAAAACAAAAAGACATCAGTAACCTCTGCAGACTTACATGTCCCTGTCTGACAGCTTTGAAGAGAGCAGTGGTTCTCCCAGCACGCAGCTGGAGATCTGAGAAGGGGCAGACTGCCTCCTCAAGTGGGTCCCTGACCCCTGACCCCCAAGCAGCCTAACTGGGAGGCACCCCCCAGTAGGGGCAGACTGACACCTCACATGGCCAGGTACTCCTCTGAGACAAAACTTCCAGAGGAATGATCAGACAGCAGCATTCGCAGTTCACAAAAATCCGCTGTTCTGCAGCCACCACTGCTGATACCCAGGCAAACAGGGTCTGGAGTGGGTCTCTAGCAAACTCCAACAGACCTGCAGCTGAGGGTCCTGTCGGTTAGAAGGAAAACTAACAAACAGAAAGGACATCCACACCAAAAACCCATCTGTACATCACCATCATCAAAGACCAAAAGTAGATAAAATCACAAAGATGGGGAAAAAACAGAGCAGAAAAACTGGAAACTCTAAAAAGCAGAGCACCTCTCCTCCTTCAAAGGAACAGAGTTCCTCATCAGCAATGGAACAAAGCTGGACAGAGGATGACTTTGGCGAGTTGAGAGAAGAAGGCTTCAGATGATCAAACTACTCTGAGCTATAGGAGGAAATTCAAACCAAAGGCAAAGAAGTTGAAAACTTTGAAAAAAATTTAGATGAATGTCTAACTAGAATAACCAATACAGAGAAGTGCTTAAAGGAGTTGATGGAGCTGAAAGCCAAGGCTTGAGAACTACGTGAAGAATTCAGAAGCCTCAGGAGCTGATGCGAACAACTGGAAGAAAGTGTATCAGTGATGGAAGATGAAATGAATAAAATGAAGCAAGAAGGGAAGTTTAGAGAAAAAAGAATTAAAAAAAAATGAAGAAAGCCTCAAGAAATATGGGACTATGTGAAAAGACCAAATCTACGTCTGATTGGTGTACTGAAAGTGATGGGGAGAATGGAACCAAGTTGGAAAACACTCTGCAGGATATTATCCAGAAGGACTTCCCCAATCTAGCAAGACAGGTCAACATTCAGATTCAGGAAATACAGAGAACACCACAAAGATACTCTTCAAGAAGAGCAACTCCAAGACACATAATTGTCAGATTCACCAAAGTTGAAATGAAGGAAAAAATGTTAAGGGCAGCCAGAGAGATAGGTCGGGTTACCCTCAAAGGGAAGCCCATCAGACTAACAGCTGATCTCTTGGCAGAAACTCTACAAGCCAGAAGAGAGTGGGGCCAATATTCAACATTCTTAAAGAAAAGAATTTTCAACCCAGAATTTCACATCCAGCCAAACTAAGCTTCATAAGTGAAGGAGAAATAAAATACTTTACAGACAAGCAAATGCTGAGAGATTTTGTCACCACCAGGCCTGCCCTAAAAGAGCTCCTGAAGGTAGCGCTAAACATGGAAAGGAACAACCGGTACCAGCCACTGCAAAATCATGCCAAGTTGTAAAGACCATTGAGGCTAGGAAGAAACTGCATCAACTAATGAGCAAAATAACCAGCTAACATCATAATGACAGGATCAAATTCACACATAACAATATTAATTTTAAATGGAAATGGACTAAATGCTCCAGTTAGAAGACACAGACTGGCAAATTGGGTAGAGAGTCAAGACCCATCAGTGTGCTGTATTCAGGAAACTCATCTCATGTGCAGAGACACACATAGGCTCAAAATAAAAGGATGGAGGAAGACCTGCCAAGCAAATGGAAAACAAAAAAAGGCAGGGGTTGCAATCCTAGTCTCTGATAAAACAGACTTTAAACCAACAAAGATCAAAAGAGACAAAGAAGGCCATTATATAATGGTAAAGGGATCAATTCAACAAGAGCTAACTATCCTAAATATACATGCACCCAATATGGGAGCACCCAGATTCATAAAGCAAGTCCTGAGTGACCTACAAAGAGACTTAGACTCCCACACAATAATAATGGGAGACTTTTTAACACCCCACTGTGAACATTAGACAGATCAATGAGACAGAAAGTTAACAAGGATATCAGGAATTGAACTCAGCTCTGCACCAAGCGGACCTAATAGACATCTACAGAACTCTCCACCACAAATCAACAGAATATACATTTTTTTCAGCACCACACCACATCTATTCCAAAATGGACCACATAGTTGGAAGTAAAGCTCTCCTCAGCAAATGTAAAAGAACAGAAATTATAACAAACTTTCTCTCAGACTACAATGCAATCAAACTAGCACTTAGGATTAAGAAACTCATTCAAAACTGCTCAACTACATGGAAACAGAACAACCTGCTCCTGAATGACTACTGGGTACATAATGAAATGAAGACAGAAATAAAGATGTTCTTTGAAACCAAGAAGAACAAAGACACAACATACCAGAATCTCTAGGACACTTTCAAAGGAGTGTATAGAGGGAAATTTATAACACTAAATGCCCACAAGAGAAAGCAAGAAAGATCCAAAATTGACAACTTACCATCACAATTAAAAGAACTAGAAAAGCAAGAGCAAACACATTCAAAAGCTAGCAGAAGGCAAGAAATAACTAATATCAGAGCAGAACTGAAGGAGACAGAGACACAAAAAACCCTTCCAAAAAAAAATCAATGAATGCAGAAGCTGGTTTTTTGAAAGGATCAACAAAATTGACAGACCACTAGCAAGACTAATAAAGAAGAAAAGAGAGAAGAATCAAATAGAAGCAATAAAAAATGACAAAGGGGATATCACCACTTATCCCACAGAAATACAAACTACCATCAGAGAATACTACAAACACCTCTACACAAATAAACTAGAAAATCTAGAAGACATGGATAAATTCCCCGACACATACACCCTCCCAAGACTAAACCAGGAAGAAGTTGAATCTCTGAATAGACCAATAACAGGCTCTGAAATTATGGCAATAATCAATAGCTTACCAACCAAAAAGAGTCCAGGATGAGATGGATTCACAGCTGAATTCTACCAGAGGTACAAGGAGGAACTGCTACCATTCCTTCTGAAACTATTCCAATCAACAGAAAAAGAGGGAATCCTCCCTAACTCATTTTATGAGGCCAGCATCATCCTGATACCAAAGCCGGGCAGAGACACAACCAAAAAAGAGACTTTTAGACCAATATCCTTGATGAACATTGATGCAAAAATCCTCAATAAAATATTGGCAAACCGAATCCAGCAGCACATCAAAAAGCTTATCCACAATGATCAAGTGGGCCTCATCCCTGGGATTCAAGGCTGGTTCAATATATGCAAATAAATAAATGTAACCCAGCATATAAACACAACCAAAGACAAAAACCACCTGATTATCTCAATAGATGCAGAAAAGGCCTTTGACAAAATTCAACAACTGTTCATGCTAAAAACTCTCAATAAATTAGGAGAACTACAAACCACTGCTCAAGGAAATAAGAGAGGATACAAACAAATGGAAGAACATTCCATGCTCATGGGTAGGAAGAATCAATGTCATGCAAATGGCCATACTGCCCAAGGTAATTTATAGATTCAATGCGATCCCCATGAAGCTACCAATGACTTTCTTCACAGAATTGGAAAAAACTACTTTAAAGTTCATATGGAACCAAAAAAGAGCCCGCATAGCCAAGTCAATCCTAAGCCAAAAGAACAAAGCTGGAGGCATCACACTACCTGACTTCAAACTATACTACAAGGCTACAGTAACCAAAACAGCATGGTACTGGTACCAAAACAGAGATATAGATCAATGGAACAGAACAGAGCCCTCAGAAATAACGCCACATATCTACAACTACCTGATCTTTGACAAACCTGAGAAAAACAAGCAACGGGGAAAGGATTCCCTATTTAATAAATGGTGCTGGGAAAACTGGGTAGCCATATGTAGAAAGCTGAAACTGGATCCCTTCCTTACACCTTACACAAAAATTAATTCAAGATGGATTAAATACTTAAACGTTAGACCTAACACCATAAAAACCCTAGAAGAAAACCTAGGCATTACCATTCAGGACACAGGTATGGGCGAGGACTTCATGTATAAAACACCAAAAGCAATGGCAACAAAAGCCAAAATTGACAAATGGGATCTAATTAAACTAAAGAGCTTCTGCACAGCAAAAGAAACTACCATCAGAGTGAACAGACAACCTACAAAATGGGAGAAAATTTTCACAACCTACTCATCTGACAAAGGGCTAATATCCAGAATCTACAATGAACTCAAACCAATTTACAAGAAAAAAACAAGCAACCCCATCAAAAAGTGGGCAAAGTACATGAACAGACACTTCTCAAAAGACATTTATGCAGCCAAAAAACACATGAAAAAATGCTCACCATCACTGGCCATCAGAGAAATGCAAATTAAAACCACAATGAGATACCATCTCACACCAGTTAGAATGGCAATCATTAAAAAGTAGGAAACAACAGGTGCTGGAGAGGATGTGGAGAAATAGGAACACTTTGACACTGTTGGTGGGATTGTAAACTAGTTTAACCATTGTGGAAGTCAATGTGGCGATTCCTCAGGGATCTAGAACTAGAAATACCATTTGACCCAGCCATCCCATTACTGGGTATATATCCAAATGACTATAAATCATGCTGCTATAAAGACACATGCACACGTATGTTTATTGTGGCACTATTCACAATAGCAAAGACTTGGAACCAACCCAAATGTCCAACAATGATAGACTGGATTAAGAAAGTATGGCATATATACACCATGGAATACTATGCAGCCATAAAAAATGATAAGTTCACATCCTTTGTAGGGACATGGATAAAATTGGAAATCATCATTCTCAGTAAACTATCGCAAGGACAAAAAACCAAACACCGCATGTTCTCACTCATAAGTGGGATTTGAACAATGAGAACACATGGACACAGGAAGGGGAACATCACACTCTGGGGACTGTTGTGGGGTAGGGGTAGTGGGGAAGGATAGCATTAGAAGATATACCTAATGCTAGATGACGAGTTAATGGGTGCGGCACACCAGCATGGCACATGTATACATATGTAACTAACCTGCACATTGTGCACATGTACCCTAAAACTTAAAGTATAATAACAATAATAATAATAATAATAATAATAATAATAATAAAAGAACAGGGTCTTGCTCTATTGCCTGGGCTGGAGTGCAGTGGTGCGATCATAGCTCACTGCAGCCTCGACCTCCCAGGCTCAGGTGATCCTCCTACCTCGGCCTCCCTAATTATTGGAACCACAAGTGTGCACAGTCACATCCAGCTATTTTTGTTTTTACTTTTTGTAGCAGTGAAGTCTTGATGTCCTAGCTTCACATAACCCTCCTTCTTAAGCCTCCCAAAGCACTAGTATTACAGGCATGAGCCACCATGTGTGGCCACCACTGACTTTCTGAACCCCGAGTGTATTAGCCACCATAACAGACACCTTTTGTCTGATACATTCTGTGGATCATATTCCTTTTTTATATATAATTTTACCTTTTATTTTAGATTTGAGTGGTACAGGTACAGGTTTGTTTCATGGGTATATCATGTGACACTGAGGTTTGGAATGCAGATGATCCCATCACCCAGGTACTGAGCATAGCACCCCACAGGTAGTGTTTCAGCCCTGGCCCCTCCATCTCTCCACCCTCTAGTATTCCCTAGTATCTACTGTTCCCAACTTTGTGTGCATGTATAGATTGTATTTCTTAGATTTCTCTAAATAACGGGGCAGGGAAGGTAGTGTGAACGATGTAAAGGTGTGCCAAATTGGTTCTGCAGAATTAATGTTTTTTGAATAAAGTATTCAATTTTCTCAAGTGAGCAGGCCAGTTTCTCAAGAAAAATTTCATTTGAATCCTCCACCCCGAGCCTGCGGAGAGAAAGAGAGAGAGGGAGGGAGAGAGACCTGTTAAGAGTTGTACTTGTTCTCCTGCAGTGATATGACTTATTTCTTAATGACAACCCTTGCCGTTTTTCTTTTTTTTTTTTTTTTTTTGGAGCCAGAGTCTCACTCTGTCACCCAGGCTGGGGTACAGTGACCAGATAACAGCTCACTGCAACCTTCACCTCCTCGGTTCTCCTGCCTCAGCCTCCTGAGTAGCTGGGACTACAGGTGCCCACCACCACGACTGGCTAATTTTTGTATTTTTAGTAGAGACACGGTTTAGTCCAGACAGGGTCTGGATCTCTTGACTTTGTAATTCATCCGCCTCAGCCTCCCAGAGTGCTAGGGTTACAGGCATGAGCCACCGAGCCCAGCCAACCCTTGTTGTTTTCTAAGAGAAAAAAAAGGAGAATGAATGAAATGTTAAAAGTGGTATTATGTATAATTTTTAAGAGCATAAAGAGAAAATGAAGAATTATAAAAACAAAGGCCAGGAAAGCAAACAGTGTTCTTCCTCCATGTGGTAGCCAGATGATGTTTTAGGCAAATACCCTGCAAACTGCACAGCCACGTACTCATCTCAAAGGTCTTTCCATGGAGCAACAGCAGTTTTGATCATATCGTCGTTACCACCATCACCACTTTCTTTCACTCATGTGAAACACCTCTGCAGTGGTTTGGTTTTGTTTTTGTTGGTGGGTTTGGTGGTTGGTAGCTGAGTTTGTTTCTGGCTTAAAGGGCACATTTGATGAAGAAATCGTTTATGTTTTCAAATATGTAGGCTTTAGTAAACTATCTCACTCTGAGAAATCCAACGTTTCAATTACTCTGTGAACACCACTGAAAGAATTCACCTTTCCTCTCAATCCACATTCTCAAGGGCAGACTTGGGGACGCTGGAACCATTTTCTCTTCTTTCATTTTTTTTTCTTTTTTTGAGATGGAGTCTCATTCTGTCACCCAGGCTGGAGTGCAGTGGTGCAATCTCAGCCCACTGCAAACTCCATCTCCCAGGTTCAAACAATTCTCGTGCCTCAGCTTCCTGAGTAGCTGGGATTACAGGTGCATGCCATCATGCCCAGCTAATTTTTGTATTTTTAGTAGAGACAGGGTTTCACCATATTGGCCAGGCTGGTCTCGAACTCCTGACGTGGTGATCCACCCTCTTCAGCCTTCCTAAGTGCTGGAATTACAGGCATGAGCCACACCTAGCCTAGAACCACGTTAAACAACAATGGCTTACCACATTCATGCTTCCATGGGACATGGCAAGTTCACTTCGAGACTGCACCTTTATTTATCTTTTGTTATTCTTCACCATACATCCATCTTACTTTGTAGGGTCTTCACAATGATGAATGGCCCAAGACTCATATGGTCAGAACTGAGATCTGAGACTGTCAGCCAGATCAGTGTCCCAATATTTATTTCTGCTTGGAATGTTATTCAAGATATTCAGTATATTCAACAAATATTCAATATTCAACAAAATATTTAATGCTATTCAAAATATTCAATAACAGATACAGGAACTGACTAAGGAGAAGGATCCTTGTCAAAATGCATCACCAGCATGAGAAGATTGGGAGTCCCAATCTGGTGTGTGACATCCAGAGACCTGAGGTCTGGGACAGAGGCTCTTTTATCTATCACTGCAGAGGTGTGGCAATATTTTAAACCCAAGAATATCCCAAGAAATATTGTAAAGCCATGAAATGTATACACATTGGCTGATCAACCTTGTTTCTGCTCAAAGCCATCTTATGAGTGTTTGGTAGTAGAATCCTCCATTCAAACAATCTAACCCAAAACAAATGGAGACATTGAATGATTCCAAGTAAACAATGGGCTCTCAATTTCAGGGAAAAGAAATGGCCATATTTCGACTCATTCTGAGCATATACTTTTAAGGTAGAGAAAGAGGCAGAAAAAAATAGTAAGTATTTCCTGACACAGCAATGCTCACTCTTTCCATAGAATGTTGTAGCAGCCCCCTCAAGACTGATAATGACCTGCAGAATGAATACCAAGGACACTCACAGGATATAAGGGTCATCTTGAAGCTTAACAGTTCTAACCTCCCCCTCCTCTGGCACATTGCCCCAGTGGGAACAGGCTTTTTTTGGAATTAAAACAAACAAACAAACAAACAATTCCCCAATTATACTAGATTGGCACAAAAGTGATTGCATTTTTGTCTGCATGTGTGTGTGTGTGTGTATGTGTGTGTAAAATGGAGTCTCACTTTATTGCCCAGGCTGGAGTGCAGTGGCATGATCTTGGCCCCCCTGGGCTCAAGTGATTCTCATACCTCAGCCTCCCAAGTAGCTGGGACCACAGACATGCACCACCATGCCCAGCTAATTTTTGTATTTTTAGTAGAGATGGGATTTCACCATGTTGACCAGGCTGGTCTCAAACTCCTGACCTCAAGTGATCCACCCACCTTGGCCTCCCAAAGTGCTGAGATTACAGGCATGAGCCACCACACCCAGTCTAGCCATTTTAATGCTGTAAAAACCACAATTATGTTTACACCAACCTAATATAAGCTTACATTTTGGTCTACGCAAATCCTCCAGCAACTATACTTCAGAACAGCATGAAAAAATACGCAGCTTCTCAGGGAAGTGGAACAATTGGTGCCTGTAACTGTCTGTAAAAGCCACTTTCTCCTCAGCCATGGGATGCAGGAGGCATGTTCTTCCTGCTGGGTCATGAGGATGTAGCCTCTGCCACATTCTGAGATCAAATTCCAAGATTCATCTGGCCCTCAGTCATCATTGCCAAGTGTAAAACTACAGCTCCAGTGTACACATTGGAAGTGGAAGAATAAGATACATGCACCATTACTCCCAGGGTAGAATCAAATCCATCATCTTCTGGCAAACTCAAAGCATGGATGCTAAACACAGAAATAGACTCTTGATGGCAATGTAAATTAATTCACCAGCAGTCAAAAGCTGTTTGGAGAGTTCTCAAGGAACTCAGAACTACCATTAGACCCATCAATCCCATTACTGCTTATATACCCAAGGAAAAATATAACCTTCTGACATAAAGACACCTGCACACACATGTTCATTGCAGCTCTACTTACAATAGCAAAGACACAGAATCAACCCTAGTGCCCATCCATGTGGAGTGGGTAAGGAAAATATGGTACTTATACACCATGGAATACACAGCCATAAAAAAGAATAAAATCATGTCCTTTGTAGCAACAAAGATGCAGCTGGAGGCCATTATTCTAAGCAAATTAATGCAAGAACAGAAAACCAAAGATGGCCTATTCTCACTTATAAAGTGGGAAGTAAACATTGGGTACTCATGGACATAAGGATACGAACAATAGACACTGGGGACTACTAGAGGGGAGAGGAAGGAAGGGAGACAGGGCTGGGAAAGTACCCCCTGGGTACTATGCTCACTACCTGGGTGATGAGATTCATACAGGAGCTAGAAAGAAATTATTCAGACAAATAGTGAGGGTAAAAGAGTCCTCGGTGGAATTTCTCTTAACAAAAGGAAGCTCCAAAATCATATCTTTTCTAACAAAGAGCAGCCTGAAAAATCATGCTGCAGACCTAGATAAACAAGGCGGAAGCTTGCACAGGTGAATGCCGGCAGCTGTGCCAATAGAAAAGGGCTACCTGGGGGCCAGGCACGTTCAACATGGAGGCTCCATCTTCCCTTTTCTTTTTCACAACGTGTACCTTAAAGGAACAGGCAACATAGTGCCAACCAGGTAGAGAATCCATCTGCATAATTAAAGATTAGGGTGAAGGTGGCCAGGTTTTGGTGCCCTGTGCAAATGGCATGCCTAGCCCTAACCAGTTTTTTTACCCTATGCAAATAACACACCTGGTCCAACCAATCTCTTGCATGCAATCTAAATCAGACACGGTGTCATCAAGCTCATCTATAAAACCATTACGTTTTGTCGCAGACCAGAAAACACACTCAGGACCCCCTCTTTGCAGAAGAGAGCTCTTCTCGTTCCTTCACCTGTTAAACTTCCTCCCTTAACTTCACTCCTTGTGTCCCTGTCCTTGATTTCCTCAGTGTGAGACAACGAACCTCAGGTGTCACCCTAGATGAATGATGCCACTTCAGGATCATTCAACCCCCAGACCGCAGTATCATACATTATATCCATGTAAAAAACCCACACATGAACCCCCTGAATCTAAAATAAAAGTCATTTTTTTTAAAAAGAAATACACTCTAAAGGACATATATTGTATGATTTCACATATATGAGTACCTCTATAATAGGCAAATTCATGGAGACAAAGTAGAATGGTGGTTACTAGGAGGTGGGGAAGTAGAGAACAGGGTGTTAGTGTTTAATGGGACAGAGTTTCAGTATGGAAGATAAAGAATTTCCAGAGATGGATGGTGGTGGCAGTTGCACAATATGAGTGCACTTAATGCCACTCAACTGTACACTTGAAAATAGCTAAAATGGTCAATTTTGTCTTATGTATACTTTGCCACACAATTTTTTTTTTTTTGAGATGGTGTCTTGGTATGTGGGCCAGGCAGGTCTTGAACTCCCGCCCTCAAGTGATCTTCCCACCTCAGTCTCCCATAGTGCTGAAATTACAGGCATAAGCCACTGTGCCCAGTGTTTGCCACAGTTCCTAAAATGACACACACAGACTTGGTATCTTTATAAAGGAAGAGCAGTGAAGTCTCTTCCTTTAGTGCAGTCTAGTGCAGACTAGAAAGACAGCCAAGGTTTCAGAGGCTCATCTTTGATCCCTGGTTTCCAGGCACCCGTCCCTGTGACCCATCGCAGCCCATGTGCTGCACACCTCTCCCAGGAATGCATTATTTTATTTGCTCTTTTTCTGCAAAACTGCCAAAGTTGATATTTTGTCATAAGCAGCCCTACTCGTGAACCACGTAGCAATGCTCTGGAGGAAGAATATACAAAATCACTTTCTGGTGACTGTAAGAAGTCCTTTCATCAGAAACTGGATTGAAAGTGTTGGATGAAAATGAAAACCCCGATCTCACTGGAGCTGGTGTGTGGCAGCCCCAGCCTGTGGTTAGTGAAGCCCCAGGGCTTCCCTGCAGGCTGACAGTGCGTCAGTGGCTGAGGCTGGTAATGAACACCCCAGGGATTGCCTCTCTCCCAGGAATTCTCTCACTGCTAGTGGGAAAGAAGAAACAGGCATGGTTTTCCTTCATAATTCCTCAGGGCTCACAGACAGACCGATTAGCCTACACGTGAAATAAACATGAAGTTTCCCTATCAGGAACCAATCTAAATGCAGGGATATTTAAATGATGTCAGCCCAATACAGCCCAAGGGTGATCAGAAACCCATCCCATTACAGGGAGCTTCAGAACATGACAAACCAGTACTTCAAAGGTGAATGATTAAAAGGTTTGAGAATGTACCCAAGTTAAAATATTTGTTTATATATATATGTTTTTTATATATGTTTATATAAATGAGTGTATATATATAAACAAGTGTATATATAACCAAATATATATATGTGTATATATATATAACCAAATATATATATGTATATATATAACCAAATATATATACATATATATTTGAGAGAGAGAGACAGAGAGAGAGAGAGACAGGGTCTCTCTGTCTTCCAGGCTGGAGTGTAGCAGTGCAATCACAGCTCACTGCAGCCTCAAACTCCTGAGCTCAAGCAATCCACCTGCTTCAACCTCTCTAGTTACTGGGGCTACAGGTGTGCACCACCACACTCAGCTAATTTTTAGTATTTTGTAGAGATGGGGGTCTCACAATGTTCCCCATGCTGGTGCTGAACTCCTCAGCCTCCTGAGTCGTTGAAACTACAAGTGGGTGCCACCACACATAGCTATTTTTTAAAAATTTTTGTAGACGTGGAGTCTCAATGTGTTGCCCAGTCTAGTCTCAAACTTCTGGGCTCAACAATTGCCTCACTTCAGCCTCCCAAGTGCTTGAGACTATAGGTGTGTGCAAACACACTCAGCTAATTTTTTATTTTTTGTAGACACAGAGTCCTATAGTGTTGCCCAGGCTGCTATCAAACTCCTGGGCTCAAGTGATCCTACTGCATCAGCTTCCCAAGGTGCTGGGATTACAGGCATGAGCTACTACGCCAGGCCTCATTTTCTTTCTCTGCTTTTTGCAGAAAAAGGCAATTAGAATTATATTAGAAAAAAAGCCAAGGAAACATGATCCATGTGTACCACAGGGGGGAGACACTTTTTTTTTTTTTTTTTTTTTTTGAGATGGAGTCTCCCTTTGTCACCCTGGCTGCAGTCCAATGGTGTGATCTTGGCTCACTGCAAGATCCGTCTCCCGGGTTCAAGTGATTTCCCTGCCTCAGGCTCCTGAGTAGCTGGGACTACAGGCGCATGCCACCACACCTGGCTAACTTTCATGTTTTTAGTAGAGATGGGATTTCACCATGTTGACCAGGCTGGTCTCAAACTCCTGACCTCAGGTGATCTACCCACCTTGGACTCCCAAAGTACTGGGATGACAGGTGTGAGCCTCCACTCCTGGGTGACACTTTTATTTCAAAAACAAACAATATAAAATTTCAGTTAGGAGGAATAAGTTCAAGGGATCCATTGTACAATACGGGGACTGTAGTTCACAACAATGTATTACATACTTGAAAATTACTGAGAGCAGATTTTAAATATTCTCATCTGACACAAAAAAGATAAATATATAAGGTGATATATGAGTTAATTAGTTCAATTTAGCCACTCTGCAATGTGCATATATTTCAAAACATTGTGGCCAGGTGTGCCTCATGCCTGTAATCCAAGCACTTTGGGAGGCTGAGGCAGGTGCCTCACCTGAAATCAGGAGTTCAAGACTAGCCTGACCAACATGGAGAAACCCCATCTCCACTAAAAATACAAAATTAGCTAGGCGTGTTTGCACATCCCTGTAATTCCAGCTACTTGGGAGGCTGAGACAGGAGAATCACTTGAACCCAGGAGGTGGAGGTTGTGGTGAGCCGAGATTGCGCCATTGCACTCCAGCCTAGGCAACAAGAGCGAAACTCTATCTCAAAAAAAAAAAAAAAAGGTGATATTATGCTCCATAAATATATGCAATTTTTAAAAAGAAAAAAGAAAAGGCTGGGCACAGTGGCTCATACCTGTAATCCCAGCACTTTGGAAGGTGAGGTGGGTGGATCACCTGAAGTCAGGGGTTTGAGACCAATCTGGCGAACATGGTGAAACCCCATCTCTACTAAAAGTACAAAAATTAGCTGGGTGTGGTGGCATGCACCTATAATCCCAGCTATTCAGAAGGCTGAGGCAGGAGAATTGCTTGAACCAGGGAGGTGGAGTTTCCAGTGAGCTGAGATTGTGCCACTAGACTCCAGCCTGGGGGACAGAGTGAGACTCCATCTCAATCAATCAATAAATCAATAATAAATATCCTTCCTGCCAAATCTTTTTTTAAGAATTTTGTTGTTTCCATTGACATATAATAACTGTCCATATTCCTGGGATACACAGTGATATTTCAATATATATAATGTATAGTGGTCACAGCAGGGTAATTGGCATATTCATCATCTTACACATGTACCATTTCTTTGTGTTGGCAACATTTAATATCCTCTCGGCTACTTGAAACTGTATATTATTGTTGCCTAGAGTCATCCTACAGTGCTATAGAACACTAGAACTTATTCCCACTCTCTACCTGTAACTTTGTATCCTTTAACAAATCTTACTTTTAAGTAGGCAGGTGGGTTCATAGTTTCATGCAAAACTCATGCCTGCAAATGATGTACAACAGTCTCCCATGTGAAAAGGCAACTAAAAATGATAAAGTTCAGGCTTTGCTTCTGGTACTTAGTGATTTGTATTTTATAGCTTGCCCATTTCCCAAAAACTCATGATCCATGAGTTGAATGAGAGTATTTTCACACCAGTAGTTACCATTTTAGGGAGACCAAAACAAAAAAATGCTTTTTTGAGAAGAAGAAAATTACCTTAGTTGTACAACATTAGGACAAAGTGATTTTGATGAAATCTGTAGTCTAACAATGACTTGCATTGATAGAGCTTGCTAAAGACAGGATTTATATTACCCTTAAATAAAAATTGAACCCCAAGGTGATGGTGTTAGGAGGTGAGGCCTTTGGAATGTGATGAAGTCAGGAGCCTCATGAATGGCACTAGTGCCCTTATAAAACGGACCTCAGAGAGCTCCCTCACCCTTTCCATCATGTGAGGACGTGGCGAGAAGGTGCCAAGTCTATGAAGCAGGAAGCCCTCACCAGACAATGAATCTGCCACACCTTGATCCTGGACTCCAGAGCTGTGAGCAATAAATCTCTTTTGTTTAACCCAATTCCCATGTGCCCCGAGAATACTCTTGACTCTAATCCCAATGTAACAGAAATGTATATGATTTTACATTAGAATTAGACACAAGCTCTGTTTAGAAATAACTCCAAGAACAGTTTTTGTATTTTATTTTCACACTGAAAATCAATCAGATTTGCTTCAGCCTCAAAGAGCAAGCATGTTTATGTAAAATTAAATGAACGCAGGCAGTGAGCTGCACCATTTTTTTTTCTAAATGGGAAATGGGTTAAAAGCCATTCATTATATTTTGTATTTTGTCATAGCAGTCAAAATGAATTAAGTCAGAGCTCCAGTTTTCTACCCCAGAGGATAGAAAACATTGGTGTCATTTTGCTACTGTTTTGATGTTCTTTTTATAAAGGATGAAGGAAGGACATACCATGTGAATTCTACTTTTTAGCTTTTTTTCTTTTGAGATGCAGTTTTGCTGTTATCACCTGGGCTGTAGTGCAGAGGCATGATCTTGGCTCATTGTAGCCTCTGCCTCCTGGTTCAAGCAATTCTCCTTCCTCAGCATCCCAAGTAGCTGGGACTACAGGTGCCTGCTACCATGCCCAGCTAATTTTTTTTTTTTTTTTTTTTTTTTAGTAGAGACAGGATTTCATCATGTTGGCCATGCTTGTCTCGAACTCCTGACCTCCGGTGATCTGCCTGCCTCAGCTTCCGAAAGTGCTGGGATTACAGACATGAGCCACCACACCCAGGGCAGATCTTTTATCTTATCCTATTTCTAGATGCCAACAGACATTACTCCTTGCTATCATCCAAGCACCAACAATCTTGGCAGCACCCAAGAGCTGGTTAGGAAGAAACACAATCTAGACCCAACCAGCCCTCTGAAATAACTTTCTGTATTTTCACACAAGTGCCCCAGTGATCTCTTTCCAAGTTAACACTCAAGGAGCTATGTCTAGGGACAGAGCATTTTCTCAATCCATAGTGCAACTCCTTGGGCTAGACCAGTGATTTCCAATCAAGGAAAATTCTGCCCCTGCAGGGAATACTTGTCAACCTCTGGAGGACATTTTTGGTTGTCATAACTTGAGGTGGAGGGGCTGCTACTGGATCCTAGTGGGTGGACACCAAGGATATTCCTAAACATCCTGCAGTCCACAGGCCAGCCCCCACCACAAAGAATGAATGACACAGTCTCAAATGTCAATGGTACAGACACTTGCCTAGAGACAACTGCCTAGAGGCTAGAGGAACCAAAATTCTCCTGTGTACTTCCCATAATAAGCAACTGGTTCATCCTAAAGTTATCTACTGTGAATTAAGGTGCTTTTCATCTATTCCTTCTGATAGTTTATTGGAAATACTGCTTTCTGAACTGAAGATCTTTTTAACCTCCCATCCACCCCTTCCTCTACAAAGAGGCTAGGTAAACAAAACACAGAGCTCTTTTTTTCCCCCTCCTTTTTCTTTTTGAGACAGTGTCTCACTCTATTGCCCAGGCTAGAGTGCAGTGTTGGGGTCATGGCTCATTGCAGCCTCCAAATTCCTGGGCTCAACCCATGTCCCACCTCAGCCTCCCAAGTAGCTGGGATTACAAGCACACACCACCACACCCAGCTAATTAAAAAAAAAAATTTTTTTTAAGATAGAATCTCACTCTGCTGCCCAGGTTGGAGTGCAGTGGTTCAATCTTGGCTCACTGCAACCTCCACCTCTGAGAATCAAGAGATTCTCATGCCTCAGCCTCCCAAGTAGCTCGCATTATGGGTGTGCACTACCACACCCAGCTAATTTTTGTATTATTAGTAGAGATTGTAGTTTCAACATGTTGGCCAGGCTAGTCTTGAACTCCTGACCTCAGGTGATCCACCCACCTCAGTTTCCCAAAGTGTTGGGATTACAGGTGTAAGTCACTGTGCCCAGCCCATTTTTTTTTTTTTAATTTTTTGTAGATACAGGGTCTCCGTCTGCTGCCCAGGCTGGTCTCAAACTCCTGAGCTAAAGAAATCCTCCCACTTCAGCTTCCCAAAGTGCTGGAATTATAGGTGTGAGACACTGCACCCAGCAGGAAGCACTTCTTGGGTGTCAAAGGTGTTTATCCCAAGTGATTTTCTTGGGGCTGCCGTAATACAGTATCACAATCTGAGCAGCTTAAAACAAGAGGAATTTATCATTTCCCAGTCCCAGAGGCCAGGAGTCTGAAATCAAGGAATGTTGGGGCTGTGCTCCCTCTGGAGGTTCTAGGGGAGGCTCCTTCCTCCCTCTCTCAGCTCCTGGGGGCTCCAGGCATCCTCAGGCTTGTGGCCGCATGCCTCCAGTCTCTGCCTCCATCTCCAAGTGGCCTTCTTCTCTGTGTCTGTGTCTCCTCTTTTGTCTCTTAGAAGGATACCTGACATTGGATGCAGGACCCTCTCTAACCCAGGATGAGCTCATTTTGGAATCCTTCTCATCCTCTGAACACAGTAAAAACATATCCTCTCTGTTGTACAGCACCTTTTATAATCCATTTCACATCAAAAAGTTTATCATCATTTCCCTGTTGCAGTTTCTACTTCTCAGGTACTTTTCACAGCCCATCTGTATCTTCTTTTCTTCTTTAAACTTCTTCTTCCTATCTAATCCTATGCTTCACACAGAATTGGCACATGGGATCCAAATGGCACACTGCTATTTATTTAAATCTAAGATTGCAGATCTGGAAGAAATCATGAATAATCTAGTCCAGGTGTCCTGAGTCGTAGGTTAAAAAACATCTCAAGTGGAATCAACCCAAATGACCATCAGTGGATGAAGAAAAACACAACATGGTCCATCCACACAAGGGAACATGATGCAACCCTAAGGAGGAATGGGGCTCAGACACAGGCTACAGTGTGGGTGCACCTGAATAACAGCACACTCAGCAAAGCAAGTCAGACACAAAAGACTATGTGGTATATGATGCCATTTATATAAAGTGTCCCAAATAGTCAAATCCACAAAGACAGAAAATACATGGTCATTAGGGGCCGGGGAGGTGGAATGGGAAGTGACTGCTACTGGGTACAGGGTCCCGTTTTGGAAATATGAAAATGCTCTGGAACTAGATAGAGATGTGATTACGAAAATACTAAATCTCACTGAGTTGTACACTTTAAAATGGTGAATTTCACCAGGTGCAGCAGCTCTTGCCTGTAATCCCAACACTTTGGCAGTCCAAGGTGGTGGATCACCTGAGGTCAGGAGTTCGAGACCAGCCTGACCAACGTGGTGAAACCCCGTCTCTACTGAAAATACAAAACTAGCTGGGCATGGTGGTGGGTGCCTGTAATTCCAGGTACTCAGGAGGCTGAGGCAGGAGAATTGCTTGAAACCAGGAGGCAGAGGTTGCAGTGAGCCAAGATTATACCACTGCACTACAGCTTGGGCAACAGAGTGAGACTCTGTCTCAAAAATAAATAAATAAATAAATAATAAAAATAACAAAATGGTGAGTTTCATGTTCTATAAATTTCCTCTCCATAGAGAAAAAATTAGTCTTCTCCTAACTCTGAAAGCCTACGGTGGGCATCACCCCAAAAGTTAAGAGCCAGGGCCAGGCACAGTGGCTCACACATGTAATCTCAGCATTTTGGGAGGCCTAAGGAAAAGGATCACTAGAGCTCAGGAGCTCAAGACCAGCCAAGGCAACACAGCAAGACCCCATCCTTACAAAAAATAAAATAAAAAACTAACTGGGCATGGTAGAGCACACCTGTAGTCTGAGGAACTCAGGAGGCTAAGCTGGGAGGATCACTTCAGCCCAGGAAGTCAAGGCTGCAGTGAACCATGATTGCACAACCACACTCCAGCCTGGGCAACAGAGCAAGACCTCATCTCCAAAAAAAGTTCAATTTAAAAAGAAAGTTAAGAGCAGAGGCAATCCTGTCCTCCCCATCCCCGCATTGTCCAATGCTCAACAGACAAACAGATACCAGTCTTCCTTTATATATTTTTTTCTTTTTTGAGACAGTCTCACTCTGTTTCCCAGGCTGGAATGCAGTGGTGCAATCTCAGCTCACTGCAACCTCCGCCTCCCAGGTTCAAGCAATTCTCCTGCTTCAGTCTCCCGAGTAGATGGGATTACAGGCATGTGCCACCACATGCGGCTAATTTTTGTACTTTTAGTAGAGACAGGGTTTCACCATGTTGGCCAGGCTGGTCTCAAGCTCCTGATTTCAAGTGATGCACCCATCTTGGCCTCTCAAACTGCTGGAATTACAGGCATGAGCCACAATGCCCTTTCCTTTATATTTTTGCATGGCTTCATCTTTTTTTTTTTTTTTTTGAGACAGAGTCTCGCTCTGTTGCCCAGGCTGGGGTGCAGTGGTACAATCTCAACTCACTGCAACCTCTGCCTGCCAGGTTCACGCCATTCTCCTGCCTCAGCCTCCCGTGTATCTGGGACTATAGGCGCTTGCCAACATGCCCAGCTAATTTTTTGTACTTTTTTAGTAGAGAGAGGGTTTCTACTGTTAGCCAGGATGCTCTTGATCTTCTGACCTTGTGATCTGCCTGCCTTGAACTCCCAAAGTGCTGGGATTACAGATGTGAGCCACAGTGCCCAGCCTGCATGGCTTCATCTTAAAAGATTTATCTGTGCAACTCTTTGGGGAAATTTGCAAACAAATGTTTCTGTCCAGCCACTGGGAATTTGAAAGATGTTTTATTTTATTTTATTTTTTTTATTATTACTATTATTATTATTATTATTTTTAATTATACTTTAAGTTTTAGGGTACATGTGCACATTGTGCAGGTTAGTTACATATGTATGCATGTGCCATGCTGGTGCGCTGCACCCACTAACTCGTCATCTAGCATTAGGTATATCTCCCAATGCTATCCCTCCCCCCTCCCCCGTCCCCACCACAGTCCCCAGAGTGTGATATTCCCCTTCCTGTGTCCATGTGATCTCATTGTTCAATTCCCACCTATGAGTGAGAATATGCGGTGTTTGGTTTTTTGTTCTTGCGATAGTTTACTGAGAATGATGGTTTCCAGTTTCATCCATGTCCCTACAAAGGACATGAACTCTTCATTTTTTATGGCTGCATAGTATTCCATGGTGTATATGTGCCACATTTTCTTAATCCAGTCTATCATTGTTGGACATTTGGGTTGCTTCCAAGTCTTTGCTATTGTGAATAATGCTGCAATAAACATACGTGTGCATGTGTCTTTATAGCAGCATGATTTATAGTCATTTGGGTATATACCCAGTAATGGGATGGCTGGGTCAAATGGTATTTCTAGTTCTAGATCCCTGAGGAATCGCCACACTGACTTCCAGAATGGTTGAACTAGTTTACAGTCCCACCAACAGTGTAAAAGTGTTCCTATTTCTCCACATCCTCTCCAGCACCTGTTGTTTCCTGACTTTTTAATGATTGCCATTCTAACTGGTGTGAGATGATATCTCATAGTGGTTTTGATTTGCATTTCTCTGATGGCCAGTGATGATGAACATTTTTTCATGTGTTTTTTGGCTGCATAAGTGTCTTCTTTTGAGAAGTGTCTGTTCATGTCCCTCGCCCACTTTTTGATGGGGTTGTTTGTTTTTTTCTTGTAAATTTGTTTGAGTTCATTGTAGATTCTGGATATTAGCCCTTTGTCAGATGAGTAGGTTGCGAAAATTTTCTCCCATGTTGTAGGTTGCCTGTTCACTCTGATGGTAGTTTCTTTTGCTGTGCAGAAGCTCTTTAGTTTAATTAGATCCCATTTGTCAATTTTGGCTTTGGTTGCCATTGCTTTTGGTGTTTTGGACATGAAGTCCTTGCCCACGCCTATGTCCTGAATGGTAATGCCTAGGTTTTCTTCTAGGGTTTTTATGGTTTTAGGTCTAACGTTTAAATCTTTAATCCATCTTGCATTGATTTTTGCATAAGGTGTAAGGAAGGGATCCAGTTTCAGCTTTCTACATATGGCTAGCCAGTTTTGCCAGCACCATTTATTAAATAGGGAATCCTTTCCCCATTGCTTGTTTTTCTCAGGTTTGTCAAAGATCAGATAGTTGTAGGAATGTGGCGTTATTTCTGAGGGCTCTGTTCTGTTCCATTGATCTATATCTCTGTTTTGGTACCAGTACCATGCTGTTTTGGTTACTGTAGCCTTGTAGTATAGTTTGAAGTCAGGTAATGTGATGCCTCCAGCTTTGTTCTTTTGGCTTAGGATTGACTTGGCGATGCGGGCTCTTTTTTGGTTCCATATGAACTTTAAAGTAGTTTTTTCCAATTCTGTGGAGAAAGTCATTGGTAGCTTCATGGGGATGGCATTGAATGTGTAAATTACCTTGGGCAGTATGGCCATTTTCACGATATTGATTCTTCCTACCCATGAGCACGGAATGTTCTTCCATTTGTTTGCATCCTCTTTTATTTCCTTGAGCAGTGGTTTGTAGTTCTCCTTGAAGAGGTCCTTCCCATCCCTTGTAAGTTGGATTCCTAGGTATTTTATTCTCTTTGAAGCAATTGTGAATGGGAGTTCACTCACGATTTGGCTCTCTGTTTGTCTGTTGTTGGTGTATAGGAATGCTTGTGATTTTTGTACATTGATATTGTATCCTGAGACTTTGCTGAAGTTGCTTATCAGCTTAAGGAGATTTTGGGCTGAGATGATGGGGTTTTCTAGATAAACAATCATGTCGTCTGCAAACAGGGACAATTTGACTTCCTCTTTTCCTAACTGAATACCCTTTATTTCCTTCTCCTGCCTGATTGCCCTGGCCAGAACTTCCAACACTATGTTGAATAGGAACGGTGAGAGAGGGCATCCCTGTCTTGTGCCAGTTTTCAAAGGGAATGCTTCCAGTTTTTGCCCATTCAGTATGATATTGGCTGTGGGTTTGTCATAGATAGCTCTTACTATTTTGAAATACGTCCCATCAATACCTAATTTATTGAGAGTTTTTAGCATGAAGTGTTGTTGAATTTTGTCAAAGGCTTTTTCTGCATCTATTGAGATAATCATGTGGTTTTTGTCTTTGGCTCTGTTTATATGCTGGATTACATTTATTGATTTGCGTATATTGAACCAGGCTTGCATCCCAGGGATGAAGTCCACTTGATCATGGTGGATAAGCTTTTTGATGTGCTGCTGCATTCGGTTTGCCAGTATTTTATTGAGGATTTTTGCATCAATGTTCATCAAGGATATTGGTCTAAAATTCTCTTTTTTGGATGTGTCTCTGCCCGGCTTTGGTATCAGAATGATGCTGGCCTCATAAAATGAGTTAGGGAGGATTCCCTCTTTTTCTATTGATTGGAATAGTTTCAGAAGGAATGGTACCAGTTCCTCTTTGTACCTCTGGTAGAATTCAGCTGTGAATCCATCTGGTCCTGGACTCTTTTTGGTTGGTAAACTATTGATTATTGCCACAATTTCAGCTCCTCTTATTGGTCTATTCAGAGATTCAACTTCTTCCTGGTTTAGTCTTGGGAGAGTGTATGTGTCAAGGAATGTATCCATTTCTTCTAGATTTTCTAGTTTATTTGCATAGAGGTGTTTGTAGTATTCTCTGATGGTAGTTTGTATTTCTGTGGGATTGGTGATGATATCCCCTTTATCATTTTTTATTGTGTCTATTTGATTCTTCTCTCTTTTTTTCTTTGTTAGTCTTTCTAGCGGTCTATCAATTTTGTTGATCCTTTCAAAAAACCAGCTCCTGGATTCATTGATTTTTTGAAGGGTTTTTTGTGTCTCTATTTCCTTCAGTTCTGCTCTGATTTTAGTTATTTCTTGCCTTCTGCTAGCTTTTGAATGTGTTTGCTCTTGCTTTTCTAGTTCTTTTAATTGTGATGTTAGGGTGTCAATTTTGGATCTTTCCTGCTTTCTCTTGTGGGCATTTAGTGCTATAAATTTCCCTCTACACACTGCTTTGAATGCGTCGCAGAGATTCTGGTATGTTGTGTCTTTGTTCTTGTTGGTTTCAAAGAACATCTTTATTTCTGCCTTCATTTCGTTATGTACCCAGTAGTCATTCAGGAGCAGGTTGTTCAGTTTCCATGTAGTTGAGCGGCTTTGAGTGAGATTCTTAATCCTGAGTTCTAGTTTGATTGCACTGTGGTCTGAGAGATAGTTTGTTATAATTTCTGTTCTTTTACATTTGCTGAGGAGAGCTTTACTTCCAAGAATGTGGTCAATTTTGGAATAGATATGGTGTGGTGCTGAAAAAAATGTGTATTCTGTTGATTTGGGGTGGAGAGTTCTGTAGATGTCTATTAGGTCTGCTTGGTGCAGAGCTGAGTTCAATTCCTGGGTATCCTTGTTAACTTTCTGTCTCTTTGATCTGTCTAATGTTGACAGTGGGGTGTTAAAGTCTCCCATTATTAATGTGTGGGAGTCTAAGTCTCTTGTAGGTCACTCAGGACTTGCTTTATGAATCTGGGTGCTCCTGTATTGGGTGCATATATATTTAGGATAGTTAGCTCCTCTTGTTGAATTGATCCCTTTACCATTATGTAATGGCCTTCTTTGTCTCTTTTGATCTTTGTTGGTTTAAAGTCTGTTTTATCAGAGACTAGGATTGCAACCCCTGCCTTTTTTTATTTTCCATTTGCTTGGTAGATCTTCCTCCATCCTTTTATTTTGAGCCTATGTGTGTCTCTGCATGTGAGATGGGCTTCCTGAATACAGCACACTGATGGGTCTTGACTCTTTATCCAACTTTCCAGTCTGTGTCTTTTAATTGGAGAATTTAGTCCATTTACATTTAAAGTTAATATTGTTATGTGTGAGTTTGATCCTGTCATTATGATGTTAGCTGGTGATTTTGCTCGTTAGTTGATGCAGTTTCTTCCTAGTCTTGATGGTCTTTACATTTTGGCATGATTTTGCAGCGGCTGGTACCGGTTGTTCCTTTCCATGTTTAGCGCTTCCTTCAGGAGCTCTTTTAGGGCAGGCCTGGTGGTGACAAAATCTCTCAGCATTTGCTTGTCTGTAAAGTATTTTATTTCTCCTTCACTTATGAAGCTTAGTTTGGCTGGATATGAAATTCTGGGTTGAAAATTCTTTTCTTTAAGAATGTTGAATATTGGCCCCCACTCTCTTCTGGCTTGTAGGGTTTCTGCCGAGAGATCCGCTGTTAGTCTGATGGGCTTCCCTTTGAGGGTAACCCGACCTTTCTCTCTGGCTACCCTTAACATTTTTTCCTTCATTTCAACTTTGGTGAATCTGACAATTATGTGTCTTGGAGTTGCTCTTCTCGAGGAGTATCTTTGTGGCGTTCTCTGTATTTCCTGAATCTGAACGTTGGCCTGCCTTGCTAGATTGGGGGAGTTCTCCTGGATAATATCCTGCAGAGTGTTTTCCAACTTGGTTCCATTCTCCCCATCACTTTCAGGTACACCAATCAGATGTAGATTTGGTCTTTTCACATAGTCCCATATTTCTTGGAGGCTTTGCTCATTTCTTTTTATTCTTTTTTCTCTAAACTTCCCTTTTTGCTTCATTTCATTCATTTCATCTTCCACTGCTGATACCCTTTCTTCCAGTTGATCGCATCGGCTCCTGAGGCTTCTGCATTCTTCATGTAGTTCTCGAGCCTTGGTTTTCAGCTCCATCAGCTCCTTTAAGCACTTCTCTGTATTGGTTATTCTAGTTATACATTCTTCTAAATTTTTTTCAAAGTTTTCAACTTCTTTGCCTTTGGTTTGAATGTCCTCCCGTAGCTCAGAGTAATTTGATCATCTGAAGCCTTCCTCTCTCAGCTCGTCAAAATCATTCTCCATCCAGCTTTGTTCCGTTGCTGGTGAGGAACTGCGTTCCTTTGGAGGAGGAGAGGCGCTCTGCGTTTTAGAGTTTCCAGTTTTTCTGTTCTGTTTTTTCCCCATCTTTGTGGTTTTATCTACTTTTGGTCTTTGATGATGGTGATGTACAGATGGGTTTTTGGTGTGGATGTCCTTTCTGTTTGTTAGTTTTCCTTCTAACAGACAGGACCCTCAGCTGCAGGTCTGTTGGAATACCCTGCCGTGTGAGGTGTCAGTGTGCCCCTGCTGGGGGGTGCCTCCCAGTTAGGCTGCTCTGGGGTCAGGGGTCAGGGACCCACTTGAGGAGGCAGTCTGCCCGTTCTCAGATGTCCAGCTGCATGCTGGGAGAACCACTGCTCTCTTCAAAGGTGTCAGACAGGGACATTTAAGTCTGCAGAGGTTACTGCTCTCTTTTTGTTTGTCTGTGCCCTGCCCCCAGAGGTGGAGCCTACAGAGGCCTGCAGGCCTCCTTGAGCTGTGGTGGGCTCCACCCAGTTTGAACTTCCGGGCTGCTTTGTTTACCTAAGCAAGCCTGGGCAATGGCGGGCGCCCCTCCCCCAGCCTCGCTGCCGCCTTGCAGTTTGATCTCAGACTGCTGTGCTAGCAATCAGCGAGATTCCGTGGGCGTAGGACCCTCCGAGCCAGGTGTGGGATATAGTCTCGTGGTGCGCCGTTTTTTAAGCCGGTCTGAAAAGCGCAATATTCGGGTGGGAGTGACCCGATTTTCCAGGTGTGTCCGTCACCCCTTTCTTTGACTCGGAAAGGGAACTCCCTGACCCCTTGCGCTTCCCAGGTGCGGCAATGCCTCGCCCTGCTTCGGCTCGCACACGGTGTGCGCACCCACTGGCTTGCGCCCACTGTCTGGCACTCCCTAGTGAGATGAACCCGGTACCTCAGATGGAAATGCAGAAATCACCCGTCTTCTGCATCGCTCACGCTGGGAGCTGTAGACTGGAGCTGTTCCTATTCAGCCATCTTGGCTCCTCCCCCTCAAGATGTTTAAATCCTATTGATTTTACAACCTTTCACAGGTTTCCTAGAAGACAACAACACAGAAACCTGATGGACCTGTAGAAGGGAGGGGTAATATAGAATTAGCAGAATGTTTATAAATTAAGATCCATATTTATTTATAATATAATAACATTGGCCTCATCATGAAAAAAGTGCAGGTAAGTGGCACACCAATTATATCCTAGTTAGAAGTAACAAACAATCAGTGGTGTGAAAAGATAATTCTACTTATCATGTGGTTAGAAACATCTGAAAGTACCTCAAGCATATAGAGCTTCCAGTGCTGGCTGACCTGGGGAGAAAACTATGAGTTTTCAATTCTGTCCCAGCATGTCCCTGAAGTTTTCACTTACTTTTCTGGTGTGGGTGGGGGGGAGGGAGGTGGCGGGGGGATTGGAGGGCAGGGGCTCCATCTGTTGCCCAGGCTGGAGTGCAGTGACATGATCATAACTCACTACATTCTCAAACACCCAGTCTCAAGTAATCCTCCCACCTTCCAGCCTCCCAAGTAGCTGGGACCACAGACATGCACCACTGTACCTGGCTAATTTCAAATTTTTGGTAAAGACAAGGTCTTATTATGTTGTCCAAACTGGTTTCAAATTCCTGGGCTCAAGGAATCCTCTGCCCTTGCCTTCCAGAGAGCTAAGGTTATGGGCATGAGCCACTGTGCCCCGACTTTCACTTACATATTTTGGAAATAAGTTGCATCCCACTAGAGAAGTCCCAGCATCTGCAGGTGCTGTATAGGATGATGATTAAGTTCTTCCTACTCCATCAAGACCACCAGACAAAGGAAAGAGAGCACACTGCTACAGGCTGTAGCAGGTGTTATGGACTGAACCATGTCTCTTCAAAATTCATATTTGGAAACCCTAACCCTAATGTGGCTGTATTTGGAGATAGAGTCTATCAGCAGATAATAAAGACTCAATGAGCTCATAGGTGTGGGGCCCTCATCCTATAGGACTGGTGTCCTCATAAGAAGATGAAGAGAGATTCTCTCTCTCTCTTTCTCTTTTATTGTAATAAGAACCCTTAATATGAGATTTACCCTCTTAAATACTTAAGTACACAATACTGTATTGTTAACTATAGGCATGATTCTGTACAGTAGATCAGAGCTTGTATGTCTTGCATAACTGAAACTCTGTACCCACTAAACAATTCCCCATTCCTTCTTCTGCCAACCCTGGACAACCACAATTCCTTCATTATCTCTCTCTCTCTCTCCCTTTCTCTCTCTCTCCCCCTTTCCCTCTCTCTCTCTTTCTCTCTCTCTCTCTTTTTCCACCAATGCTTTTCTGCTTTAGGACAAAGGAAAGGCCATGTGAGGATACAGTGAGAAGGTGGCCATCTGCCAGCCAGGAAAAGAGTCCTCACCAGACCCCAATCTTAACAGCATCCTGTTCTTGGACTTCCAGCCTGCAGAACTGTGAGAAAATAAATTTCTGAGGACTGTGGGACCTAGCAGACTAATATGGTGAAGGTTTGTCCCCAGACAGGAATGCCTGAAGTTGGGACTCTCAGACTCAATAGAGCTGCATGTGTTCATTTTCACACTGCTATAAAGACATATCTGAGATGGAATAATTTATGGAGAAAAGAAGTTTAGCTTACATTTCCACAGGCTGTACAGGAGGCCTGGGTAGGGAGGCCTCAGAAAACATATAATCATGGTGGAAGTGAATGGGAAGCAGGCACAATCTCTACATGCCCAGCAGGAGAGAGAGAGAGAGAGAGAAGGGGGAAGTGTCACATACTTTTAAACAACTAGATCTTGTGAGAACTCAGTCACTACCACAAGAACATTAAGGAAGAAATCTGCCTCCATGATCCAATCATCTCCCACCAGATCCCTCCTCTAACACTGGGAATTACAATTCAGCATGAGATTTGGGTGGTGACACAAATCCAAACCATATCAAGAGCTAGGTCAGGATCAAGTCTCTGTCTCCTCATTTTATAAGGATAGCAAAAGCGTTAGCTGCAAGTTACTGAATTCACATGGTTTAACTGTAGAGACTCACCCAAACGTTATTTCAGAGACAACACAGGTAAGCTTTTTGAGACCAAGTTGTTTCCACAGGTAAGGAAAGATTAAACTATACACTGTTTGCAAAGCAGCTAACTTATGTATGATACACTATGCACAACTACCAGAAAAGAACACACAGGAAGATGCTGGAAATTAACTCAGTGGCTCCTCCTCTCTTCCAGATGTGGTTTTAAAAAATGCCCATTTCCTGTTCCTCAAAAAATTAAAAATAAATCTGCCATGTGGCTGAGCAACCCTACTCATATTTTTCCAAATGAAATAAAATCAAGATCTTAAACAGACATCTGCACCCCCATGTTCACTGCAGCATCATTCACTATAGAAAACATCTAAGTGTCCATGGATGGATGAATCGGTAAAGAAAATGTCATGCATATATACAGTGGAATCCTATTCAGCTTTAAGAAAGAAAGGCAACCAATCATTGGCAACAACACAGATAAACCTGGAGGACATTATGCTAAGCAGAATCAGCCAGGCACAGAAAGACAAATACTGCCATGTCTCACTTATATGCAGAGTATAAACTCATGAAACTCATAGAAGCAGAGGATGAATGGTGGTTGCCAGGTGCTCTGAGGAGTGGTAGTAGGAAGTTGTTCTGTGGGTATAAAGTTTCAGTTACACAAGACAAATAAGCTCTGATCTGCTGTCTACAACACTGCACCTGTAGTTAATAATACCATATTCTGTACCACTCAGCCATAAAAAGGAATGAAATAATGGCAATAGCAGCAACCTGGAAGGAATTGGAGACCATTATTCTAAGTTATGGAAAACCAAACATTGTATGCTTTTACTTATAAGCAGAAGCTAAGCTATGAGGATGCAAACGCGTAAGAATGGCATAATGGACTCTGGAGACTCAGGGGGAAGGGTGGGAGGGGTGAGGGATCAAAGAGGACACATTGGGTACAGTGCACACTGCTCAGGTGACAGGCGCACCAAAATCTCAGAAATCACCGCTAAAGAACTTATCCATGTAACCAAACACTACATGTTTCCCAAAAACTATTCAAATAATTTTTAAAGAGTTAATTAAAAAGTAGTAATAATTCTGTATTTGGTACTTAAAAATTGAGAAGATAAATTTCATGTTAGGAATTCTTACTGCAATTTTTTTTAATGTCTGTTTCCTAGTTCCATCCAAATCTTCTGATCTGCCAGTATCTGACTCTCTATCACCTAAGAATTTCCTCCAATGGCCCCCACTAAGAAGTCACACGTCCTGCTTAGCATGGGATACCTGCAGCTTTATTTCAGGTCACACAGGCTAATGTCAGGGAATCCACTACTCTCTGTGGAACCATAGGTACACAGCATTTCTTAAGTTCAAGATGTCTCTATAATTCCACTGGCTTCTCTTGTCATCGTCCAATTCCATGCCATACTGAAGTTTGAGGAGCTTCATTCTTTTGTTTTCCAATTCACTTTAGAAAAAAAATTAAATAAATAAAACGCACACCCTAGAATCTCATCCTTTCTCTCCCCAGGAGGTAAAATCTCCGAGCAGGTGCCCTGTGAACATGCTGGGAAGGTTCTAGTCTTGGATGATGGTTGAAGCATGTGTTCCTAATGAAAACTTTTAGAATAAAATTGGACCACAGCCACTGAGTATGGGTATAGGAATGCATCCAGGTGAGGGGGCTAGACAGAGCAGACCAAGATGGGAAGCAGAATTTGTAAATTCCCTCAGCTGTAGGAGTCCTGAGACAGACCCTTTGTATGGGGTGAAGCTGGAAACATTCAAGACTTGGTCCAGAGTCCTCCTGACCTGACAGCCGGGTCCCCCTGCCAGAACTTGGGGACACCTCCATAGACAACCATCAAAGACTAAACAATGGGTAAACAATGACCCAGAACAGTCTCCCCATGGTGCAGGTGCAGCAGTAACTTTGAGGTCATGTCAGACATCTCTCAGGCTGCAAGACCTCCCCACTCTCCTCTCCACTCTGTTCCTCCTCTTCCTCCTTTTTAAAAAACCATCTAGTACTTTCATGTGCTTCTCAGAAGACACAAACTGACACCAACCTGTGAAACTTAGATATGTCCAGGAGTACCCTCTATTTTGTTGAATTTTTTTTTTTTTTTTTTTTTTGCTACATTATGTTACAGCCTTGAGTTAGTCATATAACTGCACAAAAATCTGTGTGGACAATGTAAAAGAATTTTCAGGGTGTGAATACCCTTCTTTCTTCCTCCTCTCCTCCTCCTCCAGCTCCTCCTTCCTCCCTCTGCTTTCTTCTGCTTCCTCTAAGTTTTCTTTCTTTTTCTCCTCCTCTTCCTATCATCCTCCTCCTTCTCCTCCTATTTTTCCTTCTCTTTCTCCTCCTTCTCCTTCTCCCTCCAAATTTTTCTTTTTTTCTCCTCCTGCTCCTCCTCCTCCTCCTATTTTTCCTCCTCCCTCTCCTAGTTTTCCTTCTCTTTCTCCTCCTCCTCTTCCTTTTCCTCCTCCTTCTTATCTTCCTTCATCTCCTTCTCCTTTCTCATCTTCCTCTTCCTCTTCCCCTTTCCATCTTCCTTTCTCTTGCTTCCTTTTTTCTTCCCTTCCTCTCATCATCCATTCCTTCCTTCCTTCTTTCTTTCTTCTCACTTTGAGCACTCCACACAACCAATGCCACACAGTCAAGCATTCCCAGATACTTGTCAAGGGAATGTGATGAAAGACATAAAAAAGAGTACCAATCAGCCAAACAAAAGTGGGTCTGATACTAGTCAGATATAATTATGAAACCACCAGTACCTCTTTCCAGGATGGGATGGAGGTTGAAGGCTGATGCATAGCCAACATGAAACACAGTCTCAACTGCATAACCAGTAATTCCACTCCTGAGTTGATACAGAAAAGAATTGGAGGCCAGGTGCAGTGGCTCACACCTGTAATCTCAGCACTTTGGGAAACCAAGGCAGGAGGATCACTTGACGTCAGGGGTTCAAGACAAGCCTAACCAACATGGTGAAACCCCATCTCGACTAAAAATACAAAAAAAAAAAAAAATTAGCGGGCCATGGTGACATGTGCCTGTAGTCCCAGCTACTCAGAAGGCTGAGGCACAAGAATCACTTGAACCCAGGAGGCAGAGGTTGCAGTGAGCTGAGATCTTGCCACTGCACTCCAGCCTGGGGGAAACTGAGACTCCACCTAAACATCATCATCATCATCAACAATAACAACAACAAATGGGGGCTTGACATAGTGCCCCATGCCTGTAATGCTAGCACTTTGGGAAGCCAAGATGAGAAGGTCACTTGGGACCAGGAGTTTGAGACCAGCCTGCCTGATCAATACAGCAAGAGCCTCATCACTAAAAATAAAAATAATTTTAAAAAGAATTGGGACTCCAACAGATATGTACACACCATATTCATAGCAGCACCATGGGTCAGGAAGTTTGGCTCACACCTGTAATCCCAGTGCTTTGGGAAGCCAAGGTGAGTGGGTTACTTGAGTCTAGGAATTTGAGGCTAGCCTGGCCAATGTGGTTAAACCCAGTCTGTACACATACACACAAAAAAACACACACAAAAATTAGCTGAAGGTGGTGCACACCTGTAGTCACAACTACTTAGGAGCCTGAGATGAAAGAATTGCTTGAGCCCAGGAGGCAGGGGTTGCAGTGAGCCAAGATGATGCCACTGCACTCCAGCCTGGGTGACAGAGCAAGACCCTGTCTCAAAACAAATGAATAAATAAATAAATAGATGAACAGCAGCATAATGCACAAGAGCCAAAAATAGAAACAACTTAAACATTCACCGGAGCATGAATGCAGTTATGTAAATATAGCTCACACATAATGACAGTCTATGATTGCACCATAAAAAAGACTGGAACTCTCACACATGCTGCGTGAATACTCCTTGAAAACATAATGCTAAGTTTAAAAAGACAGACAAAAAGGTCTCATATTGTGTGATTCTATTTACATGAAAGACCCAGAATAGGCAGAGAGACAGATAGCAGAGTGGTATCTGCTGGAAGCTTCCTGGGGAGAGGATTTCAGAGTGAGGGGCCGATAACTATTGGGTGTAATTTCTTTGAGGGTAACTCTACTAAAAATACAAAAATTAGCTGGTAGTGGTGGCACGCACCTGTAATCCCAGCTTCTTGGGAAGCTGAGGAAGGACAATCACTTCAACCTGGGAGGCAGAGGTTGCAGTGAGCCGAGATGGCGCCACTGCACTCCAGCCTGGGCAACAGAGTAAGACCCTGTCTCAAAAAAAAAAAAAAAAATGTTTCATCGATTGGCATGATCACTGCTCAGCACTGCTGTGTGCTAAACATTAATTCACTGTTGTGAATGCACTTAATGCCATCAAATTGCAAAAGTGACTAAAAATTGTAAATTATAGGTTATGTGCATCTTGCAACAATTAAAACATTAAACTAAAATGACCCAGTCTCAGAGATAGCACAACCAAACCTCCATGGCTGATGTCCTGCTGGGACTTGGAGCTAGGAAGAAGGCCCAGGATGGGCACTGGTTTTCATCCCGTTTCATGGGCAGTTTCCTACGGACAACCTTTTTTTCACCATGCCATTTTTTGGAGTGCTTTGTGGTATCCAGGTCCAACCCTGAAGGAAATGACATCTAGTCTCCTGCTCCTGTCTTTGGGATAACGTTTTTCCCAGTTTCCAGCTGTGGTTGCATCTCATCTATCCTCTGAGGCTGAGATTATGGGGAGCTGTCACAGGTATCCTCATCTTATTCCAGGCAGCAGCTGGGTGCCAGGAGCCCACTTATGCACACTCACTGAGCAGGGACCCTTCCTCCTCTGAGAGAGCTTGCCTTCCTGGGTGCCCCATTCCCCAGCCATCCAGAGAGTTGTGGAGAAGGGACACCTGGGAAGCATTGGAGTAGTGGCATTACTGGTGGTGAAGCCATATGGGTCTACAGCACAGGGTCTTGCATCTCTTCGCCCCTGAGTCTTCCCTTGGGGTGGGCTGCCCGCATGCACAGCAGCCTGCCAGCACTTGGGAGGGGAGCATGCACTGTGTGTTTACTGGAGTTGGACGCATGCTCACTTTAGGCATTCTTCCCTTACCAGTCGAGTGTTCCTAGAAGTTTGTAGACCAGTTAAACTCCACCATTTTGCCTCTCAGTGTGCATGTTTGAGCCCACTCACTCACCCCCTGAGATCATATTGGGAAGCTGCTGACCACCAGTTTCAGGTGTTTTGTATGTACTGGTGCTGGCTGTGACCAATTGTTATTTTAAAGAGACAGTTTATTAACCTCTTGACCATCACCTTCTGACATTTCTTATGTGTGTGGCGAGGGGAGCAGGGGGAGCCCATCTTATGCCCTGTTCATGCCTGGCATGCTACCTACCCTAACAGTAGTATCAGGGGCATGTGAACCAGAACAACTCCATCTTAACTAGGAGCTGGGTAAAATGAGGCTAAAACCTACTGGACATCATTTCCAGATGACTGAAGGATTCTAAGTCACAGGATAAGGGAGGAGGTCAGCAAAAAATACAGGTCATAAAGACCTTGCTAATAAAACAGGTTGCAGTAAAGGAGTCTGCCAAAACCTCCAAAATCAAAATGGCAACAAGAGTGACCTCTGGTTGTCCCCACTGCTACACTCCCACCAGCACCGTGACAGTTTACAAATGCCGTGGCAACATCAGGAAGTTACCCTATATGGTCTCAGGACCGTGTTCTGTAACAGTAGGAGGCACAAGACCCCAAGTTCATCTTTAAATCCTCTTAGGCATCTCCTAGGACCACTTTCCCTCCATTGAATTGCAGCTGATCTCTGCTACTGCCTTGTAAAAAAAAACAAAAAAACAAAAAATGTGCTTCCCTTGCAGTTCCCCAAAACTCACTGCCCCAAACTCTTCTTTTTCTCATTCACAAAAAATCTACCTGAAAAGAAGCCCTGGTAACCACAGATGGGTATCACATAAACCCATTCCCAAGCCCTGCAGTGACCTGCTTTGCTGAGGCTGCGAGACCTGTCCTGATCCCTTATCACCTTAAGGATCTCATTGTTGGTAGCCTCGGGTAGGACCCACCTGTCTGCAAAAATCAAAGCAAAACAAAACAAAAATTATTTTTACAAAGGCTCTTCCTCCACTTGGGGTGAGGCTTCTGCAGACAGATCTAGGGCAGGTCTTCGAAGGGACAGTTTGAAAGAGGAATTGTGAAGTCTGCCTTTTCCTAAAGCCTCCTCTCCCTGGGGATCTGCAAGGGAAAGGTTGGGGAGATTGCATTCTATTTACATTGCATCTGCTTTCTTCTGAAAACTCCCTAGGGATATCTGTGGAGCCGGTTGCCTCCCTAAGCCCCAAGCCCAATCTTTTCTCTTCTCTTCTTTTTTTTTTTCTTTGGAGAAGTCTCCAAGCTGGACAAATTCAATTCTTTCTGTATTCAACAAGATAACCTCTAAAAAACCTGCCTACCGGGTCTTAAGTATTCAGTAGAGAGGTGTGTAGAGAAAAACATTTAAGGTGAAATGAGAGCTCTGACTGACATTTCTGTTCCTTAGATCCCAAGGCAACAGGCAGAAACTCCAAGGAAACATCAGAAACCCAGGAGGCAGACAGAAGAGGACCTGGGTTTCTCCAAAAGCCAAACTGTAGCACTTGCTGCTCTAAACTGCCTTTCTGAGAGCTGTTAATTTTCCACATTGGAAAAGTGGCCAAGCTGAGTCAACAGGTTTTCCCGTGGAAGAGCTAGCTCACCCAGAAGCAATTCTAAGTGCTGTAGATTCCTGCAAACACCTGTCTTTGCAAACCAAGCAGCTTTTCCAGTGTACAATAAGACAATTAAGAGGAACCCAGCCATTCTGGCAGTCTCTTTACTCATCTTTTCTTTGCCAATGTGACTTCAGCATCAAGTTAATTGGCAATTGCGGTTACCATAAAGTGTTTCCTTGCCAGTTTTAAAGTATCTTTCAAATTGCCCAAGTATTTAAAATTATCTTCTTCTTGGAAGATTAAGCCCTGCCTGAAAGTTTTTGTTTCAAATTGCTATTGATTGAAACATTCAGCCTTCAATGGGAAGGAAATTCTAACACAGTCTACAATGTGGATGAACCTTGAGAGCATTACACTAAGTGAAATAAGTCAGGTGCAAAAGGACGACTAGAGTGTGGTTCTGCTTGTTTGGGACAGTCAACCTAAAAAGAAGCAACTCAGGTAAAATTACTATAAATAGAGTTTATTTTGGCCAAACTTGATGCTTGCAAACTGAAAGAGTAGATTCAAGTTGCCCTGTATATACACTTAGATGCTTGGATTAGCAGCAGTTATGTTAGAAATAAGAGCTTGGAGTCCCAAAGAAAATGAGCACTCAAACAAAATACTTCTCAACAAAGCAAATTTACCTCTGCAGAAGGACACTGTCTGCATCAGTCACAATGGCAAGAGGACACTGAATAAAGAAAGGAAAGGGTTTTGATCTCTAATACATAGTCTCTACCTCTGTGTCACTAGCCCATGGGCTGGCGTCAGACCACACAATCTAAGATGACCCAATTGGCTACTTGTGAGTAATTTCTCAAGTAAGAAAAAGGAAAGGGAAGGTGAATTACAGTGGTGGTGAGAGATGAAGCCAGCTGGGCTTCCTGAGTCAAGTGGGGACTTGGAGAATTTTTCTGTCTTACAAGAGGATTGTGAAACACACCCATCAGTCCTGTGTAGCTAGCAAAGGGATTGTAAAATGCATCAATCAGCACTCTGTAAAAACACACCAATCAGCTCTCTGTAGCTAGCAGAGGATTGTCAAATGCACCAATCAGTGCCCTGTAAAATGCACCAATCATCACTCTGTAAAACGCCCTAATCAGCACTCTGTAAAATGCACCAATGAGCAGGAGTCTAAAGGTAGCCAACCACAGGGAAGATTGAAAAAAGAGCACTCTGGTAGGACACAAACAGAACATGGGAGGGGACAAATAAGGGAATAAAGCCTGGCCACCCCAGCCAGCAGTGGCAACCCTCTCAGGTCCCCGTCCATGCTGTGGAAGCTTTGTTCTTTTGCTATTCAAAATAAACCTTGCTACCACTCACTCTTTGCATCTGTGCCATCTTTAAGAGTGGTAGCACTCACCGCGAAGGTCCACAGCTTCATTCTTGAAGTCAGTGACACCACAAATCCACTGGAAGGAACCAACTCTGGACACATCTTGGGGGCTTGCCTGGGGTATCACCACATGGTGAGTACCATCGGTCCCCTTTCACTTGATCTTCTGTCCTATTTTTCCTTAGAATTTGGGGGCTAAACACCAGGCACCTGTTAGGCAGTTAAAAGTGACTAGCACAGCTGCTGGACTAAAGACACTGGTGTCAGGCCTTCTGGGAAAGTAATAACAACCCCCAACTGTTCGGAGTTCAGAGCATTGGTTTGCCTGGAACCAGCTTCTGCTTTACCTGTACTTCTGGACTGAGCCAAGGGTTGACAGAGAGGAAAGTCATTCAGCTCCGGGGTCCTGACAAAAAGTTGGTTGACCCTACAGCCATGAGCAGAACTCTCAAAGTTATGTTGCCCAAGCAAGACTGACACATCTATCCCATCTATCCTGACCCTTGCCTCCTGTGTCCTAATGCCTGTCAGACAATATTCCTCCCACCTCTTTTCTCCAAGGCTAGTCCCATTTCTAAAAGCATATCCCTGTTTCTGATGCTTTTCTAGTTTCTCCTATAAGAATGATTTCTAGTATAAATTTCAGGATTCTGTTGCCTTCTTTAGGCACCTGGGCTCACCAATCAGAAAGATATAATTTTTCATGAAGCCCCATTTTTTGGGGGACTATGTGGAATTTTAGGATTCCTCCTCAGACTAGCAGGCCTAACAAAGGCTATTCCTGAAGCTAGGATATGGGGTGCCTCAGAAATGGTATGCCTTCAATTCATATGATGAGAAGTGAGGACAAAAGGTGTCACTCTTCCAACCCTGGAGATCCCTTCTCTCCCTCAGGGTTGGGCCCTCCACTCCATTTTGAGGCTATAAAAGACAAGGGTAAGTTCCCAATACCAACAGGAGAAAATGCTTAGGACTCTAACTAACAGGTTTTTGAGAATGCGTTGGTAAGGTCCACTAAATCTGACCTTCTTGGTCCTCTTCATGGTCTAAGAGGAAAGGGAGGGGTTCAGGTTTTCGAGAATGCATCAGTAAGGGACGTTAAATCTGACCTTCCTCTGTCCTCTTTTTAGTCTAAGAGGAAAGGCAGTGTTTCCACTGCTGCTTCAGTGAGTGCAACTATTCCAAACAGCAGGGTCCAGGGACCATTGCAGATTCTTGGGCAGGGGAGAAAAAACATCAACAACCAAAACAGTGGGCAGCTTTTTCTTTCAGGTAGGAAACACTCAGGCATCAACAGGCTCATCCCTGAAATGCATCCTAAGCCCTTGGGACAAATTTGACCCACAAACCCTGAAAAAGAAGTGGCTTAATTTTTTTCTGCACTATGGCCTGGCCCCAAAATTCTCTCTGATGGGGAAAAATGGCCACCCGAGGGAAGTATAAATTACAATACTATACTGCAACTTGACCTTTTCCGTAAGAGGGAAGGTAAATGGAGTGAAAAACTTATGTCCAAACTTTCTCTTCACTGAAGGATAATCCACAACTATGCAAAGCTTGCAATCTACATCCCACAGGAGGATGTCTCAGCTTACCTCCATATCCTAGCTTCCCTACAGCTCAACTTCCTATTAATGATAATCCTCCTCTAATCTCCTCCACCCAGAAGGAAACAAGCAAAGAAATCTCCAAGGGACCACAAAAGCCCCTGGGCTGTCAGTTATGTCCCTTCAAGCTGTAGGGGGAGGGGAATTTGGCCCAACCCGGATACATGTCCCCTTCTCCCGCTCTGATTTAAAGCAGATCAAGGTAGATATGGGGAAGTTTTCAGATGATCCTGATAGGTATATAGATATCCTACAGGGTGTAGGGCAAAACTTTGACCTCACTTGGAGAGATCTCATGCTATTGTTAGATCAAACCCTGGCCTTTAATAAAAAGAATGCAGCTTTAGCTGCAGCTGGAGAGTTTGGAGATACCTTGTATCTGAGTCAAGTAAATCATACAATGACCGACGAAGAGATGGACAAATTCCCTGCTGGTCAGTAAGCCATCCCCAGTATGGATCCCCACTGAGTCCTAGACTCAGATCATGGGGACTGGAGCTGCAAACATCTGTTGACCTGTGTTCTAGAAAGACAAAGGAGAATTAAGAAAAACTCAATGAATTATTCAATGATGTCCACCATAACTCAGTGAAAGGAAGAAAATTCTACCAACTTCCTTGAGCAGCTACAGGAGGCCTTAAGAAAATATCCTCCTCTGTCATCTGACTCCCTTGAGGGTCAGTTCATCCTCAAAGGTAAGTTTATTACCCAATCAGCCAGAGATATCAGAAGAAAGCTCCAAAAGTGAGCCCTGGGCCCTGAACAAAATCTGGAGGTATTATTAAACCCAGCAAACTTGGTGTTCTATAATAGGGACAAAGAGGAACAGGCCGAACAGGAAAAGTGAGATATGAGAAAGGCCACAGCCTTAGTCATGGCCCTCAGAAAAACAAAACTTGGTGGTTCAGAGAGGACAGAAAAATGGAACAGGCTAATCAACCAGTAGGGCTTCTTATCAGTGTGATGTGCAAGGACACTTTAAACAAGTTGTCCAGTGAGAAACAAGCCACCCCCTCTTCCATGTCCATTATGCCAAGGCAATCACTGGAAGGTGCACTGCCCCAAAGGAGAAAGGTTCTCTGGGCCAAAAGCCCCCAACCAGGTGATCCAATAGCAAGACTGAGGGTCCCTGAGGCAAGCAACAGTTCATGTCATCACCCTCACTGAGCCCTCAGGTAAATTTAACCATTGAGGGCCAGAAAAGTGACTTCCTCCTGGACACTGGTGTGGTCTTCTCAATGTTAATCTCCTGCCCTGGACAGCCATCCTCAAGGTCCTTTACCATCTGAGGAATCCTGGGACAGCCTGTAAACAGGTGTTTCTCCCAACTCTTCAGCTGTAATTGGGACATTTTGCTCCTTTCACATGCCTTCCTTGTTATGCCTGAAATTCCCACACCCTTATTAGGGAGGGACATATTTACCAGAGCTGGAATTATTATCTATATGACTATGGGGAACAAGTTAGACATTTGTTGTCCCCTACTTGAAGAAGCAATCAACAATGAAGTCTGGGCACTGGAAGGACAATTTGAATGGCAAAAAAATGTCCAACCAGTCCAAATCAGGCTAAAAGACCCCACCACTTTTCCTTATCAAAGGCAATATCCCTTAAGGCCTGAAGCTCATAAAGGATTACAGGATATTGTTAGACATTTAAAAGTTCAAGGCTTAGGAAGAAAATGCAGCAGTTCCTGCAAAATCCCAATTCTAGAATTGCAAAAACCCAGTCAGTGGAGATTAGTGCAAAATCTTAGACTCATTAATGAGGCAGTAATTCCTCTATATCCAGTTGTTCCCAACCCCTATACCATGCTCTCTCAAACACCAGAGGAAGCAGAATAGTTCATTGTTCTGGACCTCAAGGGTGCCTTCTTCTGCATTCCCCTGCACTCTGAGTTCCAGTGTCTCTTTGCCTTTGAGAATCCCACAGACCACATGTCCCAATTTACATGGACGGTCTTGCCTCAAGGGTTTAGAGATAGCCCTCATTTGTTTGGTTAGGCACTGGCCCAAGATCTAGGCCACTTCTCAAGTCTAGGCACTCTGTTCCTTCACTATGTGGGTGATTTAATTTGGCTACCAGTTCAGAAGTCTCATGCCAGCAGGCTACCCTAGATCTCTTGAACTTTCTAGCTAACCAGGAGTACAAGGTATCTAAATTGAAAGCCCAGCTCTGCCTACAATAAGTCAAATATCTAGGCCTAATTTTAGGCCGAGGAATCAGGGCCCTCAGCAAGGAATGAATACAGCCTGTACTGGCTTATGCTTGCCCTAAGACATTAAAACAGTTGTGCGGGTTCCTTGGGATCACTGGCTTTTGCCAACTATATATCACCAGATACAGCAAGATGGCCAGGCCACTGTATGATCAAGGAGACCCAGAGGGAAAATACTCATCTAGTAGAATGGGAAACAGAGGCAGAAACAGCCTTCAAAACCTTAAAGCAGGCCCTAGTACAAGCTCCAGCCTTAAGCTTTCCCACAGGACAAAACTTCTCTTTATATGGCACAGAGAGAATAAGAGTAGCTCTTGGAGTCCTTACTCAGACTCATGGGGCAATCCCACAATCAGTGGCATACCTAAGTAACAAAATTGATGTAGTAGCAAAAGGCTGGCCTCACTGCTTATGGGCAGTTGCAGTGGTGGCTATCTTAGTATCAGAGGCTATCAAAATAATACAAGGAAACGATCTCACTGTCTGGACTACTCATGATGTAAATGGCAAAATAGGTGCCAAAGGAAGTTTATGGCTATCAGACAGCTGCCTGCTTAGATACCCTCCTTGAGGGACTGGCACTTCAAATACACATATGTGCAGCCCTCCACCATGCCACTTTTCTCCCAGAGGTTGGGAAACCAATTGAGCATGACTGCCAACAAATTGTAGCCCAGACTTATGCTACCCGAGAGGATCTTTTAGAAGTCCCCTTAGCTAATCCTGACCTTAACCTATATACTGATGGAAGTTCATTTGTGGTGAATGGGATACAAAGGGCAGGTTATGCCATAGTTAGTGATGTAACAGCACTTGAAAGTAAGCTTCTTTCCCCAGGGACCAATGCCCAGTTAGTAAAACTAGTGGCACTTACCTGAGCCTTAGAACTGGGAAAGGGAAAAAGAATAAATGTGTGTGCAGATAGAAAATATGCTTATCTAATCCTACATGCCCATGCTGCAATATGGAAAGAAAGGGAGTTCCTAACCTCTGGGGGAACCCCCATTAAATAGCACAGGGAAATCATAAAGTTATGTGCAAAAACCCAAGGATGTGGCAATCTTACACTGCCAAAGCCATCAAGAAGGTGAAGGAGAAAAGGCAGAAAAGGCCATCGGGCAGATGCTGAGGCCAAAACTGCTGCCAGGCAGAACCTCCCATTGTAAATACTTATGGAAGAACTCTTGGTATGGAACAACCATCTCCAAGAGATTAAGCCCCAGTATTCCCTTATGAAACAGAATGGGGACTTTCACATGGGCATAGTTTTCTGCCCTTGGGGTGGTTAAAGACAGAAGAGGGAAAGGTACTCATACCCAAAGCCAGAAAGTGGAAAATATTTAAGACCCTCCACCAAACTTTTCATATGGGTACTGAGAACACTCACCGAATGGCCAAATCCCTATTTACAGGCCCAAATCTCCTCTGGACCATCCAACAAGTAGTCAAAGCCTGTGAGGTGTGCCAAAGGAATAATCCCTTGGTCTATCATAAGGCTCCTCTGAGGAACAAAGAATTTGTCACTATCCTGGAGAGGACTGGCAGTTAGAGTTCACCCATATGCCTTAGTCAAGGGGATTTCAATACTTGTTGGTCTGTGTTGATACCTTTACAAACTGGATAGAAGCCTTCTCCTTCAAGACAGAGAAGGCTCAAGAAGTGGTTACTGTCCTAATTCATGAAATAATTCCTAAATTTGGGCTTCCCCAAAGTTTACCAAGAATACCCTAACAGGATGTGCAATCCAGCTTTTATGCTGTTACATTGCCAACCTTACCTATTACACAAGCAGCGAAAAGCCCATATACGACCCTGTAACCCTGAATACCATCTTAACTCTCCAAGCCCCTTGGTGCATCCAATGCAACCTGTTATCAGGCTTGTCCCTGGGGCACCTACTATCCCATCTGTGTAATTACACCCTACAACTTCAAGCTCCAATTGATCATAGTAACTTCCGAGTCACACAAACAGCTCCATTCAGATGGCTTGCCCATTTCTAAGAGCCTCCAAAAATCATCACCTCCTCCATGCTTAACAAACAGTCCAGGTTTTATAATGGTAAACAAACTCCCTGCATGACGTTTCACCCCTGGACCCCCTGCAGCAGTACCCGCACCAGTAGTGAATACCTTCTCATCCCCTCTTTCAATTACTCCTTTAAATGGTTCCTAGTAGATACAAAATAGTTTTTTCTCCAATGGGAAAATAGAACTCAGTTTTCTCCCAACACCCCTTTCCAGACAATAATTGGAGCTACCTTGGCAAGTACTCTCCTTTTTAACATACACAACCAGTTCTGTCTACCCAGCCAAGGCATATTCTTCTTATGTGGAACTTCAACCTGTATCTGCCTCCCCACCAAATGGACAGGCACCTGCACCTTAGTCTTCCTAAGTCCCAGCATTGACTTTGCCCCAGGAAATCAGACCCTATCAGTGTCCCTCAAAGCTCATGTCCATCAGCACAGGGCCATACAACTAATTCCCCCACTTATAGGGTTAGGAATGGCCACTGCTACAGGAACTGGAATAGCCGGTTTATCTACTTCATTATTCTACTACCACACACTCTCAAAGGATTTCTCAGACAGTTTGTAAGAAATAACAAAATATGTTTATTCTACAATCCCAAATAGACTTTTTGGCAGCAGTGACTCTCCAAAACCGCTGAGGCCTAGACCTCCTCACTGCTGACAAAGGAGGACTTTGCACCTTCTTAGGGGAAAAGTGTTGTTTTTACACTAACCAGTCAGGGATAATATGAAATGCCACCCAGCATTTACAGGAAAAGGCTTCTGATATCAGACAACACCTTTCAAACTCTTATACCAAACTCTGGAGTTGGGTGACAGGGCTTCTCTCCTTTCTAGGTCCCATGACAACCATCATGCTATTACTCACCTGTGAGCCCTGTATTTTTAACCTCCTTGTCAATTTTGTTTCCTCCAGGATTGAGGCCATCAAGCTACAGATGGCCTTACAAATGGAACCCCAAATAAGCTCAACTCACAACTTCTACTGAGGACTTTGGATGGATCCACTGGCCCTTTGACTGTCTTAGAGAGTTCCCCTCTGGAGGACACTGCAACTTTAGGGCCATTTCTCCACCCCTATCCAGCAGGAAGTAGCTACAGCTGTCATTGCCCTATTCCCAACAGCAGTTGGAGTGTCCTGTTTAGAGGGGGGATTGAAAGGTGAAGCCAGCTGGACTTCCTGGGTCAAGTGGGGGACTCGGAGAACTTTTCTGTCTTACAAGAGGATTGTAAAATGCATCAGTCAGTGCTCTGTAGCTAGCAAGGGGATTGTAAAATGCACAAATCAGCACTCTGTAGCTAGCAAGGAGATTGTAAAATGCATCAATAGCACTCTGTAAAATGCATCAATCAGTGGGGGTCTAAAAGTAGCTAATTGCAGGGAGGACTGAAAAAAGGGCACTCTGATAGGACAGAAATGGTACATGGGAGGGGACAAATAAGGGAATAAAAGCTGGTCACCCCAGCCAGCTGTGTCAACCTGCTTGGGTCCTCTTCCATGCTGTGGAAGCTTTGTTGTTTTGCTCTTCATGATAAACCTTGCTACTGCTCACCCTTTGTATCCTGTGCCATCTTTAAGGTAGCAACACTCACTGCGAAGGTCCTTGGCTTCATTCTTGAAGTCAGCGAGACTACGAACCCACCAGAAGGAACCAACTCCAGACACAGTGGGATGTGTGGTTTTGGCAGAAGGAATGGTGCAGAATGAGTAACCAAGGGAATAGATGTGAGTCATTGATTAGCGCTGATGGGAAGGTTGTTTACAGTAACTGGGGGCAAGGAGACACAGAGAAAAAGAAAGGTTTGGGAACAAAGAACAAGAAAGTTAACAGGCTAAAACGTTTGAAGAGAAATTTTATTGTATCTTACAATTCCCCCTTTGTAATTTTTACAGTCCTTCCTCTTCAAACCTTTTTAACATGTCCTGACTTTGCTGTTTAACTTGATCCTTTAAAAGGAAAAGCTTTTCTGAATAAGGTGGAGGAGAACCAAGGGAGGTTTTAGTAAGTGCTATTTCTATAAGCCTTTGTGCTAGCCCACGGATGCATGGTATGACACAACATCCAACAAGAATGAGTACACTTATGACTGCAAAAGAAGTAAGAACTGAGTCTCTGATTACTTTCCATTTAGCAAAGCGTCTTTCTAGACATCCTGAAAAATGGTTATCAATTTCCAGGATTTCTAGCTAGTTCATTGGATAAAGTGGTAAGTCCTTGTAAGTCCCTTGTTATGCTTCCATCGGTGGCAATATTGTTTGGGATGAAGGTACAACATTGGGTTTTAATCATAATGCAAACTCCACTTTTTCAGCTAACATCATGTGTAGGGCCATTCTGTTTTCCCAAGCCATTTGGCTAGATGGCCCTAATTGCTCAACTATTCCTTTAATGGCATCCCTAGTATAATTGACAAATCATTGTTGGTTATAGTAGTTATAATTTATCTAATCTACATTTTTATTAACAGTTACCCACCAGAACAAGGATTCAAGCTCTGCAGCTATTTGGTTTTAAGCTTTAAATTTATCTGGTACCCCTCATGTGTCCCCAGTAGCATTTATTTAATGTGAGGGTCAAAAGATTCATGTGGAACACTTCTTTTTGTCTGATTCTCTTTTTTATTATGCTGATGGAATGCCAGGGTGAAAGATATGACCAATTGGACCAGAGCACAAGTGATGCTCCAGTTATTTGGCAGAGTATTACTATTTAGGTAATAGCAGTCCACCACAATATCACTATATATCTGCTTGGGAATAGACAAGGGCAGTTTGACTGGTAAGTTCTTGGAAAGACTTGGTTTCACTATACTTTGTCAGGACTCCAAGGGACATTAATCTTTCCCCTACCGTGAGAGACATGAGGCTGGATGGCTCTCTGGGGCTGACCCACAGAGTCCTTACCTTGAGGGAATAGCAGAGAGAATCTTGCATGCCTCATTATACCAGGCTGTGGGATTTTGAAAGACACTCACCATGCAGCTCATGCCCAGTTGTTTAGAAGACCATCCAAGTGGGAAGAGGACTATCTGGGCCTCTGTCCTGCCTGCCACACAAGTGTAATATTCACTTTTGTTAAACGTGTGAAAAGATATTTAATCCATTCCAGCCAGGCATTTACATATTGGAATCCTGTTTTAACTGCTAAAGTTTGTTTTAAATATTTAACTTCTACAATGTCTAGTTTGATGTTGCCATTGGGTAGGGAAGGGTTAAGAGGTCTAGAAGGATACATAGATTCTTGCTGGGGAGGTCCAACCCTGATTTTTGGTAATCCATAGAACATTAGACCAGCTATGGCAGAGAAGTTTTGTTCTTGGAGGATAAGATTTCCAGCTAACAGAAACTTTTCCAGAACCTTTCCAGTCTAAAGGAGTCCAGCTAACAGAATCTACCCAGTCTGAGGAGCTTTACAGAGGGCAGAGATACTTCTCTGAATTAAAGAGCTGCATTTGACTTTGCATGACTCCACAAGGTGTAATAGGAGAAGCATCAAAACTAATGGTTTGAAATGGGCTTGATCTAATTACATTAATCATAAGATGGGGGGTCATCTAAGGGAAAGAGAAGGAGAGAGAGACAGACAGATTAGGCTTTTCTCTTTAACGTTACTCTGGTGGAGGCTGGTCCTGAGATGACGGTCCATTTTTTTTTTCTTGCTGTGGAAGTTACTCCTTTTACCCATGTGTGATTTGTCCATCCCCTTTTGGTTGTGCAGACAGTGGTCTCTGTAGTCAACAGAACAATTTAGGGTGTGGAGAAAAGCAAGAGAGATCAGATTGTTACTGTGTCTGTGTAGAAAGAAGTAGACATAGGAGACTCCATGTTGTTCTGTACTAAGAAAAATTCTTCTGCCTTGAGATGCTGTGATAGATTAACAAATCTATAACTTTACCCTCAACCCCATGCTCTCTGAAACATGTGCTGTGTCAACTCAGGGTTGAATGGATTAAGGGTGGTGCAAGATGTGCTTTGTTAAACAGATGCTTGAAGGCAGCATGCTCATGAAGAGTCATCACCACTCCCTAATCTCAAGTACCCAGGGACACAAACACTGTGGAAGGCCACAGGGACCTCTGCCTAGGAAAGCCAGGTATTGTCCAAGGTTTCTCCCCATGTGATAGTCTGAAATATGGCCTCATGGGAAGGGAAAGACCTTACCTTCCCCCAGCCCGACACCCGTAAAGGGTCTGTGCTGAGGAGGATTAGTATAAGAGGAAGGAATGCCTCTTTGCAGTTGAGACAAGATGAAGGCATCTGTCTCCTGCCCATCCCTGGGCAATGGAATGTCTCAGCATAACACCCGATTGTATGTTCCATCTACTGAGATAGGGAGGTGGGACATGCAGGCAACAATACTGCTCTGTAAGGCATTGAGATGTTTATATGTATGCATATCTAAAGCACAGCACTTAATTCTTTACCTTGTCTGTGATGCAGAGACCTTTGTTCCCGTGTTTATCTGCTGACCTTCTCTCCACTATTATCCTGTGACCCTGCCACATCCCCCTCTCTGAGAAACACCCAAGAATGATCAATAAATACTAAAGGAACTCAGAGGCCAGCAGGATCCTCCATATGCTGAAAGCTGGTCCCCTGGGCCCCCTTATTTCTTTCTCTATACTTTGTCTCTGTGTCTTTTTCTTTTCCAAGTCTCTCGTTCCACCTAACAAGAAACACCCACAGGTGTGGAGGGGCAACCCACCCCTTCAGAAGCGTCCTTTTTAAGTGGGTTCAAGCTTCTCCTCCTTCCACCTCTTCTGCAGATGAACCAGGTACTTAAGAGTTGGACTTTGCGATAGGAGGCCTTGAGTCCTGAGAGAGGAAATGGTGGAAGACAGACCAAATATATAGTTTTTAAGAAAGTGATATTTTGTCTTAAATGTAGGAAGGTCAGTAGCAAAATTTAGGTAAGGCACCCTGTAGAGGATTTTTGGGTTATCCTTTTAATAATGAGTGTGGTAGACTGGGTCCTATTGTCTGAATCAATATTTTCTATTAGTCCAAACCTGGGTATGATATGTTCTAACAGAGCTTTGACAACATTACTGGCTGTCGCACTTGAGAAGAGGATGGCATTTACCCAGTGGATAAGATGGTATTTGAGGGAACCTACTGGGGCATTTCAACATAGTCCACTTGGACAATTTTGAATGGCCTTAGCCCTGGTTTCTTCCTCTGAAAGGTTGCTTCTTTAAGGTTTGCTTATTTTTTTTCTTTTGCACACTATGCATCTATCTGTAACTTGCTTAGTGATGGTATAGATCCCCGTACACCTATAAACTCTAAGGACAGCGTCACTCATAGCTTGGGGATCCCAGTGGATTCCTTGATGGAGTTGCGACAGTACTACCCTCATGAGGGTTTTAGAAAACATTTTCCTTCCATCTAGTAATACCCACTTTCCCCTCTGGGCTTCACTCAGCTCCTAAACTTTTTCTTTAGTTTTTCTTGGTCTGCTTGGGGAAAGATGGGGATTGCAGCTGGAGGGGGAAGACAGGGTGTTAGGTGGAAAATGGGTACCACCTGGGAAGAGACAGCTTGCTTCAATATTATTTCCCCAGGTTTCAAAAGTTGGGTTCCTTTGGTGTCCTGGGACATAAACAACAGCCCCATTCAGTCCAGATTTTTCCAATGGTGTGGACTATTCCAAAGGCATATTTGGAGTCAGTATAGATAGTTCCTTTCAGTACAGATAGTTCCTTCTTGGTTTTGTAGACATTTTAAAGCATGAATGAGTGCAAATAGCTCCCATGTTTGCATCTTTTAAATCTATTACTGTGAATCATTGGTGGTTGGTTGGGATTCTATCACAGTAGTGTGAGATTAGGAACAACAGGGTGACTGGTTTAAACTATTTGATAAATAGCCCAGAGGTCTTGCACTAACTGGTATGACCTCTTTGCCTTCTTTACAGGCAGTATTGGAGTATTATAAGGGGACACACAGGGTTCAAGGAGTCCATCATGGAGAAGGCTTTCAATTATAGGTTTTAAACCCATTTTAGCTTTTAAAGGAATAGGGTATTGTTTTCTTTTTACTATTTCCCCAGGAATTTTTAATTTGTCATGGATTGGACGAACCCACAACTTTCCTTGATTATCTTCTCTTGATCAGATAGTAGGATGGATATACTCTTCATCTATAGTAATGAATAAGTTTAGGGAGGTTAGAAATTTTCCATGGTTAACACTGAGGCCTAAACCTAATTCTAGCATTAAATTTCTCCCTAATATGTTTGTTCCTGCCTCTGGAATTAACAGAAACTTAATATTAGCTGATTTGTTTTCATATATAACTTTTGTTTCTTTTAAGATCTTTGCTTTAAATCCTTTTCTTTTTACTCCTGAGATATGAAGTTCTTCTAGTGAACAAATTACACAAGATGAGGAATAATAAACAGAGTGAGCCACCCCTGAGTCAATTAAAAAAAGTAATAAGCTCAGAGTTGCATCCCACCTTTAAATTTATCAAGGGCTTTTGGTGGGACTTGTCCTAGAAAAGACAGAGCCCCTGACCTCCCTATTCTTCCTCAAAAGCCCTAACTGGGATGACTTCCTTTTCTTTTTCCAACTTAAGGCATTCTCTTTTAAAGTGACCTATTTTTCCACATTTGAAACACTTGATTTGCCTTTTTCCTGTTTTTATTTCCTGGCCTTCTGGCTTGATTCTTTTGGCTCCTGTGTAGGGACTGACAGCCAGGTACTTGGAAGGCTTACAGGTTTTATTTCCCTGGGCACCCTTTTGAAGAATCCACCCTGTTGTAGGGTGGACAGCATAATTTTTGCCTTTTGCTCCTGCCTTTCCTCATGCCTCTATACATATACCTTTTGGGCCTTTCTTTAAAATTCCTCTATCAGACAGTCTTTCCAATTCTCTATTTTCTGTAATTTTCTTTTAATATCTGGCCAACTATTGGTGACAACGTGGAGTTTTAACATCCCTTGTTCCAGGGATGTTTCTAATTTTAGGCCAGCATACTTTATCATATGCTTCTTAAGCCTCTCTAAGAAATCCATTGGTCAATCATCCTTTCCCTGCTGTATATTAAAGCCTTTGGTAATATCCTGGGTGTGGGGTACTGATTCTGTAATTCCTTTAATAATCATTTCCCTTAGGTCTGTCATATTTCCTCAGTGGGCTATCAGAGAGAATTTTATTGTCTGTCTTGCCCTTTTTATTTTCTGCCTTGCTTGGGGTATTTCCCACCCTGGAAGTTTTAGGTGTTTCCCTAAGTTTTCTGAGTCTGTGGGGCTCAACCTCTCCTACTAGAGATTTCTTGCCTTACCTCCAGGATATCCCTACCACCAAGGAACACTTCACTACCCCCACAGCTTTTCTTACCTTGGTCTGTGCACAGTTACCTGATCACTGTGGTATCTATTTGTAGGACTTTTCTGCTCACATTGCTGAGAGTCCAGGTTCATTCATCAAGCTAGGTGGGTCTCAATCCCTTACTCCTGAGGTTACTGCAACAAGGGAATGGGACACTTCTCCTCATGAGAGATGATCAGAGACCCTTCCCTGCAGGAGTATGGGATCCTGGATGAGCCCGCAATTTGTTAGAAATAACAGCTCAGTGTCACAAAGAAAACAAGCACTCAGACAAAAGACTTCTCAGCAAGGCAAATTTACTTCTGCAGAAGGGTGCTGCCTGTGTCAGTCATGATGGCAAGAGCACACTGAAAACAGGAGGGAAAGGATTTTTATCTTTAATGCATAGTCTCTACTTCTGTGTCACTACCCCATGGCCTGGGGTCAGACCTCACAATCTAAGCTGACTCAATTGGCTACTTGTGAATATTTTCTCAAATAAGGAAGGAGGGAGGGGAATGTGAGTTACAATTGTGGGATGCATGGTTTCAGTGGGAGGAATTGGGTGCAGAGTAAGTAACCAAGGGAACAGAAGTGAGTTATTTATTAGTGCTGATGGAAAGATTGTTTACAGTAACTAAGGGCAAGAAGGCATGAAGAGAAAGAAAGTTAAGTTTGAGAACAAAGAACAAGGAAGTTAACAGGCTAAACTTTTGAAGAGGAATTTTCGAAGTGGAGTGCAGTAGCATAAACACAGCTCACTCCAGTCTTAACCTCCCAAGCTCAAGTGATCCTCCTGCCTTGGCCCCCCATGTATCTGGAGCTACAGGTGCACACCACCTTGCCCAGCTAATTTTTATACTTTTTGTAGAGAAGAGGATTTGCTGGTGAGTGGATTGATACAAAGTTGTTTGTCAGAAATTCTGCTTACAGAAATAATATTGATTTGTGATTGGCTGTCTCTCATTAGCCATAGGGTGTGTTGTGGTGTCCAGTGTGACATTATTAGGTTAACCTATAGCTACATGTGATGATAGTGAGGAGTTTCAATAGATGTATACATAGCACAAAGCAGGAACTAGGATATGAATGCTGTCTTCTTTATTAAGGACCTTTATGGGCCCAGTAATTTGAAAGGGCTCAAATTCCTCAAATAAAAGTATTTCTCTTTCCTGAAAATAACTGAAGTAGTCAAAATCATAGAAATAGAAAATTAGGTGATGTTGCCAGGGCTTAGGGGAGTAAGAAATGAAAAGATGAGGACACTATGCAACTGTTATGTGTATTTTAACACAACAAAAAAATAGATGGCTGGGTGCAGTGGCTCATGCCTGTAATCCCAGCACTTTGGGAGGTTAGGCAGATGGAGTGCTTGAGCCCAGGATTTGAAGACTAGCCTGGGAAACATTGCAAAATCCCTTCTCTACCAAAAATACAAAAAAATATGCCAGGTATAGGGGCATGTGCCTGTAGTGCTAGCCATTTAGGAGACTGAGGTGGGAGGATTGCTTCAGTCTGAGAGGTAAAGATTACAGTGAATACAGGTGGCACCACTGCACTCTAGCCTGGGTGACGGGCACTGTCTCAAAAAAAAAACAAAAGAAAAAAAGGTGAAAATGTGCCTTCCCCTTGTATAGTATGCAAATTACCTCTAAATAAAGCTGTTATCAAAAAAAGTTATTGACTAAATGGGATGCTTTTTGTTTTTAATGTATGAGCAAGAATATCCTAGCTGTGAATCTCCTCTAAAAAACAAAAAAAACAAAAACTGAGCCAAGCACAGTGGGTCATGCCAGTAATCCCAGTACTTTGAGAGACTGAGGTAGGAAGATCCCTTGGGCTGAGGAGTTCAATCTCAGCCAAGCAACATAGCAAGACCTCATCTCTGAATAAAAGAAAGAAAGAAAGAAAGAAAGAAAGAAAGAAAGAAAGAAAGAAAGAAAGAAAGAAAGAAAGAAAGAAAAAGCCAAGACAAATACGCTTATTACTCCCATCTCCTCCTTCATCTCCAGGAAATGAGACTGCCATACTGATATGGTTTGACTATGTTCCCACCCAAATCTCATCTTGAATTCTAGCTCCCATAATCCCCACATGTCATGGGAGGGACCTAGTGGAAGGTAATTGAATCATGGTGTTGGGTTTTTCCCATGCTGTTCTTATGATAGTGAATAAGTCTGATGAGTTCTGATGGTTTTATAAAGGCCAGTTCCCCTGCACACACTCTCTTGCCTGCCAGCATGTAAGACGTGCCTTTGCTGCTCCTTCACCTTCCACCATAATTGTGAGGCCTACCCAGCCACACAGAACAGTGAGCCCATTAGTCCTCTTTTTCTTTATAAATTAACCAGTCTTTTTTCATAGCACTATGAAAATGGACTAACATACACACCCAAAGGTATTAAGTAATAAATTATAATGGATCTTTCTGGTCCTCTTTGCATAGAAAGATCCAGGAATGACCTCCCATTATGAAAATACTGTCAGAGGCATTTGAACCAGAGTGACTCCATCTTGAATAGGGACTGGGTAAAATGAGGCTGAGCCATGCTAGGCTGCATTCCCTGGAGGTTAGGCATTCTAAGTTATAGGGTGAGAAGAGAGATCAACACAGGATACAGGTCACAAGGACCCAGATGATAAAACAGGATGCAGTAAGAAGCTGTCCAAAACCTAGAAAAACCAAGATGGTGATGAAAGTGACCTCTGGTCGTCCTCACCACTCGTTATATGTTAATTCTAATGCATTCACATGCTATAAGGCACTCACACCAGTGCTATGACAGTTTACAAATGTCATGGCAATGTCAGGAAGTTTCCCTATATGGTCTAAAAATAGGAGGAGCCCTCAGTTCTGTGAGTTGTCTACCCCTTTCCCAAAAAACTCATGAATAATCCACCTCTTGTTTGTCATATAATCAATGTATTAGACTATTTTTACACTGCTATGAACAACTTCCCACAACTAGGCAATTTATGAAGGAAATAGGTTTAATTGACTCACAGTTCTTCATGGCTGGGGAGGCCTCAGGAAACTTATAATTATAGCTTAAGAAGAGGCAGCTCTGTCTTACATGGTGGCAGGCAAGACAGTAGGTGCAAGAAAAAACAGGGAAAACTACATTATGAAAGCATTAAATCTCTTGAGAACTCACTATCATGATAACAGCATGGGGCAGAGTGCCCCTATGATCCAATCACCTCCTGCCGGGTCCTTCCCTCAACACATAGAGATTATGGGGATTACAATTGGAGATGAGATTTGGGTGGGGATACACAGCCAAACCATATCAATCCAGAATGTAAGTATAATCAGCTGAGCATCCTGCCCTGCTGCTGTGCCTATAGAGTAGCCATTGTTTTATTCCTTTACTTCTTTAATAAACTTGCTCTGACTTTATGAATTTGCTCTGAATTCCTTCTTCCATGAGTTCCAAGAACCGTCTCTTAGGGTGTGGATAAGGACCCCTTTCTGGTAACAATACCAACTAATATTCAGGCCTCTAGGGCCTCTTGCTTCTGGACAGTTAGTCCTTTGGTGCTGCTCTGAGCTCTCTCTGGTTTTGGCTTTCCCTGTTCCAGGACCCAGGGGAAATAAATAGTGTGTGTGTGGAAAAAAGATGCCTGAGGCTGTAGTGGCATCAGAGTTTCCATAAATGTCCTGATAGCACAAAGGGTGGAGCAGCAGAGCACTAAAGTGCCAGTAGGTGTGACTGGAACATCACCACTCAGAGACGAAGAGCCCTACTGCATAGTAGGATGCAAAAGTATTCAAAACAGATGGTGTTTCTACCCATGTGGAGGCTACAGTCAGTGTCCCCAAGGACGATTATGAGGAGGAATGAGGCTCCCCAGGAAGTTATAAGTGGCTTTTCTCTCTTTACAGCAGCAGTAGGGAGAATCCAGAGACTAAAGTCCACAACCAGCCACTTGTGCTGTCTATTGAGACTGGGGTTTAGAGTCTCAATAGCTCAATGCAGATACTTTCATTACCAGCTTTGAAACATTCCCTATAACCTTTATAAAATTAATCACGGAGTAAGAGAAGGGAGAAAAGAAAATAAAGCAAGCTTGCAGCCCATGCAACTTCATCTTGAGGTCAGCCTGCTCTCTGCCCTGCAACCTCATGGTTGTTTGGTGCCTCTTGTCTTAAAAGCACATAGATGCTAGATTATAGTTCCCCTTAACTGCTCTGTAGACAACAACTTGAAATTTAGGAAACATAACACTTTCCTTTTGAGATAGTCTTTCACATCTTGGCTTTTCCCATTGCTATGACCATCACTGTGGCCATTCCTGCATTCTGCACATGCCTGGCTATAGTGATAGTGATAGGAATCTATACAGATGATACAATTTCACAGCACTATACACTCACACATATTTTACATAAAACCCATGAACATAATGTAATGTAGTGAAGAGTATTTGATATGGCTTTGCTGTGTGCCCACCAAAATCTCATCTTGAATTTTGAATTGTAGTTCTCACTATTCCCATGTTTTGTGGGAGTGACCTACTGAGAGATAATTGAATTATGGGAATAGGCATGTCCTTATGGTAGTGAATAAGTCTAATGAGATCTGATGATTTTAAAAGGGATTTACCCTTTTGCTTGGTTCTCATTCTCTTTTGCTTGCCATGATGAAAGGTGTGCTTTTTGCCTTCCACCATGATTGTGAGGCTGCCCCAGCCACATAGAGCTGTGAGGCCATTAACCTCTTTTTCTTTATAAATTACCCACTCTCAGGTATGTCTTTATCAGCAGAAGAAAATGGACTAATACAGTATTGTACCAATGTCAGTTGACAGTTTTGATTATCTGTAATAGTTAAGTATGATGCTATCATTGTTAAATCTAAGTGAAGTGTCCACATGAACTCTGTATCATTTTTGCAATAATTTGTGTGTCTTAAAAATTATCTTAAAATAAAAAGTTAAAAACACTTAATGAAATAAATGATGGGTCCATTCCCAGTCATTGGAATCAGAGAAGAGGAAAATACTAAATCACTATATTCTAAGACTGTTCAACTACAGGAGGACTGAGTGGGTCAGTCCCTCTGGAAAATTGCCAGAGGTGACCAGTGGAAATTGATCCTGTAGACTCCTTCATTCACAGTATACATTTGGTCTTCTGATCACTTGAATCAGATATGTGTCAAAACTAAAGCTCATTGGATGTTTATGATGAACTGATACAGCCAATTCTCATTACTCACAGGACTCATTTTATAAAATTGTCAAAAACACTGAATTCGCTAAGACTGAACCATTGGTACTCATATGAGAAATATGAGGTTAGGTTCCTGTAAGCATCTGGCCACATTTTCATCAAATTATCAACACACAGCCTTGTTTTCACTGTGTTTCTACTTAAAAGCACATTGTTTAATACATATTGTTGACTCATTCTCATTGAATGCATGGCCAACAACTCTTACTCCTGCCTGAACACCTGAAGAAAGTGTCTCTACAACACATATTTTCTTTGTAAGCAATATCACAACCTTCTTGCACTTAGGAACACTAGCTAGCACTTCAGCACTATGCTTGGGGTCATTTTAAACAGCAAAATTACCAGCAGAAACAGGCTGCATTTTGCAAAAATGAAAAAAGCATGGCATTCCATAGACCACAGCAAGACACTTGTTTACACTATAAGCTGAAATAAGAAAGCAGAGCATTACCTTGTTCAAGCGTAGCCAGAAATGTGCAAACTAGGTAACTCAAATTATTCAATGCTTTAAATGTTCATGAAAGTGCAATGAGTATTAACTTTCAGTTACAAAGAAATTAGAGCAAGTAGTTGAATTTGCAAAGAGAGAATCTGCAAATGAAGAAGATTGACTCTACTTGGGTAACCCCCTCAAAATCTTGACCCCTGGCATTTACGCCCTTGTGTATACCTTTCTGTTGAACCAGAGTAGCCCTAGGATATGCTTTATCCAGTGCTATATGGCAGAGGGTGGCTGCACTCACCCCGCACTAAGAAGAACTGGAAGTTTCTGCTTTTGCAACATGGAATAAGTCACCTTCTAACTACCTAACTACTAATTGTAAGAAGCCTGAATTGTTCCTGTGGAGGAGAATCAAGGCCAGGCCAGTCAATAGTCATACTGAGCTTCTGGCCTTCAGACAGCACTCCTCTGCCAGCCCAATGCATGGGGCATCTTGGGAGTAGAATACTTCAGTCACGCCCAAAATGTTCTGCTTATGTCCCAGGGAGCAGAGAAGTGCTGTGTCCACCAAACTCTGCCATGTGGCAGGATTCCAAGCTAATGACTGAAATGGGCATAGTCATAGCCATTTTTCCTCTAGTCTTTCTCTACCTGATATACACCTTGCTCCTAGGAGATGCTTCCCTTGACTTCTAAGACTGTTTTCCCAAACCCCACTTGTTTTGAAATGCAAATATATGCATTCTCAATGCAAGGGATCTCTTTCAAGAATTGAAGAACTAAAACAGGATGCCACCCTTCAGCTTTCTTGAAATCTCTTTGGATCAACATCAGCCAAAGAAAAACAGTTACTAAAAGGGTCTGTATTTTTCTTTTTTTTTTTCTTGTTTTCTTTTCTTTTTTTTTTTTCTTTTTTCTTTTTTTAATCATACTTTAAGTTCCAGGGTACATGGGCAAAACGTGCAGGTTTGTTACATATGTATACATGTGCCATGTTGTTGTGCTTCACCCATTAACTCGTCATTTACATTAGGTATATCCCCTAATGCTATCCCTCTCCCCTCCACCCACCCCACAACAGGCCCCAGTGTGTGATGTTGCCCTTCCTGTGTCCAAGTGTTCTCATTGTTCAATTCCCACCTATGAGTGAGAACACGTGGTGTTAAGTTTTTTGTACTTGCAATAGTTGGCCGAGAATAATGGTTTCCAGCTTCATCCATGTCCCTACAAAGGACATGAACTCATCATTTTTTATGGCTGCATAGTATTCCATGGTGTATATGTGCCACATTTTCTTAATCCAGTCTATCATTGGTGGATATTTGGGTTGGTTCCAAGTCTTTGCTATTGTCAATAGTGCCACAATAAACATACCTGTGCATGTGTCTTTATAGCAGCACAATTTATAATCCATTGCCTATATACCCAGTATTGGGATCACTGGGCCAAATGGTATTTCTACTTCTAGATCCTTGAGTAATCACCACACTGTGTTCCACAATGGTTGAACTAGTTTACAGTCCCACCAACAGTGTAAAAGTGTTCTTATTTCTCCACATCCTCTCCAGCACCTGTTGTTTCCTGACTTTTCAGTGATCACCACTCTAACTGGCGTGAGATGATATCTCATTGTGGTTTTGATTTACATTTCTCTGATGGCCAGTGATGAGCATTTTTTCATGTGTCTGTTGGCTGCATAAGTGTCTTCTTTTGAGAAGTGTCTGTTCATATCCTTCACCCACTTTTTGATGGAGTTGTTTGTTTTTTTCTTTTAATTTGTTTGAATTCATTGTAGATTCTGGATATTTGCCCTTTGTCAGACAAGTAAATTGCAAATTTCTTTTTCCATTCTTTACATTGCCTGTTCATTCTGATGGTAGTTTCTTTTGCTGTGCAGAAGTTCTTTAGTTTAATTAGATCCCATTTGTCAGTTTTGGCTTTTGTTGCCATTCCTTTCAGTGTTTTAGACATGAAGGCCTTGCCCATGACTACATGCTGAATGGTATTGCCTAGCTTTTCTTCCAGGGTTTTTATGGTTTTAGGTCTAACATGTAAGTCTTTAATCCATCTTGAATTAATTTTTGTGTAAGGTGTAAGGAAGGGATCCAGTTTCAGCTTTCCACATATGGCCAGCCAGTTTTCCCAGCACCATTTATTAAATAGGGAATCCTTTCCCCATTTCTTGTTTTTGTCAGGTTTGTCAAAGATCAGATGGTTGTAGATGTGTGATATTATTTCTGAGGGCTCTGTTCTGTTCCATTGGTCTATATATCTGTTTTGGTACCAGTACCATGCTGTTTTGGTTACTATAACCTTGTAGTATAGTTCTATAGTTTGAAGTCAGGTAGCATGATCCCTCCAGCTTTGTTCTTTTGGCTTATGACTGACTTGGCAATGTGGGATCTTTTTTGGTTTCATATGGACTTTAAAGTAGTTTTTTCCAATTCTGTGAAGAAAGTCATTGGTAACTTGATGGGGATGGCATTGAATCTATAAATTACCTTGGGCAGTATGGCCATTTTCACAATGTTGATTCTTCCCATCCATGAGCATGGAATGTTCTTCCATTTCTTTGTGTCCTCTTTTATTTCACTGACCTCACCTTGAAGAGGTCCTTCACATCCCTGTAAGTTGGATTCCTAGATATTTCATTCTCTTTGAAGCAATTGTGAATAGGAGTTCACTGATGATTTTGCTCTATGTCAGTTATTGATGTATAAGAATGCTTGTGATTTTTGCAGATTGATTTTGTGTCCTGAGACTTTGCTGAAGTTGCATATCAGCTGAAGGAGATTTTGGGCTGAGACGATCGGGTTTTCTAGATATACAATCATGTCATCTGCAAACAGACAATTTGACTAATTGAATACCTTTTATTTCCTTCTCCTGCCTGATAGCCCTCGCCAGAACTTCCAACACTATGTTGAATGGAGCAGTGAGAGAGGGCATCCCTGTCTTGTGTCAGTTTTCAGAAGGAATGCTTCCAGTTTTTGCTCATTCAGTATGATATTCACTGCGGGTTTGTCATAAATAGCTCTTATTATTTTGAGATACGTCCCATCAATACCTAATTTATTGAGAGTTTTTAGCATGAAGCACTGTTGAATTTTGTCAAAGGCTTTTTCTGCATCTATTGAGATAATCATGTGGTTTTTGTCTTTGGTTGTGTTTATATGCTGGATTACATTTATTGATTTGCATATGTTGAACCAACTTTGCATCCCAAGGATGAAGCCCACTTGATCATGGTCGATAAGCTTTTTGATGTGCTGCTGGATTCGGTTTGCCATTACTTTATGAGGATTCTTGCATCGATGTTCATCAGGTATATTGGTCTAAAATTCTCTTTTTTTGTTGTGTCTCTGTCAGGCTTTGGTATCAGGATGATGCTGGCCTCATAAAATAAGTTAGGGAGGATTCCCTCTTTTTCTATTGATTGGAATAGTTTCAGAAGGAATGGTACCAGCTCCTCCTTGTACCTCTGGTAGAATTCGGCTGTGAATCCATCTTGTCCTGGACTTTTTTTGGTTGGTAAGCTATTAATTATTGCCTCAATTTCACAGCCTGTTATTGTATTCAGAGATTCAACTTCTTCCTGGTTTAGTCTTGGGAGGGTGTATGTGTCCAGGAATGTATCCATTTCTTCTAGATTTTCTAGTTTATTTATGTAGAGGTGTTTATAGTATTCTCTGATGGTAGTTTTTATTTCTGTGGGATCAGTGCTTATATCTCCTTTTTCATTTTTTATTGCGTCTATTTGATTCTTCTCTCTTTTCTTCTTTATTAGTGTTGCTAGTGGTCTATCAATTTTGTTAATCGTTTCAAAAAACCAGCTCCTGGATTCATTGATTTTTTGAAGGGTTTTTTGTGTCTCTATCTCCTTCATTTCTGCTCTGATCTTTGTTATTTCTTGCCTTCTGCTAGCTTTTGAATGTGTTTGCTCTTGCTTCTCTATTTCTCTTAATTTTGATGTTAGGGTGTTGATTTTAGATCTTTCCTGCTTTCTCTTGTGGGCATTTAGTGCTATGAATTTCCCTCTACACATTGCTTTAAATGTGTCCCAGACATTCTAATATGTTGTGTCTTTGTTCTCATTGGTTTCAAAGAACATCTTTATTTCTATCTTCATTTCATTATGTACCAGTAGTCATTCAGGAGCAGGTTGTTCAGTTTCCATGTATTTGAGTGGTTTTGATTGAGTTTCTTAATCCCGAGTTCTAGTTTGATTGCACTGAGGTCTGAGAGACAGTTTGTTATCATTTATCTTCTTTTACATTTGCTGAGGAGAGCTTTACTTCCAAGTATGTGGTCAATTTTGGAATAAGTGTGATGTAGCGCTGAGAAGAATGTATATTCTGTTGATTTGGGGTGGAGAGTTCTGTAGATGTCCATTAGGCCCACTTGGTGCAGAGCTGAGTTCAATTCCTGGATATCCTTGTTAACTTTCTGTCTTGTTGATCTGTCTAATGTTGACAGTGGGGTGTTAAATCTCCCATTATTATTGTGTGGAAGTCTAAGTCTCTTTGTACATCTCTAGGGACTTGCTTTATGAAACTGGGTGTTCCTGTATTGGGTGCATATATATTTAGGATAGTTAGCTCTTCTTGTTGAATTGATCCCCTTACCATTATGTCATGACCTTCTTTGTCTCTTTTGATCTTTGTTGGTTTAAAGTCTGTTTTATCAGAGACTAGTATTGCAACCCCTGCCTTTTTTTGTTTTCCATTTGCTTGGTAGATCTTCTTCCATCCCTTTATTTTGAGGCTATGTGTGTCTCTGCACATGAGATGGGTCTCCTGAATACAGCACACTGATGGGTCTTGACTCTTTATCCAGTTTGCCAGTCTGTGTTTTTTAATTGGAGTGTTTAGCCCATTTACATTTAAGGTTAATATTGTTATGTGTGAATTTGATCCTGTCATTATGATGTTAGCTGGTTACTTTGCTCGTTAGTTGATGCAGTTTCTTCCTAGCATTGATGGTCTTTATAATTTGGCATATTTTTGCAGTGGCTGGTACCAGTTTTTCCTTTCCATGTTTGGTGCTTTCTTCAGGAGCTCTTGTAAGGTAGGCCTGGTGGTGACAAAACCTCTCAGCATTTGCTTGTCTGTACAGGATTTTATTTCTCCTTTGCTTATGAAGCTTAGTTTGACTGGATATGAAATTCTGGCTTGAAAATACTTTTCTTTTTGAATGTTGAATATTGGCCCCCACTCTCTTCTGGCTTGTAGAGTTTCTGCCAAGAGATCTGATGGGCTTCACTTTGTGGGTAACTCGAACTTTCTCTCTTGCTGGCCCTTAACATTTTTTCCTTCCTTTCAGGTTTGGTGAATCTGACAATTATGTGTCTTGGAGTTCCTATTCTCAAGGAGTATCTTTGTGACAGTCTCTGTATTTCCTGAATTTGAATGTTGGCATGCCTTGCTAGGTTGGGGAAGTTCTGCTGGATAATATCCTGCAGAGTGTTTTCCAACTTGGTTCCATTCTCCCCATCACTTTCAGGTACACCAATTGGACATAGATTTGGTTTTTCCATAGTCTCATATTTCTTGGAGGCTTTGTTCATTTCTTTTTATTCTTTTTTCTCTAAACTTCTCTTCTCACTTCATTTCATTCATTTGATCTTCAGTCACTGATACCCTTTCTTCCATTTGACCAAATTGGCTACTGAAGCTTGTGCTTTTGTCACGTAGTTATTGTGCTATGGTTTTCAGCTCCATTAGGTTATTTAAGGACTTCTCTACACTGGTTAATCTAGTTAGACATTCATCTAATCTTTTTTCAAGGTTTTTAACTTCTTTGCAATGGGTTCAAACTTCCTCCTTTAGCTCAGAGAGTTTTGATTATCTGAAGCCTTCTTCTCTCAATTCGTCAAAGTCATTCTCCATCCAGCTTTGTTCCATTGCTGGTGAGGAGCTGCATTCCTTTGGAGGGGGAAAGGTGCTCTGATGTTAGAATTTTCAGCTTTTCTGCTCTGTTTTTTCCCCATCTTTGTGGTTTTATGTACCTTTGGTCTTTGATGATGGTGACGTACAGATGGGGTTTTGGTGTGGATGTCCTTTCTGTTTGTTAGTTTTCCTTCTAACAGCACCCTCAGTTGCAAGTCTGTTGGAATTTGCTGGAGGTCCTCTCAAAACCTTGTTTGCCTGGGTATCAGCAGCAGAGGCTGCAGAACAGGGAATATTGCTGAACAGCAAATACTGCTGCCTGATCATTCCTCTGGAAGTTTCATCTCAGATGGGTACCTGGCTGTGTGAGGTGTCAGTCTGCCTCTACTGGGGGATGCCTCCCAGTTAGGCTACTCAGGGTTCAGGGACCCACTTAAGGAGGCAGTCTGTCCATTCTCAGATCTCAAACTCCATGCTGGGAGAACCACTACTCTCTTCAAGCTGTCAGACAGGGACATTTAAGTCTGTAGAGGTTTCTGTTGCCTTTTGTTCAGCTATGCCCTGCCCCCAGAGGTGGAGTCTACAGAGGCAGGCAGGCCTCCTTCAGCTGTGGTGGGTTCCACCCAGTTCGAGCTTCCCAGCTGCTTTGTTTACCTACTCAAGCCTCAGCAATGGTGGGTGCCCCTCCCCCAGCCTCGCTGCCACCTTGCAGTTCAATCTCAGACTGCTGTGCTAGCAACGAGCAAGGCTCCATGGGTGTGGGATCCTCTGAGCCAGGCACAGAATATAATCTCCTGGTGTGCCGTTTGCTAAGACCATTGGAAAAGCAGAGTATTAGGGTGGGAGTGACCCAATTCTCCAGGTGCTGTGTGTCACAGCTCTGCTTGGCTATGAAAGGGAATTCCCTGACCCTTTACACTTCCTGGGTGAGGTGATGGCTCACCCTGCTTTGGCTTATGCTCGGTGTGCTGCACCCATTGTCCTGCACCAACTGTCCAACAAGCCCCAGTGAGATGAACCTGGTACCTCAGTTGGAAATGCAGAAATCACCTGTCTTCTGCTGCACTCACACTGGGAGCTGTAGACTGGAGCTGTTCCTATTCAGCCATCTTGGAACTGCCCCCTGAGGGTCTGTATTTTTCTAAGAGTGGTTGTTGCCATTTACTACTTTGTTTTTGAAATCACTGTTTTGCATCTGGGTGAGACTAACATGGGTTATGTGATGATCCAATATTTATTGTTTACTATTGCTACTGAAATTATTTCTTACAAAGTTCTCTTCAGGTGGGAAGGAGGCAAATATTGATGTGAATGCAATGTTGTACACTTATTCTATGACCTGAAGATCAATCAATTCAAAGTAAATTAGTGACAACAATCTTCATTTAACATTTCTGCACTCTCAAAGTACAGGAAAGAATATGAACTGAATTAAATACAAGTACACAGGATTTATAAGTGGAGTCTTCTTGTGTATACATAACAAAAGGTGGTGAACCCACAAAATTCTGTGCATCCTCAAGAGACAGCCTCATGTGGCCCCAGTGGGTCTACAATAGGCAGGTCTGGGCAGAGCAGCCCCAAATCTGTTAAACAAGAAACAAAACTCCTTAATCACTTGGGCACCATGATGGTGATAACGCACATCTACCTACTATCTAGGGCTCCATGATTAGAGGTTTAAACTGGGAAACAAACTAGCATTGCCTTTGGTTGGAATGAATTCTTAAGCTCATTAGTTATGTGATAACACCCAGAAAGTTCTGCCACATGACTGTAGGGTGTCTAGGGATCTTCAGTACAGCTCAGTTCCCACATAAGATTGGTAATGACATCAGAAACCATGTTGCAAAGGGAAGCCTCCAGAGAGAGAGTGAAGGAGTTGTTTGATGAATGCACCAGAACAGCCAAATTCTGCAGGTAACTTTGTTTTATTTCTTTGTCTCCAGCAAAACTGGCCATCTATGAACTTTTGTAAGACACTAGTGGCTCATACCAAATTTGAGGTAGTAAGGGGATCTACAGAGACCACAGAAGGGAAGGGAAATCTACAAGAGAAGCAGGAAAAGCCTGTTCTAGAAGCCCCTCCAAAGGAAAAGGAGTTTCCTCCTCTCTATGTTCCAATGTAACCATTGTTTTCAAGGTTAAGGAAAGGTGTTACACAGGTGGCCCTTGAAGAATCAAACTCAGAGGAGAGTGAATCTCAGGCATCACTCCATAGGGAAGAGCCTGACCTCCTGCCCATAAAAACTAAGGAGGAACGTCAGGGTGATGAGGCATGCCATCTTAGATTGGGCCACACCTGAGCCTTGCAAATACCCCTCTGGGAGACTCAAAGCCAAATCTATCATGATGAAGAAGGTCAGGTCCAGGAAGGACAAGTCTTTTGGTTTATCAAACTTTCTCCACCACCAACCTTCTAAACTGGAAACATCATGCTCCCTCCTATATGGAAAAGCCCCAGACCCTTATACACTTGATGCAGTCTGTCTTCCTGACTCATAATCCTACCTGGCCAGACTGTCAGCAACTCCTCTTAATGCTGTTCAATATGAAGGAACACCATACTGTGGCTCAAACAGCCCTCCAGTGGTTAGACAGCAATGTGCCTCAAGGCACAAATGATGTCTGGTGATATGCACAGGAAAGATTCCCAGAGACAGACCCTAGCTGGAACCCCAATGAGGCAGGAGGGTTGCAAAACCTGCAGAGGTTTCGGGAGGCACTCCTAAATGGAATAAAAGCTGAAGGGAAAAAGGCAATGAATATAGGAAAAGTCTCAGAGGTTCGGCAAAAGGCCGATGAAAGTCCCAGTAAGTTTTATGAAAGACTTTGTGAGGCATACTGGCTTTAGACTCCATTTGACCCAGAGGCTGTGGGGAATCAGTGCATGGTCAGTGTGGCATTTGTAGGCCAGGCGCAAGGTGATACTAGGTGGAAGCTTCAGAATTTAGAAGGTTTTGAGTGCATGAATGCTACTCAGCTTATACAAGTGGCCACTAAGCCGTCTCTTAACCAAGAGGAGGGAGCCAAGAAAGAGGCTAAGCTAAAGGCTAAGGAGAAGGCTGATCTGTTGGTGGCTGCATTGGTTGAAAAAGAGACTGATTTTGTCAGAGGATAAGGATGTGGTCATGGAAGAGGTCCAGTGAGACCAGGGTTTGAAGGCCACACAAGGCTAGAGAGGGATCAATGTGGAAGATGCAAGCAGAAAGCACACTGGAAGGATGAATATTCAGAGAGAGAAAAGGATGAGAACAGCAGTCCAGAAGCGGGCACTTTGTTTAGACTGTCAGCTATGAGTTGATGTGTCCTGAAGCTAGACACTGACCTTGTCGGCCTCAAAGACTATGAAGACTGAGATAGACCAGGCTCCATCTTTCTAGGCCCCTGGGAGCCTATGGTCACAATGGAAGTGGGAGGCCAGCAGGTAGACTTTATGGTGGACACTGGTGCTGAACATTCAGTGGTGACTCGGCCCATAGGCCCTCTATCTAAAAACTGTGCAACTATAGTTGAGGCAACCAGTGTTTCAGAAAAGAGGCCATTCTTTCAATCCAGAAGGTGTGTTATTGGAGGATGAGAAGTCCAACATGAATTCTTATATCTGCCAAATTGCCTGGTGCCCCTGCTAAGGAGAGACTTACTTCAAAAGCTGCAAGTGCAGGTCTCTTTCAGGGCAGGAGAAGGCATGGTGCTAGATCTCAGTCGGCCAAAATCTATGATGTTAATGCTTACCCTTCCACAGACTGAGGAGTGGAGGCTATATGTAAAAGAGGCAGACAAGCCATTTAAGTTTATGGACAGGCTATTTGATGAACTGGTTTCTAAGATTCCTGAAGTTTGGGTGGAAGAAAACCCACCAGGACTGGCTATAAACCAGTGCCAGTGGTAATGGAATTAATTCCAGGTGCTTCACTGATGCACATTCCTCAATACCAAGTGTCTACAGAGGCAGTGTGAGGAATGATCAAGCACGTAAATCAGCTATTAGAACACAGAATTATAAAAAAGTGTAAGTCACCTTGGAAAATACCTCTTTTACCGGTGCAAAAACTGTCTGGCAGGTTTAGACCAGTACAAGATCTCCAGGCTATAAATAAAGTCACTGTTACTCTACATGCAGTGGTGCCCAACCCATACACTCTGAGGGGCCATATTCCTGCCCATGCTGCCTGGTTCACCTGCTTAGACTTAAAAGATGCTTTCTTTTGCCTCTGGTTAGTGCCAGTGAGCCAACCTATTTTTGCATTTCAATGGGGAGAAACACAATATACCTGGACCAGACTCCCACAAGGGTTCAAAAACTTCCCTACTATCTTTGATGAGGCATTAGCAACAGTTCTCAAGGTTTTTCCTGCCAAATGACAAGTGTGTTCTGTACAATACATAGATGACATTTTGTTTGTGGCCCCCACCAAGGAAGATTGTCTCCAGGGCACAGAAGTCCTCCTTCGCCTTCTATGGAAGGCAGGCTATAAGGTGTCTCAGAAAAAGGCCCAAATGTGTGGTAAAAGAGTAAAGTATCTGGGATTCTTGGTAACCCAGGGGCAATGCAAACTTGGCAGCAAGCAAAAACAGGCTTTGTGCACACTTCCTACCCAAATGACCCACCGCCAAATAAGGGGGTTTCTGGGAGCCGCAGGTTTCTGCTGCATTTGGATTCCAAACTTTTCACTTATGGCAAAACCCTTACATGAAGCCACAAAGCGGGAGAAAAACAGACCCTCCTTTGGGGTATTGAGCAAGAGAAGCCTTTAATAAGATAAAAAAGGACTTAATTCAAGCCCCAGCCTTGGGACTACCAGACCTGACAAAGCTTTTCTTCCTCTAGGTGCACAAGAAGCAAAGGATAGTAGTAGAAGTTTTAGTTCAGATCGTAGGATCGTGGTATCAACCTGTGGCATACTTGTCAAAATGGCTGGACCTAGTGGCCCTAGGATCCCCGGTCTCCCCCATTTCCAGGCAATAGCTGCCAGTGCCATGCTAGCAGAAGATGCCAGTAAATCAACTCTAGGGCAAAAGCTAATTATCCAGGTGCCACATACCATCGTTACCATAATGGAACAGAGGACATCATTGGCTATCAAGTCCAAGAATGTTAAGGTATCAAGTACTTTTATGTGAAAATCCATATATAACCTTAGAGACTGTGAACACCTTGAATCTGGCCACCCTTCTCCCCGTAGAGATGCCCAAGCTGCCCAATCATATGCCACAGCATTATTGTGTAGATCTGGTGGATGAGGAGTTCTTGAGTCAGAGAGACTTGAAGGACCAGCCCTTTTGAGACTCAGAGTTGAATATTTCACAGATGGGAACAGTTTTATATCAGAAGAGGCCCATCGAGCTGGAGATGCAGTAGTGACCATATATTTGGTGGCAAAGGCCTGGTCTCTGCCCACAGAAACATCAGCTCAAAAGGCAGAGTTAATAGCCCCAACCAGAGCATTGCTATTAGTCAAAGGAAAGTCACTTAATATTTGCACACTCAAAGTACACTTTTGCTACATTGCATGCTCATGGAGCTGTTTACAAAGAAAGAGAACTTTTAACTGCTGGGGGAAAGGAAATTAAAAATAAGGAAGAAATTTTATAGCTTCTAGTTGCTGTATCAGCTCTGGAGACAGTAGCAGTTATTCACTGTAAAGAACACCAGGTGGGAGATGGCACTGAGGCAAGAAGAAAGAGGAAAGAGGATAGAGAAGCACAACGAGCAGCCATGACAGATGCACGTCCTGAAAAGGAGACCCAACCGTGCTGCTCTTGCTAGAGCTCTCCTTACCAGAGGTCCCAAGTTACTCTCTGAATGAAAAAGCCTGGTTTGGGCAAGAGACTGGAAATTACTTAGAAGGAGCCTAGTTGAAATTCTCAGTTGGGAACCTGGCCATTCTGGAGGCAACAGTCCCGAGGTTTGTGAAGCAGTTCCATCAAGGAATACACATGGGAATAACAGCATGAGACACATCGATCTGGCAGCACTTCTATGTGCCACATCTCACTGTTATCACATGAGCTATTAGTGAGCAGTGCCTAACTTGTGGCCAGAATAATCCATGGCAAGGTCAAACCCAGCTTCCAGAAATTCAAGCAACAGGGGCAGCACCTTGAGAAAATCTGTTCACCGACTTTACTGAGCTGTCTTGAGCTGGAGGCTATCAGTACACGTTAGTGTTTGTTTGCACCTTCTCCAGGTGGGTTGAGGCATTCCCCACCCAGACAGAGAAAGCACGAGAAGTGACTCAGGTATTATTAAAAGACATTATACTCAGATTTGGACTGCCATTGACTTTAAGATCAGATAATGGGCCAGCATTTGTAGCTGAAGTTGTTCAACAACTAAACCAATCGTAAAAGATTGAACAGAAATTGCACACCGCTTACCATCCACAAAGTTCAGGAGAAGTAGAGCAGTTGAACCGGACGCTCAAGCAACTGCTGAAGAAGTTTTGCCAAGAAACTCATCTCAGGTGGGATCAGGTCTTGCCCATGTCACCTTCTCCGAGTCAGGTGCACCCCTACTAAAAAAAGTGGGTATTTGCCCTACAAAATTGTGTTTGGCTGACCACCACCAATTATAACTCATGTTAAAGGTGATCTACGGGAACTAGGGGAATTAACTTTAAGAAGCCAAATGAAGGCCCTAGGGCTGGCTATGCAAAAAGTTTGCGGCTGGGCACAAGAAAGGATGCCTATAAGCCTAACGGATCCAGTTTACCCTTTTATGCCTGTGGGCCAAATTTAGGTTAAGAAATGGAACCCAGCCACTCTAGGGCCCACATGGGATGGGACCCACACTGAAATCTTGTCCACTCCCACTGCTGTTAAAGTCACATGTGTCACACCGATACACTATACCCGACTAAAACTGGCAGCATTGGACCAGTGGACCAGTCAGCAGGACCCAGACCATGCAACACAACTGATCCTGTGGTGGACCAGTTTACTACTGAGAAAGACGACTGCCCTGCTCTGACCACTCTGGAGGCTGGTCAATCTAGACACAGCTGAAGCTTGAGGAAATGCCAAGCCCTGCTCTAGCCACACCACTGGAGGCTGGCTAGTCTAGGCACAGCCAAAGCCTGAGGAGTCTACATCAGATGAATAAATGCGGATAGGAATTTTAAGTTTGTTTGCTATCTTAGTGTTGCTGATTGCCTTGTTACTATGCTATCATTATTGCCAATCTTTCTGAGAAAGGACTTTTTCTGCCCATGTCTAGTATGAAGATACTGCTTTTTTTTTTTTGCTTTGCTAGCAGCGGTGCATGAGGCTATGCAGGAAGAAGTACAATTCAAAGAAGGAGGTTCACTCTGCATGCATACTACATTGATAAAGAATGCAGTTGTTAAGACTTTATTATACCACACATACTATGAATGCCCACGGACTAAGCTAGGTGTCTGTACCCACAATCAAACTATTTACTAAGTCTGTGATCCAGAGAATGAACAACCCTACACATGCTATGACCCAAAGTTCTTACCTAGGAACTGGTTTGAAATTCATACTGGATCAAAGGAAAGTAGTCTCTTAAATCAGACCAAGATCTCATCCGCCCACAAAGGAGCTGTACCCATGTACCTTAATGTATGCCAATGGACATCTAGTAATACAACTTTCTCAAAGTGGTTTCCACATACTTATCCCCTAGCCACTGCTTCTACAGGATACTCCACTTCCTGCCTAAACAAGAAGGTCTGTAAACCCTTTGTCTGCCCCTCCAAGATTCCAGCAGAGGCTGATTGGTATTGCCCAACACAGTATACAGAACTAGGTGTGGAACCTGTGACAGTCATGGTTATCCAAATGTAGAAAGACCCAGATTGTAGGACTGGCACACACAATCTTATAATCCTTACTAATTTAAAGCCAGATCTCCCCACATGGACTACAGGGCTCTCCCTGACATTACAAATGGGAGACCAAAAGTCAGAGAGTAATTTATACATTATAAAGTAGACCTGGACCTGTCCAGCCCAACAGCAGTTTCAGGTCTTTAAGTAATTTAATGAGCATTTCAAGCAAGAGGTACCTGAAGTGCCCCCTCGTATAGCTATAAATTTGTTTGCACAGTTGGCTGAAAACACAGCTGGTAGCCTGGGGATTTCCTCATGTTATGTCTGTGGAGGAACAAATATAGGACACCAATGGCCTTAGAAAGCTAAAGAGATATTGCTTCAAAAAAATTATACCCTAACCTTTTTATCCTCAGAGCGGACACTCACAAGCCCAAGTGTTTAGCTAGTGAAGACTTTTATCATTAAGAGATACTGCATAGCCTGTTGGAGAAAGGCTTTTCCTAACCCAGTGGGAGAATTAGCCTGGCTAAGGCAGCAATACTACAATGACACAGTAAGAAAAACTTTGTGATGGGGTAAAAATAAGCTAGGCAAGAATACCACCAGATAGCCATGCTGCAATCCATTTTCATGTTTCCCTTTCCTGTTTCCCTTCCTTGAACCACTCGTGGTATCAACTAGAGATACCAGCCACCTGACAAGCAGCTTCTGGCCTGTGTTGGATCTGTGGGGCAAGAGCATATAGGAAATTGCCAGATAAGTGGACAGGAGCTTGCATGCTAGGAACAATAAAACCTTCATTTTTCCTACTTCCACTACAAAAAGGAGAAATGCAAGGATATCCCATATATGATGAAAATAGAAAGAGAGCTAGAAGGAGCATAATCTCAAAAATAGATACAAATATCAAGAAGCACATAGACATAGGGGACTGGAAAGACAACGAATCAATGAATGCTCTCTCAAAACAATTATTAAATACTATAGGCCAGCTACCTGGGCACAGAATAGGTCCTGAGGATACTGTACCCCGATCTATATGTTCAACCACATCATAACACTACAAGCTGTACTAGAAATCACCACCAATGAAATTGCAAAGGCTTTGGATTTATTGGCTCTACAAGCCACACAGATGAGAACTGCTATATATCAAAATAGGCTGGCATTAGATTACCTCCTAGCCTCAGAAGGATGTGTCTATGGAAAGTTCAATCGGACGAACCTTTGTCTAGAAATTGATGACAATAGGAAGGCTGTCATGGAAATCACTGCCAGGATGCAGAAGTTAGCTCATGTTCCGGTTCAAACTTAGTCAAGATGGTCTCCAAATTCCCTTTTTGGGGGATAGTTTTTGATCTTTGGAGTATTTAAAACCTTGATAGAATGGTTCATGCTTATCATAAGTTGGCTGCCTAATACTCCCTTTTCTCCTGCCACTTCTCATCGGAAGTATTCAGACAACTATAGAAGCAATTGTGGCCAGACACACAACTACTCAGATCTTGGCCCTGACCAAGTATCAGACCCTGCCCCAGGAAGAGTATGTACCAACCCCAGAGGAACTAGATAATTGTGGTGCTCTCTATTGAAGCCTAATTCTTATATACAGCACCAAAGGGGGGAATAAAGTGGAAAATTAAAAGAAATTAAGAACTTACTGTATAAAGTTAGGCAGAATAGGTATGAAATGCCCCCCCAAGAAGTGAGAGTTAAGTAAGACTATAAACTGACTTTCTGTGGAGTCTGTGAAGCATTAACCATATCTCTCCTCAACATATTTTGTAAGTTCTGTAAGTTCTTAATTTTCTAGCTGTGCAGCTGCAAGGTCACAAAATAGATAAACATAAGCTGCAAGACATGTTTTCCGAAGAATGTCACATGATGATTAACTGCCTTTGTTCTCACTTCTGTAAGCCTGCTTCCTGGATCACATAATTCCCGCCTGAAGATGCATAAAAGGCACTTGTTTTCTTCGTTTACTGCTCAGACTTTCAAGACGTGTCCCCTGAGCCAGTGTACACCTAAAATAAACCCTCCTGAACCCCACTTGGTCTCTCCAGTTCTCTGATTTCTGCCACAGTGCAACTTTAAATCCACATGAAATCTGAACTAATATAGGGAAGATGCAGCATTTGTAGCCAGCAATTACCCTGGAAATTCCCCAGAAACAGTAACATTCTGATTCCTATAGGCTTTCTTGTCTGACTTTGCATCCAGCTTTCCTTTCTTCTTTTTTTTTTAATCATGAAGAGGATATTGAAATATAACTTTAAAAAGAAACAAGAGTCCCAAGCATGGTAGCTCACACCTGTCATCCCAGCACTTTGGGAGGTAGAGGTGGGAGGATACCCTGAACCTAGGGCAACATAGTGAGATCCCAGCTCTACAGAAAAGTTTTTAAAATTGGCCAGGCTTGATAGCATGCACCTAATGGTCCCAGCATCACAGGAGCCTGCGATAGGAGGATCGTTTAGCCCAAAGTTTGATACCAGCCTGGGCAACATAGTAAGGCCTCATATCTACAAAACGTTTTTAAAAATTAGCCAGATATAGTGGCACACACCTGTGGTCCAAGTATCACAGGGAGTTGAGACACAAGGATTGTTTGAGCCCACAAAAGTTGAGACTGCAGTGAGCTATGATCACACCACTGCACTCCATCCTGGGCAACAGAGTAAGATCCTGCCTCTAAAAAAATAAAAAATAAAAAAATAAAAAAAGATTGCTTTTGGAGGCCAGACCAGACTTGGATATTATGGTAAAACGAGAAAATGCAAATGGAAATGTATTTTAGCAGCATTAAAGTATCATCCCATGTGTGGGAATGGTGGTTCACATTTGTAATCCTAGCACTTTGGGAGGCCAAGGCAGGCAGATCACAAGGTCAAGGAGATTGAAACTATCCTGACCACCATGGTGAAACCCCGTCTCTACTAAAAATACAAAAATTAGTTGGGCGTAGTGGCATGCACCTGTAATCCCAGCTGCTCAGGAGGCTGAGACAGGAGAATTGCTTGAGCCTGGGAGTTGAAGGTTGCAGTGAGCTGAGATCACACCGCTGCACTCCAGCCTGGTGACACAGTGAGACTCCATCTCAACTAACTAACTAACAAACTAACTAACTAACTAGCTAACTAAATGGATCATCCCTGACAAACATATTTCTGGCCTTTTGCATGCAAACAGTGATTACACCCATGTAGCCAGTCCCGCTGCTGCCACCAGCAGTTCAGCTCCCTTGGGACAAAATACCTTAGATGAACACTCACTTCTCTTATTGAATCTGGCCATTTAGGGGATGGAGGTGACTCCTCCTGACCTCTTCTGCAGGTTCCTCGTACATTTCTGCTCTCCATTCTAGAACCTCAAATCTTAAACATCACGTTCTCTGGTTTCACTGTAGCCACTTGACCTGTGCTCTTTCTGTAGTTGTCACTCCAAATAGATGATTCTCCCTGACCTCTTTTATCCCATAATTCCCCCACATTGACACCTAAGGCAGGACACATTAGAGAAGACAGAAAATCAAGTCTAGTGAGAAAGCAATCAACAATGCTTTGCTACCAATTTCTGTTCAAAGAAATAGGCCAGGTGCAGTGGTTTACACTGCAATGTAAGCACTTTGGGAGGCTGGGGTGGGAAGATTGGATTGCTTGAGCCCAGGAGCTCAAAACCAGCTTAGGCAACATAGTGAGACTCTGTCTCTACAAAAAACATAAAAAATTAGCTGGGCTTGATGGTATGCATCTGTAGTCTCAGCTACTGAGGAGGCTGAGGTGGGAGGATCAGTTGAGCCCAGAGTTCAGGGCTGAGTGAGCTAAGATCATACCACTGCCCTCCAGCCAGTGCAACAAAGTGAGATCACACTCAGAAAAGCATATGCCTTCATTTATTAATTTTCTCATGCAACCAATATTTATTTGAGTTAGGATTGTATGCTCAGGAACATACCAGATACAAAAGGATATAACAGAAAATGTAACCAGCAATGCCTCTGCCCTTGTTGAGTTTAAAATCTAGTGGCCACAGGGGTAAGGCTTGGTGACACATGCCTGTAATCTCAGCACTTTGGGAGGGCTAGGAGGGAGGATCATTTGAACCCAGGAGTTTGAGACCAGCCTGGGGTACATGGCAAAACCCTCTCTCTACAAAAAACTTAAAAAGTTAGTTGGGCTTGGGGGTGCATACCTGTAGTCTCAGCTACTAAGGGGACTGAGCTGGGAGAATCACCTGAGCCCAGGAAGTCGAGGCTTCAGTGAGCTGTGACCCTGCTACTGCAATCCAGCCTGGGCAATGGAAAGAGACCCTGTCTCAAAAGAGTTAATTAATTAATTAATTAATTTAAATCTAGTGACCAGAGAGAGCTGATAATCCAACAAGCTCAAGAAAGTGTCAGAGAGTACAAAAAAAAAAAAAAAAAGCAAGGTGGTATGATAGAGAAGGTCCTCTTTCCTGAGATGAAATTTGAGTTGAGACCTGAAGGCTGACTACAAAAAGACTTAGGGGAAGAGCTTCCCAGAGGGCAAAAGAGTTTTGTGGAAACCACACAAGGGTTCCACACTACACAGCACACATAACAGGTATTCATGCATAGCTACAATCTATAACTCAAGTCATAAATTGGTGAACCCATCTGCATGGTCCAACTTCCCCAACGTCATTTCACAAAATCAAAGTGGGATTACTTTTTAACCTACAAATGTTAATTCAATCAAATGTCTGCCCCACACCTCCCATACTCCTTCAAGGTGGCCCATGTCAGTGGGTGTTTGTGACCCAATTGTTTATCAGGTCATTAAGCAAATCAAAGCAACCTAATACACTAAGACCATAGTTCAGATAAAGAGCTGAATTTTGGACATTCCTTTTGTGTTGGTGGTGCTTATCATATTTTTAAAAATGAGAACCGTTGGAACTTGAATATGAGCAGACTCATACACACACACTTATGATGAGCTTTGTATGAGATATATGCTTGCATGTGTATAATGTGCATTACATATATTCTTTTACAAACTTTTATATGTATATATGTGTATAATATATTTTCACATATATACACATTCTTTTAAATTATATATGTATTATTTATATGACCATATGTTTCTATTACACACATTGTGTGTATGTTATATATAATATATACACAATATATAATACATAGACTTTTATCTACATCACATATAATACATACAACATATATTACATAATATATAAATACATTCAAAAGAACATGTGCGTATATGTCCGTATATATACACACACATATAAAAATATGTGTAAAAGAAAACATTATAGGGACATACATACACACATGCACACATAAAATGTATATATGCTATGTAAATGCATATAATAGGTCAGGCATGGTGGCTCATGCCTGTAATTCCAGCATTTTGGGAGACTGAGGTGGGTGGATCACCTGAGGTCAGGAGTTTGAAACCAGCATGGCCAATATAGTGAAACTCTGTCTCCACTAAAAATACAAAAATTAGGCCGGGCGCGGTGGCTCACGCCTGTAATCCCAGCACTTTGGGAGGCCGAGGCGGGCGGATCACGAGGTCAGGAGATCGAGACCATCCCGGCTAAAACGGTGAAACCCCGTCTCTACTAAAAATACAAAAAATTAGCCGGGCGTAGTGGCGGGCGCCTGTAGTCCCAGCTACTTGGGAGGCTGAGGCAGGAGAATGGCGTGAACCCGGGAGGCGGAGCTTGCAGTGAGCCGAGATCCCGCCACTGCACTCCAGCCTGGGCGACAGAGCGAGACTCCGTCTCAAAAAAAAAAAAAAAAAAAAAAAAAAAAATACAAAAATTAGCTAAGTGTGGTGGTGGATCGGGATGCTGAGGCAGATAGATCACTCAAACCTAGGAGACAGAGGTTGCAGTCAAATTCACACCATTGCACTCCAGCCTGAGTGACAGAGCCAGACTCTGTCTCAAAAATAAAAGGCATATAATATAATGTATGCACATACAGATAGACAGATTAGATGATAGGGAGATGATACATAGAAGGTAGATAGATAGATAGATAGATAGATAGATAGATAGATAGATAATACATAGATAATTAATGGATAGATATATAGACATAGATATGTACATAGGTGATAACTGATGGATAGATAGATATGTACAGAGAGAGATTAGATAGCTAGATAGAAGATACATGATTGATGGGAAGATAAACAGATGGATGATTGACAGACAAACAGAGGGAGTCTCTCATGCTAAGACAGGGTCTCTAATCCTTACTACTCTTCACATGCCTAACCTAAATACACACCACATGTGCATACATACACTACATACTGCACCCACAGGCACATGCATGTGTACACATGCATGTACACATACACACTAAATACATGCCAGACATGCATACACACATATACACTACACGTTTGCATGTGCATACATATCAGACACAAGCAGGCAAACACATGCACATCACACACACGCACACATGTATACGCCAAAAACATATGTACACAAACTGTGCACATGTGCCCTAAACATATCACATTTGCACACATATCCCACACATATGTGTGATCATATGCATGCACACTCACTAAGGCATACTACACATGGATTAAAACACACACATAATATATACCACAGACATGCATGCACATACATACACAGTAATGCATGCTACATACATGCACACTGGCACTGGTGGTGTGGTGGTGGGCACCTGTAATCCCAGCTACTCGGCAGGCTGACATCACACATACATGCACATATGAAGAGTAAATATATATTAAACACATGCACACGATACCTGCATGCATATATACTTATATACTAACCTGCCTGCCTGCACACTACACACATTCATGCACATATAGGCACACACTAAAAATACACCCCACATATACCACATAACACATATGTGTGGATGAATGCCCATTCACACACACTGAATGCACAGCACATATAAGCACACCACACACATCATGCATGTGAACACACACACTATGAATATATACATGGTCATACACATCATACATGAACACATAGATGCATGTTACATATACACATACATGTCTGCACACAGACATATGTATGTGCACACAGGCTCACACACCACTTCACTGCTGGCCCTGAGGAAGGTGGGACGAGCTACATTTTTTCTGCCTGTCAGCCCAGTGTAAGCAAATGAAGTGACAGTGAGATGCTGGCAGAAAACAGAGTCTGCATATCAGGACACCACAGTATCAGCTATCATGTCTTCCTCCAGGGTCTTTGCTCAGCAGACACTGGGAGAGCCTCACAGTTCTCACGGGACCACCACTGTGGAGGCTGTGCCCTGATTTAACCCCCACCCAGGCCCACTCCCCACTTCAGTTCTTGTTCAAAGATTCCATATGGAACTTGCTGCTTCAGGTCCCAAGAAGAAGAACATTGCCCTTAAAGACATTTCTGTTAGGCCTGGAGCTGTGGCTCATTCTTGTAACCCTAGCACTTTGGGAGGCCAAGGCAGGTGGATCACGAGGTCAGGAGTTTGAGACCAGTCTGGCCAACATAGTGAAACCCCGTCTCTATTAAAAATATAAAAATTAGTGTTGGTGGTGTGGTGGTGGGCACCTGTAATCCCAGCTACTCTGCAGGCTGAGAGAGGAGAATCACTTGAACCTGGGATGTAGAGGTTTCAGTGAGCTGAGATCGCACCACTGCCCTCTAGCCTGGGCAACAGAGAAAGACTCTGTCTCAAAATAAATAAATAAATAAATAAATAAAATAAAATAAAGACATTTCTCTTTGTGAAAATCAATTCCATGTTGACATTCCAGTTTTGCAATTGTTACACAGCAATGCATTTGCAATTATGAAATCCTGACTCTACTAATCAAAGGGAAGCAATTTTCAGTCTTCTCCAGTCTTCTTAGCCAGGTGTGGTGGAAGGTGCCTGTAATCCCAGCTATTGGGAGGCTGAGGCAGGAGAATTGCTTGAACCTGGGAGGCAGAGGTTGCAGTGAGCTGAGATTGAACCTACACAACCAAGGGACAGATCATCTCAACCCCCAAAACACTCCAAGCCTCAAAGGCCTCTGGAAATAGAGGAACGAAATATTGGGACATTTTACTCCCCCAGGCCCAGGAGTCAACTCCTAACTTGATTAAAATCTGTCCAGTCTCGAAAGTCTTGTTCCTCTCCCTGTGTGCAAACTTGGCACTCCTCATGCTACTTTGGAGCCTGCTCCTGTAGGTATCACATCATGAATATTTCAGCAGTTGTTTTTGGCAGCACATGGTGCTAGCATAAAAAAATAAATGAAAGGCCAGGCGTGGTGGCTGAAAACTGTAATCCTAGCACTATGGGAGGTCAAGGTGGGCAGATCACTTGAGGTCAGGAGTTTGAGACAAGCCTGGCCAACAAGGTGAAACTCCATCTCTACTAAAAATGCAAAAATTAGCCAGGTGTGATGTCACATGCCTGTAAAACCAGCTACCTGGGAGGCTGAGGCAGGAGAACTGCTTGAACCCAGGAGATGGAGGTTTCAATAAGCCAGAGATTGCCCCACTATACTCCAGCCTGGGCAACAGAGAGGGACTCTGTCTCAGACTAAAGAAAAGAAAATTGTACATATCCGTGATGCACAACATGATGTTTCAAAACACGTATCTGACCGGGTGCAGTGGTTCACACCTGTAATCCCAGAACTTTGGGAGGCTGAGGTGGGCAGATCACATGGTCAGGAGATCAAGACCATCCTGGCTAACACGGTGAAACCACAAAAAATTAGCCAGGCCTGGTGGTATGTGCCTGTGGTCCCAGCTACTCAGGAGGCTGAGGCAGGAGAATCACTTGAACCAGGGAGTTGGAGGCTGCAGTGAGCCGAGATCGTGCCACTGCACTCCAGCCTGGCAACCGAGCAAGACTCTGTCTCAAAAAAACAGAAAAAGAAAAAGAAACACATATCTACAGCAGAATGGCTAAATCAAGCCAATTAACATATGCATTATCTCAAATTTTTATCATTTTTCGTTAAAATCTACTCAGCAATTTCTACACACACAAAACTTCCTTATTAACTACAGTCACCATGTTGTGCAATAGTTTAGTGAACTGTTATGTTGAAATGTAATAGAACATGGTACCATCAAATATCATAAACTTGGGACATGGTGAAGGCAGGGGAAAATGTTGTGTTTTAGGGAAATTGAATAGATCACAGCATTGACATCAGAGGTTGATACACATGTCCCTGTATCTGTCCTTTAGAAGCTGGGTGGACAGAGGATCAAGAAACGACCCTGGCTGGGTGTGGTGGCTCATGCCTGTATTTCCAGCACTTTAGGAGGCTGAAGCAGGCAGATCACTTGAGGTCAGGAATTCAAGACCAGTCTGGCCAACGTGGCAAAACGCCATCTCCACTAAAAATACAAAAATTAGCCAGGCATGGTGGCACATGTCTGTAGTCCCAGCTAATCTGGAAGCTAAGGCAGGAGAATTACTTGAATCTGGGAGTGGAGGTTGCAGTAAGTTGAGACCGCACCACTGCACTCCAGCTTAGGCCACAGAGCGAGAGGCCACTCCATCTCAAAAACAACAAAAAAGGAAACAACCTCCCCAAGGCACAGACTCTTCATCTGTAAAGCGCATAAAATAAAAACAGAAACTTAAACCCTCTTAATCCAGCCAATCTGGGAGATCAATAGAAGTTTGCCCCAACTCTTTTCCAGCCGAGGCAGGAGGATGGCTTAAGCCCAGGAGTAAAGACCACCCTGGGCAACATAGTCAGAACACATTTCTACAAAAATTATTATTTATTTATTTATTTATTATTTATTTTTTATTATTACTATTTTTTGAAACAGAGTCTTGCTCTGTCACCCAGGCTAGAGTGTAGTGGTACAATCTCAGCTCGCTGCAACCTCCGACTCCTGGGTTCAAGCAATTCTCCTGCCTCAGCCTCCTGAGTAGCTGGGACTACAGATGTGTGCTACCATACCCAGCTAATTTTTGTATTTTTAGTACAGACAGGGTTTCACCATTTGGGCCAGGATGTTCTTGACCTCCTGACCTTGTGATCTACCCGCCTCAGCCTCCCAAAGTGCTGGGATTACAGGCTTGAACCACTGTGCCTGGCCTGCAGATATTTTTACAAATTACCTGGGCATAGTGGTGTGTGCCTTTAGTCTCAGCTACTCAAGAGGCAGAGAGGCAGGAGGATCGCTTGAGTTGATGCTGCAGTGAGCTATACTCATGTCCCTGCACTCCAGCCTTGGTGACAGGCTTATCCTGTTTAGTACTGAAAAAACAAAGCTTATCCTTGTTTAGGACTGATGAAGATCACCATGGTGACAAGGTGGGTTTAGGAAGTTGGGTGGGGGGGACTTCTATAAATAGAATCCAAAATCTAAAAATTATTGATTATCAGTCTTACATTTTATTCTTACCCTATTTCAATCTGATGAAATAGGATAGTGGGATGTGAGTGACTTACTTTTTTTTCTTCATGGATTTCATTTGTGTTTTAAAGTGGTTTCTTTTTTGTTGTTGCAAAAAAAATACATTTTTTTTTTTTTTGAGATGGAATCTCGGTCCGTTGCCCAGGCTGGAGTGCAGTGGTGCGATCTTGGCTCACTGCAAGCTCCACCTCCCAGGTTCAAGCTATTCTCCTGCCTCAGCCTCCTGAGTAGCTGGAACTACAGGCGCATGACACCACACCCGGCTAATTTTTGTATTCTTAGTAGAGACGGGATTTCACCATGTTAGCCACAATGGTCTCGATCTCCTGACCTCATGATCCGCCTCGGCCTCCCAAAGTGCTGGGATTACAGGCATGAGCCACCATGCCCAACCCCAGTCATATTTTTATGTAGACTGAAAATTAAAAATAGACAAAAGGCAAAACTATAGAAGAAGTAAAAAGATCAGTGTTTGTCAGCGTCCTGGGGGAGAGAGAGGAGGAGGAACACAGGAAGCATAGGGGATTTTGAGGGCAGTGAAACTATTCTGTATGATGTATCTGCAGATACTATTCCATATCTACAACTCAGTCTCTATTTATCAAAACCCATAGAACTGCACAGCACAAAGAGTGAGCCCTCATGGAGACTGTGGACTCTGGTGAATGATAATGTCCCACTATCAGCTCATCAGTTGTAACACGTGTACCACACTAATGCGAGGTGTCAATCATGGGGCAAACTTTGTTGTATATACAGGCAAGTGGGTCTAGGGGAACCCTAGACTTTCTGCTCAGCTTTTAAATAAACCTGAAACTGCCCCTAAAAGCAAAGCCTATTCATTTAAAAAATAGAATAAATGGCCCTTCCAGCAACTTGGATGGACTTGGAGGCCATTATTCTAAGCGAAGTAAGTCAGGCATGAAAGGCAAATATTCATGATATTAAGTGAGTATGTTCTCACTTATAACTGGGAGCTAAGCCATGAGGATGCACAGGCATAAGAGTGATATAATGAACTCTGGGGACTTGGCGGGGAACAAGGGAAGGGAGTGGGGAGTAAAACACTACAAATTGAGTACAGTTTATACTACTTGGGTGACAGGTGCATGAAAAATCTCAGAAATGATTAACACCATGAAAGAACTTATCCACATAAATAAAACACTACCTGTTCTCCAAAAACTGCTGAAACAAAATTTTTAAAAAATGAAAAATAGAATAACACTAAAAAATTAACTAAATAAAATAGACAAAAGGAAAACCACTCACCTTGCCACTGCATGTGCTCTGCACAATTCCTTTCCTTATAAGCATTATGGAACAAATAAAAATAGATGATTGAAAAAATGCAGTGATGGCCAGTTGCGGTGGCTCACACCTGTAATCCCAGCACTTTGGGAGGCCAAGGCAAGTGGATCACTTAAGGTCAGGAGCTCCAGCGACCAGCCTGGCCAACATGGCAAAATCCTGTCTCTACTAAAAATACAAAAATTAGCCAGTCATGGTGGCATGCACCTCTAATCCCAGCTACTCAGGAGGCTGAGACAGGAGAATCACTTGAATCTGGGAGGCGAAGTTTACAGTGAGCTGAGATCGGGCCACTGCACTCCAGCACGGACAACAGAGTGAGATTCTGCCTTTAAAAAAATTCAGGGAGTCATTATATTTTTAGTGAAACCAATGATAATAATGATAATAATAATAGTAGGCTGGGTGTGGTGGCTCACGCCTGTAATCAAGAACTTTGGAAAGCTGAGACAGAAGCCCAGTAGTTCAAGATTACCCTGGGGAACATAGGGAGACCCTGCCTCTAAAAAAATTTAAAAATTTAGGTAGGCATCGCGCCTAGTTCCAGCTACTCAGGAGGCTAGATAAGGAGGATCACTTGACCCTCGGAGGCTGAGGCTGCCGTGAGCCATCATTCGCTCCATAGCACTCCAGCCTGGGAGATGAATGAGAACCTGTCTCAAAAATAATAAAAATAATAATAATCACACATGTGACCTCACTTGGTGACTGCGTATTTCGGCTCTGGGATTCAGGGGTCTCCTGCAAGAGCCAGGCTGGAATTCATCCTGCTGATGGAGTGATCCTTCTGGATAGGTCACATATTTGAGCACATTCCCATCTGCTTGAGATTTTCTGCTTTTGCCTACAAATTATCATTTTCCTGCTTATGGCCATGACACAGAAATTAACAGATGCTTGAAGTTTGAAGCCAGTGTTAAAAATAAATTGACATCCTTACAGGGGATATCTCTTGACAACTATGTTATTTATGATTTTGCAAATGCTGGTATTTCTAAATACCATTCGCTTGTTTTTGTTTGTTTGTTTGTTTTTTGAGATGGGGTCAGGCTCTGTGGTCCAGGCTGGAGTGCAGTGGCACAATCTCAGCTCACTGCAACCTCTGCCTCCCGGATTCAAGTGACTTTCCTGCCTCAGCCACCTAGATAGCTGGAATTACAGGCACATGGCACCATGCCCCACCATGCCAAGCTAATTTTTGTATTTTTAGTAGAGACGGGTTTCACCATGTTGGTCAGGCTGGTTTTGTTTGTTTGTTTGCTTGTTTTACATTAAAGTCTTTATAAACTTTAAAAGAAAATGTGGCAGCACAGTGGCTCACACCTATAATCCCAGCACTTTGGGAGGCAGAGTGGGGGCGGATCATGAGGTCAAGAGTTTGAGAGCAGCCTGGCCAACAGGGTGAAACCCCATCTATACTAAAAATGCAAAAACTAGCTGGGTGTGGTGGCACATGCCTGCAATCCCAGATACGCGGGAGGCTGAGGCAGGAGAATCACTTGAACTTGAGGGCACGGAGATTGCCATGAGTCAAGATAGCCCCATTGCACTCAAGCGTCAGTGGAAGAGCAAAACTCCATCTCAAAAAAAAAAAAGAAGAAGAAAGAAAAGAAAATGTGCTTAGCAAAATGTCCCTAAATTTCATAAATACTTACTGTTTTTTCACACACACACACACACAAACACACACATATATATTTTGAGACAGAATCTCACTCTATTGCCCAGGCTGGAGTGCAGTCAGTGGCATGACCTCTGCTCACTGCAACCTCTACCTCCCAGGTTCAAGCGATTCTCCCACCTCAGCCTCCTGAGTAGGGGATTTATAGGTGCGCATCACCATGTCTGACTAATTTTTGTATTTTTAATGGCAACAGGGTTTCACCATGTTAGCAAGGCTGCTCTCGAACTTCTGACTTCAAGTGATCCACCCACCTCAGCTTCCCAGAGTGCTGGGATTACAGACATAAGCCACTGTGCCTGGCCAATAACGTATTTTTAAAAATGTAATAGCCAGGCATAGTGGCTCATGTCTGTAATCCCAGCACTCTGGAAGGCAGAGGTGAAAAATGGCTTGAACCCAGGAGTTTAAGACCACTGTGGGCTACATGGCGAAACTCTGTCTCTATAATAAAATAATAATAATGATAAAATTTTAAAATAACAATAATAAGAATAATAAGCAGTATTTGTTTAAAATGATTAGACATACCAAACCAATCTTCTTCATCTCTACACATCGTCAGCCAAATGCAGGTTTTTTGCTACAATACAAATGTATATTTTTCAGGCCAAATTGCCACTTTCCAAACCCAAAGCAAGCATACTACTCCAGACATTTTGAAGAATTTGGCAGAAAGTGTTGTTGTTTTTTGAATGGCATAAGCTCTTGCCTAACCACATTCCAAAATACTCCGCCATTGTTTGGTTGGGGGAAAGCATCTACTTCTAAAAGTATATTATACAGTTTTTAAGGGGCTGACTGTTTTTACTGGTGATTTATGGTCCTTTTTAAAGCCTCTTAATTCTCTCTGGCACTATTAAACCAAATTCATGACCCACCAAGATGGTGTCAAAGATAAAACTCTCTGAGATTCATAATTGACAGTCAACTGGGAGACCACACCTAAGAAATTAATAGTTCATGTGATACCAACATTTTAAAACAAGGAAAATGTAGAAAACATTGCCTGCTTTTTATATCTTCTCATGACTTTCAGTCTGGGGCAGGTTCAAGCAAGTTCAGTCAAAGAAAAACATTTGTTGCAAAGTTGTCTTTAATCCTCTCATGTCATTTATCATAGCTGAAAAAAAAAATCAGTTATACAGTTGAGGCCTGCTTCATCAAAACTTAAACCTTTGTGTTTCAAAGGACACCATCAAGAAAGGAAATTACAACCATAGTGGGAGAAAATGCAAATCATTTACCCGATTAGAGACTTGTGTACATAATATAGAAATCATCCTTTTCACTCAGAAACAAAATTACTTTTAAAATTCAATTTACAAGTGGGTAGGGAGCCGAATGCAGTGGCTCATGCCTGTTATCCCAGCACTTTGGGAGGCTCAGGCGGGCACATCATTTGAGATCAGGAATTTCAGACCAGCCTGGCCAATGTGATAAAACCCTGTCTCCACTAAAATACAAAAATTAGCCAGGTGTAGGGGCACGCGACTGTAGTCTCCACAAGTAGGTAGGCTGATACAGGAGAATTGCTTGAATCTGACAGGCAGAGGTTGCAGTGAGCCAAGATCACACGACTGAACTCCAGCCTGGGTGATGGAGCGAGACTGTCTCTCCAAGAAAAAAAAAAGTGGGTAGGGCTAGGTACGGTGGCACATGCCTGTAATCCCAACATTTTGGGAGGCTGAGGTGGGTTAATTACTTGAGGTCAGGAGATTGGGACCAGCCTTGCCAACATGGTGAAAGCCCTGTCTCTACAAAAATATAAACATTTAGCTGGGTGTGGTGGTGTGCCCCTGTAATTCCAGCTACTTGGGAGGCTGAGGTATAAGAATTGCTTGAGCCTGGTAGGAGGAGGTTGCAGTGAGCCAAGATCATGCCACTGCACTCCAGCCTGGGTGACAGAGCAAGATTCTTTCAGAAAAAAATAAAAATAAAACATAAAAATATAAGTGGGTAAACAATTTAAATTGTACATCCCTCCAAAAATACACGAGTGACCAATAAACACATGAAAAGATAGTCAATATCACTGGCCATCAAAGATATGCAAATTCAAGACATCATCGGAATGCTTACACACCACTGGTAGGAATGTAAATTATTTCAGCCCTTGCAGAAAGCAGTTTGGAGACTTCCCAAAGAACTCAAACTAGAACTAGCTCTTGGTCCAGCAATTGCATGACTGGGTATCTATCTAAAGGAAAAGTAATCATTTTACCAAAAAGACATCTGTACTCATATGTTTCTAGCAGTACTAGTCACAGTAGCAAAGACGTGAAATCAACCCAGGTTCCCATCAATAGTGGATAAAGAAAATGTGGTACATATACACCATAGAATATTACAAAGCCACAGAAAAGAATGAAATCATGCCCTTTGCAGCAACATGGATGGAGCTGGAGGCCATTATTCTAAGTAAACTAATTCAGAAACAGAAAATCAAATACTGCATGTTTTTACTTATAAGTGGGAGCTAAACATTGTGTACTTACAGACATAAAGATGGGGAAAGCAGACTCTGGGGACTCCTAGAAGTGGGGGGAGGGGGAGCAAGGGTTGAAAAACTAACCATTGAGTACTATGTGGGTGACAGGCTCAACAGAAGCCCAAACCTCAGCACCATGCAATATATCCATGTAACAAACCTGTCCACATACCCTCTGAATTTAAAATTTTTCTTAAAAACCCACCATCAGATTGAGTTCATACCCACTAGGATAGCTAGTGTCAAGGTCGGATAATAACAAGTGCTGGTGAGCATGTGGAGAAATTGGAACCCTCCTAGAGTGTTATGTAAGATTGTACAGCCACTGTGGAAAACAGTCAGACGGCTCCTGAAAAATGGCGTTCTTCATAATTTTCAAGGATGTAAAGGGGTCTCAAGACTAAAAATTTGAGACCCACTCCTTAATGAAAATATTTTCTCATATGTAACTTCTGTTTGTTGACTTCTTCTCAATTCAATTGTTGCATTCAACTAACTGGATCGAGACATCATCTCTCTACAGAGAAGTTGATTTTTGTCTTTATTTTCTCTCTGAAGCCAATGAGAAAAACATATAGAGCCTCCTGTAATAGCCACTGAATTATAAGAGACAAAATAAAACCAAATGATGACAGCATGAAACAGACATACTGAACAAACTCATTTGCTAATATGGAGTTATAGCTACTTGTAAGCTAATTTAAGTGCTTTCCTTTGCCATATTGTATGCTACAACATCAACTCTGAGATCTAAACTGGCTCTAACTCTATTCAACACTATGTACTAATGATACATAAGGCAGGGGTCTGTTTTTTATAAACAAAGTTTTATGGGAACACAGGCGCTCCCGTTCATTTAAGTATAGTCTGTATCTGTCTTCTGCTTCCTCAACGGAGTTGACCTCTTGCTACAGAGACTGTGTGATCTGCAAAGCCAAGAATACTTAGCATGTAGGCCTTTACAGAGAAAGTTTGCCAAACCCTGCTAAATGATATAAATTGGACCCAGATTTTGCAGAAATTGCAAGGGTAAGCGTGCAGAAAAGAGAAACAAAAAGTAGAAATGGGGGCTGGGCACGGTGGCTCATGCCTGTAATCCTCCCAGCACTTTGGGAGGCCGAGGCAGGTGGATCATGAGGTCAGGAGATCGAGACCATCCTGGCTAACATGGTGAAACACCGCCTCTACTAAAAATACAAGAAAATTAGCCAGGCGTGGTGGTGGGCACCTGTAGTCCCAGCTACTTGGGAGGCTGAGGCAGGAGGATGGCGTGAACACAGGAGGTGGAGCTTGCAGTGAGCTGAGATCGTGCCACCACACTCCAGCCTGGGCAACAGAACAAGACTCAGTCTCAAAATAAATAAATAAATAAATAAAAAATAAAAATAAAAATAAAAAATAAAAAGTAGAGATGGGCAGATCTGGGTTCAGGGGGACTTGCAATTCTGGGTGAGGTCACTGGCCAAAGAGGCTTGCCCAGCTCTGAAGCCATGCCAGGTCTTGTACTGGTATGTCAGAACACAGTCTGCTGCATGGGGCTGAGACACTGAAAATATAAACAGACAATGGCTAGGCCATGTATAAATAGAGAATCCTGACCCAAGATCTACAGCAACCAGCCTAGAAATCAATCCACTGCCTGTAGTAACCAGTCCCAAAAGCCAGCCTACTAGCTGCAAGTCTTGCTTGTGGTAAGTAAATCAGAACACTGTCTCTAGTAACAGCCCAGGAAGCCAAACAATGACCCCTGTAATCATTGGCCCCAAATGACCGGACTTGTTTAATAACTGACAGCGTTCCTAATTTTTGTCCCACTTCTAAATTAGGACCAACGAGAGACTACCACACATGCACTTGTAACCAATAACATGGAATGTCCTGCCTGTAGTGAGCCTCCTACATCTCCCTGTGCCAGCCACCTCCAGTCAGGGCACACCTGAAGCCTCCCCTTTTCTCCACTATGAAGCTGTCCTGCTTCTCTGCCTGCCTGTGAGTCTCCGCCAAATGCTTTTTAGAAGATGAATAGGTGGGTAGATGGATGAATAGATATTGAATGGATAGATAAATGAATCATGGATAGAGGATGGATGGATGGATGGATGGATGCATAGATAATGGGTGACTGGATGAACAGAAAATGAATGAATGGATGGATGATGAGTGAATAGATGATGTATAAATTAATTATGGAGGGATGACTAGAAAATAGATTGATGATGGATGGATGAATAGAGGGATGGAAAAATGGATATATAGTAGATGGATAAGTGATAGAAAGATTGCCAGATTGACAGATGAATAATGGATAGATGAATGGATGGATAGATGAATGAATGGATAGATGGATGATTGATTGATGAATTGATAAATGTATAATGGATGAATGGATGGATGATGGATGAATGGATGGATGAGTGAGTGGATGGATGGATGGATGTGTGGGTGAGTGGTTGGGTGATGAAGGGAGGGAGGGATAAATGAATGGTGGGTGTACTGATGGATGGATGGATGATGGACAGATGAATAGATAATGTATGAATGGATGGATGATGAATAAATCAGTGGATAGATAAATAGATAATGTATAAATTGATGGATAGATGGGTATATAACAGGTGGACAAATGGATGAATGAATGGATGAATGAATGAACAGATGGATGGATGAATAGAAATATAATGGGTGGATGTATAAATATATAATGGATGGATGAAGGATTGATGGATGGATGGGTGGATTGATAGATGGATATATAATGTATGCATGAATGTATGAATAGATGTAAAATGGATGGATGGATGGAAACATAGATGGATGATGTGGCTGAACCCATTGCTATGGCAATCTCTGAAGGGACAACCTTAATTTCTTCTGATGTTGTTGGTCTTTGTTTATTTCCACAAAGCAAAGCAGCAAGAGCTAGCAATTGGTGCAAAATTCACAATTAGGTCAGCAGCTGAGTGCTATACTTAGATAGTTGAAGGCAACAGAGGGCCAAAGTACAAGAGCAAGATCAATTTCACCAAGAGAGAGTCCCAAGGGCCAAGTCTGACATCTTTTTCTGGCATGGAAATTGGTTGGTTCAGTGACAATTAGGGAGAAGACTGTCAAGCTACGTATGCATGAGGAATTTCTGGGTCATCAGATACTGACATGTCCCAGCCCCAAACTCTGATTCTTCCAGCTGGTGAAGACATCCTTAGCATTGGCTCAGGCCCAGTGAGGGCTGAACTCAAAGGCAGAAGGGCTGTAGTATCTGTGACAGGGAGAGGCTGAGAAAGGTGGCAAAAGACACACAAAACAAATAAAAAGAAAGGAAACTTCCAAGTTTGACTCAACCACAGACAAGTGAGAAAGAAGATCAGCTTAAAAAATAGAAATGCTTACAAAATTGTTCTTTTTTTTTTCTTAAAGGAACTGACTGCTTTTTAAAGGAATTGAGAAATTGGGAAACAGACTAGAGTGGAGTTATAAATGGAATCATTGATAGATAGTTCATAAACCCAAGTAGACTACCTATTTAGGTGTTACAACTTCTCTCAAACAGCAAGGTACCAGGCAGCTCACACTTCATCTCAGTATCAGCAGACTCGGTCCACTTTTAGAAGATTACATTTTGTAATCTTCTAAAATGTTCATGACTCTTCACACTCATTTGCAAATACAGGGATAAATTTTTAAGACTTTATTTTGACACCTATAAAAATGGTGCCTAATTCTGCAACACCCAGCCAAACGTCATTGGCTTATATGGAACTATTAAAAATATACAAAATGGCTGTGCACGGTAGCTCATGCCTGTAATCCCAGCACTTTGGGAGGCTGAGGTGGGTGGATCTTGAGGTCAGGAGATCGAGACCATCCTGGCTAACACAGTGAAACCTCATCTCTACTAAAATTACAAAAAATTAGCCAGGCATGGTGGCGCATGCTGGTAATCCCAGCTATGTGGGATGCTGCGGCAGGAGAATTCTTGAACCAGAGGCGGAGGTTGCAGTGAGCTGAGATGGTATCTGCACTCCAGTCTGGGTGACAGAGTGAGACACCATCTCAAAAAAAAAAAAATACATAAAACATAAACATATTAATATAATGAATAGATTACTATCTATTATTTACTAAATAGCAAACATAAGAAAATGTATCATTATTTATTATTACCAGGCACTGTATGAAACATAGGAAAATGTATTATTATTGATATTAAGTAACAATTATCATTGCTTAGTTATTAAATACCAAACATTATGACAAACCCTTTACATAAAATGTCTTGATTTCACAAAAGTCATCTGAGATTCAGGACCAGAATCTAACCCCAGGTCAATTGGATTTTTTGTCTGTTTTGAGACGGGTTCTTGTTCTGTTGCCTAGACTGAAGCACAGTGGGACAATCACAGCTCACTGTACCCTCAACCTCCTGGGTTCAAGTGATCCTCCCACCTCAGCCTCCAAGTAGCTGAGACTACAGGTGTGCATCACCATGTCAGGCTAACTTTTTATTTCGTAATTTTTTGTAGAGACAGAGTCTCACTATGCTTCCCTGCTGGTCTCAGACTGCTTGCCTCAGGCAATCCTCCTACCTCAGTCTCCTAAAGTGCTGGGATTACAGGCATGAGCCACCATGCCCAGCCTCAATTTGATTTTAAGGCTAATTTGCTTAACAGTGAGTCTATTGGAGACACACACAGAAAATAGGAAAAAGAAGAATGCCGCTTTTAGAACCACAACTACCTTTGAAGAAGAGAGAATCAACTTGAATGGAAACCTTGATGTTCCACTGCATACCCCAGTGGGCTGAATGTGTGTTTTGGGAGCAGAAGCTGGAGAGGGCTGGATGAATTTTCAGAATCAGTGAAGGAAGAGCAAGAAGGAAATTCCAGGGAGCCAAAGAGGGGTGGGAAACAGGATAACGCATTTTAAACTCATTCTCTGCTTTCTCTCTCACCACTGTATTTTGCTATGTCTGTTATGCTACACTGGGAAGGCTGCATCAGTGTGGTGTGTTTGCTTGAAAGTTGCAGAAGAGGTTGGCTTTCATTACAGATTCTGGGGTGTGTGTGTGGAAGCAGAATTCCAGAGTACAGGGCTTCTATAAGAAGGTAATGTTCCTTCCAGCCTCCAAGGAAGTCACAGAAATTGGGAAACAGATTTGAATTTTCATGAGAAGTAAAAATAGGAGCTTGAGACAATTTTATCTCAAGGTGCCAGGGGCCCAGCCAACATTGGCACACAAATGTTCCTTATGAACATGCACATACACAAACACACAGTTTTCTAAACAGCCTTGTCCAACATCGCAATTTAGACACAAACTGCGCCTAAATTAATTACATGGGGAAAAATATTAGCGTAAGGGCCAGACCAGGAATTTTTAGAATTCTGGTTGATTGTCCAAGAGGCCATCCATGTTCCATGTTTATATTCATCCATCCATTCATTCACCTAACATCCATCTGTGTATTCATCCATCTATCCATTCATCCATCCATTCATCCATCCATCCATCCATCCATCCATCCATCTTCCGTCATCCATTCCATCCATACATCCATCTGTCTTCCTTTTATTTTATTTTAATTAATTAATTATTTAATTAATTAATTTACTTTGAAACAGAGTTTCACTCTGTCACCCAGGCTGGAGTGCAGTGGCATGATCTCAGCTCACTGCAACCTGCGCCTCCAAGGTTCAAGCAATTCTCCTGCCTCAGCCTCCTGAGTAGATGGAATTACAGGCGTATGCCACCATGCCCCACTAATTTTTGTATTTTTAGTAGAGATGGGCTTTCACCATGTTGAGCAGCCTGGTCTCGAACACCTGACCTCAGGTGATCTGCCCACCTTGGCCTCCTAAAGTACTGGGATTACTGGTGTGAGCCACCATGCCTGGCTTCTGTCATCCTTTTATGTATACATCAATCAATCCACCTGTTTATTACCTATTCACTCATCTATCCTAGATCCATCAATTCAGTATCTATTCATCTATCTATCATACCATCCATCACCCATCTATCCATTCACCTGTTATCTACCATCAATTCATCCATATTTTATATATCCATCCATCCTTCATCTTTCATCCATCTGTCTACCATGCATGCATCCATCTCAATTTATTCATTATAGTCCTTGGTGATGGTTCTAAGAAAATTCTTGATAATCTGTATAGAAAATGGTCCTCTCCTTGATCAAGCACAGCAGGCTGGAACCAGGACACAGAAAAGATTCATAAGAATGAGGCCACATTGGCCAGGCACAGTGGCTCACACTTTGGGAGGCCGAGGCGGGCAAATCACAAATCAGGAGTTCAAGACCATGTTGGCCAACATGGTGAAACCCCGTCTCTACTAAAAATACAGAAATTAGCTCGGCGTGGTGGCATGTGCCTGTAGTCCCAGCCACTCAGGAGGCTGAGGCAGGAGAATCGTTTGAACCTGGGAGGCAGAGGTTGCAGTGAGCTAATATCACAGCACTGCACTCCAGCCTAGTGACAGAGAGAGACTCCATCTCAGAAAAAAAAAAAAAAGAATGAGGCTGTATTGGAGCAACTACTGGACACAGGCAAAGCCCTGCCTAGGGAAGTATAGTATTAATAGTTCCCTAAAACAATTGAAAATAGAATTACCATCTAATCCAGCAATTCCACTTCTCGGTATATACCCACAAATATTGAAAGCAAGATCTCAAAGAGATATTTGTATGTGTTCATAGCAGGATTACTCACAGTAGCCAAAAGATGGAAGAATCCCAAATGTCCATAGATGAATAAATAAGTAAAATGTAGTATATGAATACAATGAAATATTATTCAGCCTTCAAGGGAGAAAATTCTGACATATGCTATAATATAGATAAATCTTGAGGACACTATTCTAAGTGAAACAAGCCCGTCATGAAAAGACAAATAATATATGATTCCACTTACACGAAGTCCCTTGAGGAGTCAAATACTTGGAGACAGAGTGTAGAATCGTTGTTGTCAGGGGCTGGTGGGGAGGGAAAATGAAAAATTATTACTTAATAGCTACACATTTCTTGTTTGGGGTGAAGAAAGCGTTTTGGAAATAGATCATGGTGATAGTTGCACAACAATGTAAATGCACTTAATACTACCAAATTGTACAGTTAAAAATAATTTAATTGGAAAGTTTTATGTGACATACATTTTACCACAGTTTTTTAAAGTTTAGCCTGGGGCATCAAATAGCAAGGATCTTGGGGGAAAGAGTGGAGGGACATACAAACCTGCCTGAGGCACAATCACATAAGCAAGATAAAAAAGCAGAAAAAAGAACAATAGCAAAAGATGGCACGAAATTCGCAGGGACTAATGTCTCTATGGGACTAGGAATTCCTTAAATGGGAAAATGACTTGAGTCCATTCAGCTGGACTTCAACCCAGAATTCATCCAAAATAAGGCTACAGACCTGGCCACACTCAATATATCCAATGCAGGGAATCATGATGACATTTCCAAGGCTGTCTAAATTTTTGTGCTTCTTTTTTTGGTTATTTTGGGAGATGGAGTCTCGCTCTGTTGCCCAGGCTGGAGAGCAGCGGCATGATCTCAGCTCACTGTAACCTCTGCCTCCTGGGTTCAAGCGATTCTCTGCCTCGGCTTCCGGAGTAGCTGGGATTACAGGCATGCCTGCCACCATGCCTGGCTATTTTTTGTATTTTTAGTAGACATGGGGTTTCACCATCTTGGCCAAGCTGGCCTTGAACTCCTGACCTCATGATCCACCCACCTCAGCCTCCCATAGTGCTGGGATTACAGACATGAGCCACCATGCCCCACCAAATTTTTATGCTTCTTATCTTGAAGTCATTAATTCCCACCAACCAGGTTATATTAAAAATTAATAGGGACTGGGTGTGGTGGTTCACACCTGTAATCCTGCCACTTTAGGAGGCTGAGGCAGGCAGATAACTTGGGGTCAGGAGTTCAAGACCAGCCTGACGAACATGGTGAAACCCTGTCTCTACCAAAAAATACAAAAATTAGTTGGGCATGGTGGCAGGCACCTGTAATCCCAGCTACTCAGGAGACTGAGGCAGGAGAATTGCTTGAACCTGGGAGGTGGATCTTGCAGTGAGCCAAGATCATGCCACTGCACTCCAGCCTGAGCGACAAGCGAGACTCTGTCTCAAAAAAAAAAAAAAAATTAATAAGGCCGTGTGTGGTGACTCATGCCTATAATCTCAACACTTTAGGAGGCTGTCGTGGCTGGATCACCTGAGGTCAGGAGTTTGAGACCAGCCTGGTGAAATCCCACCTCTACTAAAAATACAAAAATTAACTGGGCTTGCTGGCGCACACCTGTACCCAGCTACTTGGGAGGCTGAGGCAGGAGAATCTCTTGAACCTGGGAGGCGGAGTTTGCAGTGAGCCAAGAGCATGCCACTGGACTCCAGTCTGGGTGACAGAGAAAGACTCTGTTTCAAAAAATAAAAATAAAAATAAATAAATAAAAATTAATAGGCTGGGTGCAGTGGCTCACACCTGTAATCCCAGCACTTTGGGAGACCAGAGCAGGTGGATAAACTAAGGCCAGGAGTTGAAGATCAGCCTGGGCAACATGGAAACCCTGTCTACTAAGATATAATCCCAGCTACTTGGGAGGCTGAGGTGGGAGAATCGCTTGAACCCAGGAGGCAGAGGTTGCAGTGAACTGATATTGCACCACCCCAAAACTGTCAGGCAAATACCTCAGTGGATTTAGCTGAAAGGAGGAGAATAAAAGCATGTAGTTCTTTCTGACGATATTAGTGAGTTTGTCTTTGGGATAAACAGAGTGAAATGCTTTAAAATTACTAAGCACCAGAAAAGCATGCTAATCATGAATCAGCATGAAAATCATGCTTCTCATGCATTTGCACTTCAAGGTTGATTTATTATACTTGGCAACAAGATGAGAAGAAAATAAGTAGGTTATTATTTATATAACCATCATCATTTTTTCCCAGAGATCTATTATTAGTAATATGCAAAGTCCTATAATACATAGGTGAGTTTGTCTTTCAAAAAGAAAGAAGGGAGGGAAAGACTTGTGGGGGGGAACTATCCCCCATTTATTAAGAAATAAGTAGGTTATTAAGAAAATAACTAGCTTATTATTTATATAACCCCATCATTTTTTTCCCGCAGGATCTATCATCAGTAATTTTCAGAGTCCTGTAATACATAAGTGAGTTTGTCTTTCAAAAAGAAAGAAGGAAGGGAGGGAAGGGGGTGAACTACGATTTATTAAGTAGCTTGTCTACATTAGGCAATAAGTAGCTTTTCCCAAATTCCAAAATGAAATCCATGTTAGTTTTGTAACGCTGCTGTAAAAAAAATCACCACAAACGTATGTGCCTAACACTAACAAATGTATTATAGTTTTGGAGGTCAGAAGCCCTACACAAGGTTCATGGAGTTAAAATTAAGGTGTTGACTGGGTACAGTGGCTGACACCTGTAATCTCAGCACTTTGGGAGGCTGAGGCAGGAGGATTGCTTGAGGCCAGGAGTTCAACACCAGCCTGGACACTATAGCAAGACTCCCTGTCTACAAAAAGTACCAAAAATTAGCTGGGTATGTTGGTGCCTGCCTGTAGTCCCAGCTACTTGGGAGGGTGAGGTGGAAGGATCGCTTGAGCCCAGGAGCTCAAGGCTGCAGTGAGCCGTGATTGTAGCACTGTACTCCAGCCTGGGTGACAGAGAGAGATTCTGTCTCTTACAAAACCCAGGAGTGCTGGTTCTTTCTGGAGGCTGTGGGGAGGATCCGTTTCCTGCCTTTTTTAGTTTCCAGCATTTCCAAGCTCATGGCTCTCCCTCACTCGCATCTCAGCTTCCATTTTCATGTCTCCTTCTCCAACTTGGACCCTCCTGCCTCCCTCTTAGAAGGAGCCTGTGACGGCATTTAGGGCCAACCTGGGTCATCCAGGGGCATCTCCCATCTCAAGATCCTTAACCTCATCTCATCTGCAAAGTCCTCCTGACCGTGCAAGATCAGCTGTTCCCAGGTTCCAGGGATTCAGATGTGGACATCTTTGGGGAGCCATTATTCTACCTATCACAGTAGCCTATATGCTTTTTCCCCCAAAACTCTCTGAAGTAACCACTGTTACCTCATCAGGCAAAAATTCTGAGACCCAGCCAAGTGAATTACTGTGGATAATATCACGTCAACTAGAAAGTGGCCCCAGGTAGTCAAACCATATGCTTTTTCTTTTTCCTTCAACTTTTATTTTAAGTCCGGGGGTATCAGTGCAGGCTGTGCAGGTTGTTTCATAGGCAAACGTGGGCCATGCTGCTTTGTTGTTTTTCACTTTTTAATAATCGCCATTCCGACTGGCATGAGATAACAACTCATTATGGTTTTCATGTACATTTCATTACCCAGGTATTGAGCCTGGCATCCATTAGCTATTCTTCCTGATGCTCTCCTTCCCCCTGCGCCCCCTTACAACAGGCCCCAGAGTGTGCTCTTCCCCACAATGTGTCCATGTGTTCTCATCGTTCAGCTCCCAATTATAAGTGAGAACATGCAGTGTTTGGTTTTCTCTTCCTGTGTTAGTTTCCTGAGGATAACAGCTTCCAGCTTCATCCACGTTCCTGCAAAGGACATAATCTCACTCCTTTTTATGGCTGCATAGTATTCCATGGTGTCTATGGACCACATTTTCTCTATCCAGTCTACCACTGATGGTCATTTGGGTTGATCCCGTGTTGTTGCTATCATGAATAATGCTGCAGTGAACATACACGTCTATGTATCTTTATAATAGAGTAATTTATAGTCCTTTGAGTATATACCCAGCAATAGGATTGGTGGGTTAAATGATAGTTTTGCCTCTAGATCTTTGAGAAATCACCACACTCTCCCACAATGGTTGAACTAATTTACACTCCCACCAATAGTGTAAAAGCCTTCCTTTTTCTCTGCAACCTCACCAGCTTCTGTTTGTTTTTCACTTTTTAATAATTGCCATTCTGACTGGCGTGAGATGGTCTCTCATTGTGGTTTTGATTTGCATTCCTCTAATCGGACCATATCCTATCTTCTTGCAAGTACATCTTCTTGTTACAATGAGCTGCCTCCCAAAGTTCCTTCCAAAGATGTCCAATATTATGTCAGAAATGGGGTATTAAGTCCCATCTTTATCATCACCCACCTTCAAATATAACTGAACTCATGAAGACGTATTCACTGAGCATCTATGGTGGGTCACACTAACCACCCTCAGAGAGCTAGTCAAACAGAGCAATATCCTGCCACATATAATCAAATAGCAAATATATTCACTGAAGATATTGGTCAATGACAAAAAAATGAAACTGGGCAGCATAGTGAGATCCTACCTCTGTCAAAAAAAGCAAATTTTAATTAGCTGGGCATAGTGCTGCCCACCTGTGGTCCCAGCTATTTGGAAGACTGAGGCAGGAGAATCTCTCGAGCCCAGGATTTCAAGGCTACAGTGAGCCATGATCACACCACTACACTCCAGCCTGGGCAACAGAGTGAGACCCCATATTTGTTAAACACGCACACACAGACACACACAAAAACACAAAACATCAGTTAGACAGGATGCATAAATTCAATAGATCTATTTTACAGCATGATGACCACAGTACATAACAATATATTGTATTGTTGGCAAACGGTGAAGACATTCACCGTTAAATGAAAATTACTAAGAGAGTAGATTTTAAGTGTTCTCACCACGTAAACATAACTGTGTTAGGGAATGTTAATTAGCTCAATTTAGCCATTCCACAATAGATATATGTATCACAACATCATAAATACATATAATATTTGATTTGTCAATTAAAAAAGATTATGCTAGCTGGAAACAGTGGCTCATGCCTGTAATCCAGCACTTTGGGAGGCCGAGGCAGGTGGATTGCCTGAGCTCAGGAGTTCGAGACCAGCCTGGGCAACATGGTGAAACCCTGTCTCTACTAAAATACAAAAAAATTAGCCAGGGATGCTGGCATGTGCCTGTAGTCCCAGCTACTCGTGAGGCTGAGGCAGAAGTGCTTGAATGCTTGAGGCAGAGGCTGCAGTGAGCCAAGGTCTCACCACTGCACTCCAGCCTGGGCAACAGAGTAAGACTCTGTCTCCAAAAAAAAAAGAAAAGTCAATATAAATGTGTTTTAAAGTAAAAAAAAAAAAAAAAGAATATAGAGAAAAAAAGAGCATGGAAATATTGAAAATAATAAATAAAATAATGTATTTTAATTGAAATGCATAATTTACAAGCCAGGCACTGGTCCCAACTATTCAGGAGACCAAGGCAGGAGGATCTTTTGACCCCAGGAGTTTGAGCTTATCCTGGGCAACACAGCAAGACCCCATCTCTAAAAAAGAAAAAGATGAATAATTTATAATTCCTACATCTACATTGTTTCTGTTTTGTTTTGTTTGAGATGGAGTTTTGCTTGGTCACCCAGGCTGGAGTGCAATGACACCATCTTAGCTGACTTCATCCTCTGCCTCCCAAGTTCAAGTGATTCTCCTACTTCAGCCTTCCAAGTAGCTGGGACTTCACTTGCCTGCCACCATACCTGGGTAATTTTTGTACTTTTAGTAGAGATGGGATTTCACCATGTTGACCAGGCTGGTCTCAAACTCCTGACTTCAAGTGATCCACCTTCCTCAGCCTCCCAAAGTGCCGGGATTATAGGCATAAGCCACTGCTCCTGGCCCCAAAATTCCTTTATCTACATTGTTGAATGGGGCAATGACAGGGAAACCAGCTGTAGCCCAATTCAAGATTGGATTGCTTAAATTGGGAGGCATCATCCCAATTAGTGACTTAACACAATCAATAGCACTCTTATATTTCTGTAAGTCAGAAGTTCTTAATGGGTCTTACAGGCTGTTCTAACATTGCTATGAAGAACTACCTGAGACTGGGTAATTTATAAAGAAAAGAGGTTTAATTGACTCATGATTCTGCAGGCTGTACAGGAGGCATGGCTGGGGAGGCCTAGGGAAACGTACAATCCTGGCAGAAGGCGAAGAGGAAGGAGGCACATTCTGTATGGCTGGAGAAGGAAGAAGAGAGCAAAGGTGGAGGTGCCACACACTTTTAAACAATCAGATCTTGGGAGAACTCATTCACTATCATGATAACAGAAAGGGGGAAGTCTGCCCTTATGATTCAACTACCTGCCACCAGGCCCCTCGTCCAACATCACGGATTACCATTCAACAGCAGACTTGGGTGGCAATATGGTTTGGCTGTGTCCCCACCCAAATCTCTTCTTGAACTGTAGTTCCCATAATCTCCAGGTGTCATGGGAGGGAACCAGTGGGAGGTAATTGAATCATGGGGGCAGTTACCTCCGTGCTGTTCTCATGATAGCGAGTGACTTCTCATGAGATCTGATGCTTTTATAAGGGACTTTGCCCCGCTTCACTCTGCACTTCTCCTGACCGTAGCCACGTGAAGGATGGCTTCCCCTTCCACCATGATTGTAAGTTTCCTGAAGCCCCCAGCCATGCTGACCTGTGAGTCAATTAAACATCTTTCCTTTATGAATTACCCAGTCTTGGGTATGTCTTTATTAGCAGTGTGAGAAGGAACTGATACAGGTGGGGACAAAAATTCACATCATATCATAGGCTGAAACCAAGATGTGGGCAAAACTGGTTCTTTCTGGAAGCTCTAGGGGTAAAATTAATTTCCTTAGCTTTCCCATATTCTGGAAACCACCCACATCCCTTGGCTCACGGCCCCTTCCTTTATCTCCAAAGCACATCATTCCACCTCTGCTTCCATCCTCATGTCTTCGTCTCTGACTCTGACCTCCTACTTCCCTCTTATAAGGATGCCTGTGATGACATTGGACATATGTGGATTATCCACGATCATCCCCCAATCTCAATATCCTTAACTTTGTCACATCTGCAAAGTCCCTTTGACTATGTAAGGGAATGTAGCCACTAGTTCCAGGGATTAGGGTATGGATGTCCTTCAGTAACATTATTCTGCCAACATCACCAAGCTTCTGTGTGGAAGTCCGCTCTCTATGGGGGTAATGCTTCCAGCCCTTGGTCAAGGACCACAGAATGCCTCTCATTAGTTTCTTCCTGCATCTCCACCTTCCCAAGAACAGGCAGTTTCCATCAGCAGTGATGACACAAGTCTATCTCATTGCTTTTCAGCTCTCCAGCGGGCAATTCTAAGCTCTCAAAAAAATTCTTGCCTTTTTTTTTTTTTTTTTTTTTTTTTTTTTTTTGAGGCAGAGTCTCACTGTGTCACCCAGGCTAGAGTGCCATGGTGTGATCTCAGCTCACTGCAAGCTCTTCCTCCCGGGTTCATGCCATTCTCCTGCCTCAGCCTCCTGAGTAGCTGGGACTATAGGTGCCTGCTACCATGCTTGGCTAATTTTTTGGTATTTTTAGTAGAGATGGGGTTTCACTATGTTAAACAGGATGGTCTCAAGCTCCTAACCTCATGATCTGCCTGCCTCAGCTTCCCAAAGTGCTGGGATTACAGATGTGAGCCACTGCGCCCAGCCAATTCTTTCTTCTTTTTAACCTAGCAAACTCAGCTATTATTTTTGACAACATAGAAAAAAAATCAATCGACCTGTATTGTTTAATTATTTAATCAAAATTTAAAGTGGATAAGATACCTCTTTTTGGGGTAGGGGACAAGGTCTTGCTCTGTCACCCAGGCTGGAGTGCGGTGGTGTGATCATAGCTCACTGCAGCTGTGACTTCCTGAGATCCTTCCACCTCAGCCTCCCAACTAGCTGGGACCAGAGATACACACCACCATGCCCTGCTAATTTTTGTATTTTTTGTAGACACAGAGTTTTACCATGTTGCCCAGGCTGTCTCAAGACTCCTGAGCTCAAGCAATCCACCCGCCTCAGTCTCCCAAAATGCTGGGATTACAGGCATGAGCCACCAAGCCCAACCAAGAAAACTTTCAAATATTCATTTACACATGGAATGCTGTCAGAGTCTAAATTTCAAAATTAAATTTAAAGTTGTCCTCTAAGCTGTTACTAAAAGTTAAAAAAAAAATCAGATGCTGGCAAAGCTGCAGAGAAAAGACGACATTTATAGACTGTTGATGGGAGCATAAATTAGTTCAGCCACTGTGGAAAACAGTCTGGAGATTTCCCAAAGGACTTAAAACATAACCACCATTTGACCCCGAAATCTCACTACTGGGTATATACCCAAAGGAATATAAATCATTCTACCATGAAGACACATGTACATGTATGTTCACTGCAGCACTATTCATAATAGCAAAGACATGGAATCAACCAAAATGCCCATAAATGACAGATTGTATAAAGGAAACATGGTACATACACACCATGGAAAACTATGCAGCCATGAAAAAGAAGGAAATCACATCCTTTGCAGCAACCTGGATGCAGCTGGAGGCCATTATCCTAAGCAAATTCAGGCAGGATCTGAATGCCAAATACTGCATGTTCTCACTTCTAACTAGGAACTAAACATTTAGTTCACATGGACACAAAGAAGGGTACGATAGATACTAGGGCCTACTTGAGGGTTTAGGGTAGGAGGAGAATGAATATTGAAAAACTGCCTATCCAGTATTATGCTGATTACCTACATACCAACATGGCCAGCCAATTTTAAATTTTTTATAGAGACAGGGATCTTACTGTGTTGCCCAGAATGGTCTCAAACTTCTAGCTTCAGGGAATCCTCCTACTTCAGCCTCTAAAATGCTGGGATTACAGACAAGAGCCACCATGACTGGCCTCTATTTTATTTTTTGAGACGGAGTCTCTCTCTGTCACCCAGACTGGAGTGCAGTGATGTGATTTTGGCTCACTGCAACCTCCACCTCCCAGGTTCAAGCAATTCCCCTGCCTCAGCCTCCCAAATAGCTGGGATTATAGGCACATGCCACCGCACTCGGCTAATTTTTTTGTATTTTTAGTAGAGACAGGGTTTCACCATGTTGGCCAGATTGGTCTCAAACTGGTGACCTAAGACAATCTGCCTGCCTTGGCCTCCCAAAGTGCTGGAATTACAGGTGTGAGCCACCACGCCCAGCCAACTGGCCTCTAATGATAGACATACAAAGCTCAAAAGATGAAGCAGGACCTCAAGTTTATGTCTTGTCCTCAATGTTCCATCCTATTTTTTTTTACTGGGATCTACTTTATATTTTAAAATAATGTATTTGTCCAGAAATTTCTTGTGCTTCTTAACTTTAGATGGTATCTATTAACTTTCTGTTTGTAGGATGATGGCTTTTGGTTTTTTGCCCAATCACTATTCCTCAAGTGCCTACACACACACACACACACACACACACACACACACTTTCTTTCTATTCAGCTTCCTGATATGGCTACATCACCAATGTTTACTAAATGAATACTCAAGCTTACATTATGTGAGTTATCTAAATATTGAGATGTGCCTAACATTCCTTCCTTGTATATATTCTTGAATTTCCTAAGCTTGCTTCCTGTTCATGGCTTGCCTTTTAAAATTCTTTTCACAGACTTATTATGAGACTGAAAATCCCTTCCAAACACTGTTAACACCTAAGGTAGTCACATCATGATGGTGAACACAGCCTCCTGGGACCCTACAACTTCCTTCTCCAACCTGAACTCAAGGCTTTCTAAGACACCCCCAGAGCTATTGTCCCTAGGACATCCCATTTCCAAACAGCCTGGGTTTGTAGCTTGGGTTGCTTCTTCTGGTATCCTAATCAGATAAGTCTGCCTCTCTGCAGCTCAGTTTCCATGACTGGTTGGAAAATGAGAATAATAATAGTCATGTGCATTAAATGTGGTTGTGGTTGTAAAATGTTAAGGCTAGCTCCCTACTCACTGTGTGCAGGATGTTATTTTTATGGTCATCCTGAAAATTCCCCCAAAATTTCTTCATGTTAGCCATGTCAGTTCCTGAATTCCTCATGCTCAAATTGCCCTCATTTTCTCAAATCCAGTTTTCTAAGACATTACCAGCAGGAGTGCATGGGGGTTACCATTATAAGGCATTCTGCAGCTACATGAGCTCCAGCCTTCATGCTCAGCCCCTCATGTGGCATGGCTGGGTTGTGTATGCAATCCTAGCCACTTCCCTGCAAAACAGCAAAGGCATCATTGTTAATGTTGAGTTTCCAGTGCTACTGAGCCTAAGACAACATCCAATCCCCTTTTCATGTCTCCAAGTTTTGCATCTATCTCTCTCATTTTCTCTCTCCTTTTTTCTTTTTTTTTTTGTTTGTTTTTTTACAGAGTCTTGTTCTGTTGCCCAGCCTGGAGTGCAGTTGTGTGATCACAGCTTACTGTAACCACTGCCTCCTGGGTTCAGGTGATTTTCCTGCTTCAGCCTCCCAAATAGCTGGGATTACAGGCACATGCTACCACAGCCAGCCTTTTTGTATTTTTCAGTAGAGATGGGGTTTCACCATGTTGGCCAGGCTGGTCTCAATCTCCTGACCCCAAGTGATCCACCCACCTTGGCTTCCCAAAATGCCAGGACTACAGGCTTGAGCCATGACACCCAGCCTTTCATTTTATCTCTCACTCTCTTTCTTTCTCTTATTTTTTTTTCATTCTCTGTCTCTCTCCCACTCTTTCTCTCATTCTCCCTCCCACTCTCTCTGTCTCTCTTCTTTTGCATAACTCCGTCATTCTCTTTCTCTCTCATTCTCTCTCCCATGATCTCTTTCTCTCTCTCTCTCTCTCCCTCTCTCTCTCTTTTTGGATGACTATCATTCTCTCTCTCTCATTCTTTCTCCCACTTAGTTTTCTCTCTCTCTCTCTTTTTGCATGACTGTCATTCTCTCTCTCTTTGTCACTCTCTCTCTCTGTGTGTGTCTTTCCCCCTCCACCTCCCTAGCCCCCACTATTCTAGAGTCTTTTCTCTTCACCCTTCACACACTGAAATGTCACAACAACACGAGCCTTTTTCCTCCCAATCTCCTGGGGACCCAGAAAGTTAGAGGTTCTCCTATACTTGAATAAAACATTCTCATTTCAGGCTGGGTGCAGTGGCTCACAACTGTAATCCCAGCACTTTGAGAGGCCAAGAGGGGCAGATCTCTTGAGTCCAAGAGTTTGAGACCAGCCTGGGCAACATGGCAAAACCGTGTCTCTACTAAAAATACAAAAAGAGGTCAGGAACAGTGGTTCACACCTGTAATTTCAGCACTTTGAGAGGCCGAGGCAGGTGGATCATGAAGTCGGGAGTTCGAGACCAGCCTGACCAATATGGTGAAACCCTGTCTCTACTAAAAATATAAAAGTTAGCTTGGTGTGGTGGTGTGTGCCTGTAATCTCAGCTACTCGGTATGCTGAGGCAGGAGAATCACTTGAACCTGTGAAGCAGAGGTTGCAGTGAGCCGAGATTGCGCCACTGCACTCCAGCCTGGGAGACAGAGCTAGATGCCACCTCAGAGAAAAAAAAAAAGAATTCACCTGGTGTGGGGGTGCGCACCCACGGACCCAGCTACTCAGGGGGCTGAGGTGTGAGCCCCCTGAACTCCCCTTGAGCCTGGGAGATCAAGGCTGCAATGAGACATGATTGCGCACAATTGCACTCCAGCCTGGGCAACAAAGCAAGACTCTGTCTCAAAAAAAGAGAAAAAAAAAAATTCTCATTTCAAGCCTTTTATGCCCTCTTTTCTCACACACAGAAGCAAGTTTGGTTTCATTTCTCTAATTTTTGATGCAGCTTGTTTAAGCAGTAGGAGCGATACCTGGACACTAGATGCTAATTAACATTGGCATTGATGAGCCATGTGTGCCTACTTAATGAACACATTCTGATCGCTCCTGTTTTGAGACAGTGTGCTGACAGTCAGAAATGAAAAGGCTGAGGGAAACATTATATTTTCCTTTCCAGGTCATATCACCTAATGGGAAATGCAGGCTTATAAACGAAGAACTAGGACTTACTGTTAGACATAGCAGATTTCACAAAGTTGTTAATCTTTGCCCCGTGTGTGTGTGTGTCTGTGTGCATGCGTGTGCATGTTTGTGTGTGTGTGTATGCATGCGCACATGGGTGTCTGTCCCTCTTTTTCTCCTTTTACCCCTCCTCAAAATGGATGTAGGCTGGAATTATAAGGAAAACAAAGGACAAAGAGAATGTGTGAGAATACAGCAGACAAAAGATGAGGATGACCTTTAGAAGGCTTGGAGGCAAGTGGGTGCTGTGGTCTGAATGTGTGTGACCCACAAAATTCCTATGTTGAAATGCTAATCCTCAAGGACATGATGTTAGGAGGTGGAGCTTTAGGGAGGTGATGAGGTTGTTAGGGTGGAGACTCATGAAAGGGATCAGTTCCCTTAGAAAATGGGCCCCAGAGAACTCCCTCACCCTTCCACCATGTGAAGACACAGTAAGATGGTGCTGTCCATGAACCAGGAAGTGGGTCCCCACCAGACACTGAATCTGCCACACCCTCATCCTGGACCTCCAGCCTCTGGAACTGTGAGCAATAAACATCTGTGGTCTATAAGCCCCCCAGCCCAAATGGACAAAAAATCTAGCTAGTAGTTACTGTCATGGCAGGCAGGAGGGAGATAGAGGCAATGAACTCATGGCAATACACAGGAGAAGCCAACAAGAACCCTCAGAACTCTTAAAAATCTCAGGAATTGGGGCCAGGCTCAGTGGCTCATGCCTGTAATCCCAGCACTTTGGGAAGCCGAGGCGGTGGATCACCTGAGGTCAGGAGTTCGAGACCACCCTGGCCAACATGGTGAAACCCTATCTCTACTACAAAATTTGCCAGGCATGGTGGTGCATGCCTATAATCTGAGCTATATGGGAGGCTGAGGTAGGAAAGTCACCTGAACTCCATAGGTGGAGGTTGTGGAGAGCCGAGATCGTGCCATTACACTCACTCCAACCTGGGCAACAAGAGTGAAACTCTGTCTAAAAAAAAAAAAAATTCAGGAATGGGAGGCAGCAGGTGTCTCTCAAGGTGCAGACACAGGCAGGGCTGGAGACAGGAACTCTGCACAGCAGTGCTTGGCAGAAGAATTCTCCTACTCCTTTCAGCTAGATGAACACATCTCAACAACTTGGACAAACTTACTTGTAATTTTAATCAGTGGTGACTAAGCAAAGACCTAGATTCATGGATGACACTCCCAAATATGTACTCCAAAGAAATAAAAGCAGTGAGACACAAACCAGTATATATTCACTCATGTTCATAGCAGGGACTGAGTAGCACACTACAGTGTTCACTACACCAGGGATGCTCTCTCTCTCTCTCTCTCTCTCTCTCTCTATATATATATATATATATATATATATATATATATATATATTTTGAGATGGAGTCTCGCTCTGTTGCCCAATATTTTTTTTTTTTTTGAGATGGAGTCTCGCTCTGTTGCCCAGGCTGGAGTGCAGTGGCATGATCTCAGCTAACTGTAAGCTCTGCCTCCTGGGTTGACACCATTCTCCTGCCTCAGCCTCCCAAGTAGCTGGGACTACAGGCACCTGCCACAATGCCTCGCTAATTTTTTTGTATTTTTAGTAGAGATGGGGTTTCAGTGTGTTACCCAGGATGGTCTGAATCTCCTGATCTCATGATCTGCCCACCTCAGACTCCCAAAGTGCTGGGATTACAGGTGTAAGCCACTGTGCACAGCCTATATATAGTTTTTATGAGATACGGTCTCACTCTGTTGCTTAGGCTGAAATAATACAGTGGCATGATTACAGCTCACTGCAGCTTCAACCTCCCAGGTTCAAGCAATCCTCCCACCTCACCCTCCCAAGTAGCTGGGACTACAGGTGTGCTCCACCACATCTGGCTATTTTTTGTATTTGTTTTAGAGATGAGGCCCACCATCTTACCCCAGGCTGGTCTCAAACTCCTGATCTCAAGAAATCCGCCCATCTTGGACTCTCAAAGTGCTGGAATTACAGGCAGGAGCCACCACAACTGGCCCATGCTCTATATTTTTCCTTTATTTATTTATTTACCTTTTATTTTAGGTTTGGGGGTACATGGAAAGATTTGTTACATAGGTAAACATGTGTCACAGGAGTTTGTTGTATGGATTATTTCATCACCCAGATATTAAGCCCAGTACCCAATAGTTATCTTTTCTGCTCTTCTCTCTGCTCCCACGCTCCCCCAAAATAGAGCCCAGTTCCTCTTGTCTCCTTCTTTGCATTCATGCGTTCTTGTCATTTAGCTCCCAGCTTTATATTTTTCACCAACAGAACCACAAAGCTTTTCTGAGAAATTCATTGCGTGATGAAGTCTGTAATATCTAAGAAATATTATTCTGGGGCGGGTGTGGTAGCTCGTGCCTGTAATCCCAGCAGTTTAGAAGGCCGAGGCAGGTGGATCACAACGTCAGGAGTTTGAGATCAGCCTGACCAACATGGTGAAACCCTGTCTCTACTAAAAATGCAAAAACTACCTGGGCGTGGCGGTGGGTACCTGTAATCTCAGCTACTCAGGAGGCTGAGGTAAGAGAATCGCTTGAACCTGAGAGGCGGAGTTTGCAGTGAGCCGAGTTCACGTCATTGCACTCCAGCCTGAGTGACAGAGTGAGACACCATCTCAAAAAAACAAACAAACAAAAAGATTCTGGAAGCTGTCTTTGAAGGGTGGGGTTGACACTTTAAAGAGAAAGCTACAGGAAGGGTATGCTAAGTCTGTGGTTATGGGCTGAAGCAGTCCTGGGCAGGAGATGTGTGACACAGATAAAGACAGAAAAGGCTCAACCATGATGGTGCTGATAAAAGCAAAGTCAAGAGGATGTGGTGACCAATTCTGCTTTGTAAAAAACAAGAGGAAGATAAAGATGACATCCAAATTTGTGCTTGAGAGGACTAAATATAAATATACACTTAAAAATATGAATATAGTGTATATATATATATATATAATATATGTGTATATATACATATATACAGACAGAACAAAGAAGATTAGATTGGTTGGGAATAGTATAGAAATGAATTCACTTTTTATAACTTTTACTCTATAAAATGCATTTTAGACTCTGAGATTTTACAAGGAAATAGTAAGAATTAAGGAAGTCTTTAAAGTACCACTTGAAAATCATGTTATATTGCAAGTACTGCACTGGCTTTAATATTGAAGACTCTTGTGTCTTTTCCTTCCTTCCTTGCTTGCTTCCTTCCTTCTTCTCTCCCTCCCTTTTCCTTCCTTCTTTTTCTTTTCTTCCTTCCTTTCTCCTTTTCTTTCTTTTTTGTTTCTTTCCTTCTCTCTTTCTTCCTTTCTCTCCCTTTCTTTCTTTCTTTCTTTTTCTTTCTTTTCTCTTTCCTTTCTTCCTTCTTTCCTTCCTTTCTCATTTCCTCTCTTCCTCTCTTTCTTTTCTCTCTCTCTGTCTCTCACCTCGACCTCCCTGCTCGAGATGTCTTTGAACCTCCACCTGCTGAGTAGGTGGGACTACAGTCATGTGCCACCATGCCTGGCTCATTTTTGTATTTTTTGTAAAGATGAGGTGTCATTACATTGCCCAGGCTGGTCTCAAACTCCTGGGCTCAAGCAATCCTCCCACCTTGGCCTCCTAAATTTCTGGGATTATAACATGAGCCACTGTGTCTAGCTAAGACTATCATTTCTTACCAAGACCTGATAGTATGTCTTATTTTGGTTATTAGTTAAATTTTAGGTTATTCCATTAATACATGAAAATAATTAAAATGGATGGCCATGTGCAGTTGCTCACATCTGTAGTCTCAGCATTTTGGGAGGCTGAAGTGGGTACATTGCTTGAGCCCAAGAGTTCAAGATCAGCCTGGACAATATAGCAAGACCTCATCTCTACAGAAATATTTTTAAAATAGCCAGGTGTGGTGGTGCATGCCTGTAGTCTCAACTACTGAGGAGGCTGAAGTGGGAGGACCATCTGTGCCCAGGAGGTACAGGCTGCACTCCAGCCTGGGTGACAGAGTAAGACCCTGTCTCAAAAATAAATAAATAAATGGACACACCAAATAATAAGTGGGTTCATTCTTAAAAGGACAAGATATTTTAAATTAGCTTCACATGATATGAAGTCTAGTTTTGTTCTTGTGTAGAGAAAGGTCAAAGTTAACACCTTTGAGAGATGTCCACTGGTATATAGTATGTGTTGCTTCACAAAGCCAGGGGGCCACGGGAGAGAAATGTAAAAAGAAAAAAAAAAATAAGCTGGTTCTCTACTATCCTATCACTAACTGTAATTCTGTATTTTCTTCATGAATATTTCTGTTCCTGGTCTGTTCCAGTTCTGAAATTCTGATTAACTTCTTGATGCAATCACGTGATATCAAAATTGCTGAAAAAGTCCCACCACTACAGTGTAAATAAATCAGCTAGTAGAATTATTTTCTTTTCCTTTCACGCTTGGAAGACTATATCATATTTTGTACAGTTCAAGAATAATAGAACAAACACTCATGTACAGTGCAATTTAGATCAAAACATGCATCCCATACCTTAAAAGTGTCTTCTGTGCCTCTTTCAAACAAAAATTTATGTTAACTATTTGTTATTCAACAATTTTATATATAGTTTAGTGATGTGTCTCATCTGTACACTGTATATTATGTTGTCCATGTGTGCTTTTGTTTTGTGTTGTTTTTTAGAGATAGGGTCTTACTCTCTTCCCCAGCCTGGAGTACAATGGTGCAATCATGGCTCACTGCAGCCTCAAAGTCCTGGGCTCAAGCGATCCTCCCATTTTAACCTCTCAAGTAGCTGGTACTATAGGCAATACCACCATGTCAGGATAATATTTTTATTTTTATATACTCATAGCATTTTTTTTTTTTAATTTTATTCATCATGAGTAAGGCTGAGTATCTTTTCACTTGTTTGAATCACTTTTTGTTTTAAGACAGTCTTGCTGTCACCCAGGCTGGAGCGTTGTGACTCAATCTCGGCTCACTGCAACTTCCACCTCCCAGGTTCAAGTGATTCTCCTGCCTTAGCCTCCCGAGTAGCTGGAATTACAGGTGCGTGCCACCACACCTGGCTAATTTTATTTTTATTTTTGTAGACACAGGGTGTCATTATGTAGCCCAGGCTACTCTTGAGCTCCTGGACCCAAGTTATCCTCTCACCTCAGCTTCGCAAAGTACTGGCATTATAGTCATGAGCCACCACTCCCAGCCTGTGTGTTTTTTTTAATAGATTTTATTTTTTAGAGCAGTTTTAGATTGACAGCAAAATTGAGAGGAAGGTACAGAGAGTTCCATGGACCCCCTACCCTGAACATGCATCACCTCCCCTGCTGTCTGTAGCAGCTGATGAACCGGCATTGACACATCATTGACACCAGAGCCCATCGTTAACCTTCGGGTTCACGCTTGGTGGCGGACATTCTGTGGGTTTGGATAAATGTATAATAGCATGGATATACCATTATAGTGTCACACAGAGGAGTTTCACTACACTAAAAATCCTCTATACTGCGCCTATTCATTCCTACATCCTGGCAACCACTGATCTTTTTACTGTCTCCTTAGTTTTGCCTTTTCTGGAATGTTCTGCAGTTAGAATTGCATGTAGCCTTTTCAGATTGTCTCCTTTCACTTAGTAATGTCTGACTTATAGCTCATTTCTTTCCTTCCTTCCCTTCCTCCCTCCCTTCGTTCCTTCCTTCCTTTCCTTCTTTCCTTCTTTCTTTCCACAGAGTCTCGCTCCATTGGCCAGGCTGGAGTGTAGTGGTGGAATAATAGCTCACTGCAGCCTTGACCTCCTACACTTAAGCAATCCTCTTATCTCAGCCTCCTCAGTAGCTGGGACTACAGGTACACACTACCACAACCAGCTAATTTTTAAATTTTTTGTAAAAACAGGATCTCACTATGTTGCCCAGGCTAATCTTTAATTCCTGGGCTTAAGGGATTGTCCCTTGGCCTCCCAAAGTGCTGGCACTACAGGCACAAGCCACCACATCTAACCCTTATTTATTTATTTTTTTATTATATTTTTTCTCATTCTTGCTGCCATCTTACTCATTTATTTTTAGTGCTGAATGATATTCCATTACCTGGATGCATAGCGGTCTATTTGTCTATTCACCTACTGAAAGATGTCTTCCTTGCCTCTAAGTTTTGACGATGATAAACAAGGCTGTTGTAAACATCCATGTGCCAGTTTTCGTATGGACACAAGTTTTCAACTTTTTTGGGTAACCATTGAGAGTGATTGCTGGATCATATGCCAGGACATATTTAGTTTTGTAAGAAACTGCTGAACTGTCTTCCAAAGTGACTGCACCATTTTACATTCCCACCAGCCATGAATGGGCATTCCTGTTGCTCCAGGACCATACCAGCCTTTGGTGATGTCAGTGTTCTGGCTTTTGGCCATTCTCACAGATGTGTATTGGTATCTCATTGTTGTTTTAATTTGTATTTCCCCACTTTGTTTGTTTTTGGTCTTTGTATAAACATTGTGACATTGCATGGAGTTTTGTTTTTTCAAGCTGTCTATTTCCTTTGACATTGTTTCTGAGAATTATGCCACTGAAGTGGTAGCTGTATTCCACGCTTGTTCTTTGCTGCATATTACTTCATGGTCTGAATATCCCACATTTTTTAAAAATCATGAACATTTGGATTGTTTCCCATTGATATGGTTTGGCTGTATCCCTACTAAAATCTCATCTGGAATTGTAGTTCCCATAATTCCTGTGTGTTGGGGGAGGAAGCCAGTGGGAGATAACTGAATCATGGAGGCAGTTTCTCCTACACTGTTCTCATTGTAATGAATAAGTCTTAAGATATCTGA